>NC_000006.12:47029696-47332727 GCF_000001405.40 Homo sapiens
CACAAAATGTTAGAATTGTTCTGTCTAATACAGTAGCCATTAGCCATGTGTGGCTATCTAAATTTCAATTACAGTTAAAATTAAATTAAATTTAAAATTCAGTTGCTCAGTCACATTGACCACATTTCCAGTGCTCAGGGGCCACATGTGGCCAGGGGCTACCATATTGGGTAGCTCAACACAGAACGGTTACATCATTGCTAAGTTTTACTCCACAGCATTGATAGAACTTAAAGGAATACCTTCTTCTGGCCTCTCAATGTTTCTTTTACATCTCACAGGAGAAGATGAGAAAGTTTGATTCCCAAACTCAAGAGTCCTCCAGTGGAATAAGTGTCCTTGCTTAGCAGTCCAGAGTACACAGAGTAGGGCTCTCCATCCAGCCCTTACCTTGCTTCCTGGGTGTGCTTAAACTTCATACAAACCCTGCTATTTCTCCAGTGCCACCCCACACTGCCCTCTAATCTAAAAAGCCGAGAAAAGGCATTAGAGACAGGGAAGAACTACCATAGAGGTGGCCTATGTCTCAGCAGAGACCTTTTCTAGGGCTTTCTAGGGGAGCATGAAAAATAGGCAACGTGACATGTACAGCTTTTGAATTTACCTTTTCCTTTCGGATGAATGGTCCTCTTATGCCCCACCTTCCTGTTTGCCAAAGACTCCTTGAAAATCTATTGCTTTAAAATTCTTTGGCAGCAGCCTGGGCTCTAGATTATTCTTCAGGGTCTTGTTTCCCCACAGCTTATCTGCTGTGAGTTCTATTCCTTCCCGCCTGCGCTTTCTGCTTTCTAAAAGTGATGAATATTTTTCTCTCGAGCAGTGTTTTACAAACTTTCTTGACAGGATCCCATAGAAAGAAAGATATGTGATAACATGAATATGTGTGTGTGTGTGTGTGTGTGTGTGTGTGTGTGTGTGTGTGTACCTTGGATATTTTCTACTTGTTTTTATTTCATTTTATTAGTAAATTGCTATATTCTACTAAACTGATTTTGCAATACCCTCATGAAGCACAGTCACATTGCAGAGTGGGGGTTGTGCCCCTTCCAGCCCCTTTTCCACTTTTTCTTCACTCTTTTTTTTTGAGATGGAGTTTCTCTCTGTTGCCCAGGCTGGAGTGCAGTGGCATGATCTCGGCTCACTGCAACCTTCACCTTCCGGGTTCAAGCGATTCTCCTGCCTCAGCCTCATGAGTAGCTGGCATTACAGGCGTGCATCACAACGCCTGGCTAATTTTTGTATTTTTAGTCGAGATGGGATGTCACCATGTTGGTCAGGCTGGTCTCAAACTCCAGACCTCAAGTGATCCGCCTGCTTCGGACTCCCAAAATACTGGGATTACAGGCATAAGCCACCATGCCCGGCCACTTTTTCTTCACCTCTAGGGAAGGATTTTTTAATTTGAATTCCCAGGAACTATTTAGACCACAGTTTATAGTGCTGGAGCTTTCAAATGGGATAACAGTTTTGGTGCCTGCAGAGTGATCCGTTCTGCCTCTTTGTGCCAGTCTGTTTCCAAATGGGAGACCTGGCCTGCATACTGCTCTCTGCTCACTCTGTGTCTCTCTCTCTCTTCTCTCTCTCTCTCTCTCTCTCTGTCTGACTCTCTCTGTCTCTCTGTCTCTCTCTCTCTCTTCTCTCTCTCTCTCTCTCTGTCTCTCTCTCTCTCTCTCTCTCTCTCTCTCTCTCTCCTTGAAAAATCTTCCTCATACATGTACTCCAGGCCTGAGGCTGTAAAGGCAGCTTGAGAAAGCCTGAGGACAGCTCTGGGCATTGTGGGAAAGCCTTCTCTCATAGACTCCACCTCTTTATTCCCTCTTCTCCCACCCTAGAGATATATTCTGGCATCCTTGGACTTGCTACAGATGGTAAACTGTAACTTAGCATCAGAATTTCAGACAAGTGAGGAAGGGAGGGAAGAGAAGGAAAGGAGAAAACATTTAGGAGCTCATTAGAAAATGTGGGTGTCCCCGTCTCACCCTAAACCTACTAAATCTTGGACAGGTCAGGCCCAGCTATGTATATTATAATTATAATTATTATTATCGAGACATGTTCTTGCTCTGTCACCCAGGCTGGAGGTGCAGTGGTGTAGTCATGGCTCACTGCAGCCTTGACCTCCTGGTTACAAGTGATCCTCCCACCTCAGCCTGCCGAGTAGCTGAGACTACAGGCTAATTCTTTTAATTTTTTTTGTAGAGACAAGGTTTCACTATATTGTCCAAGCTGGTCTTAAACTCCTGGGCTTAAGCAATTCTCCCACCTCAGCTTCCAAAGTGGGACTACAGGCATCAGCCACCATGCCAGGGCAGCCCATGTGTATTATTAAAGCTACACAAGCAATGCTCACATCCAGGCAGGTTTGAGAGCTGTTATTCTAGACTGTTTTAAGTATAGGAAAAACGATTTCTCCAGGGGAAAGCGGCTGAGGGAGAGGTTGTGGCACCTGTGGCCTCCACTCCGCCCCCTCCTCCTTAAAAAAATAAAAATAAAATAAAAAAATAAAGATTTCTCCACCTAGCCTGGTCGTGTGATAGGAGTTCTACTCTGGGATTTGAAACCAAAGCTCAAGCGAATCAAACTTTTTTTCTTTGCTTCCTTGGTGCATATAGCTCCCTCTGGGATACCGTTGGAAGATTTAGGAAGTAAAAATACAAGGTACCCTCAAAATTTTGAATTTCAAATAAACAATATTTTTTTAGTTAAGTATGCCTTGTGCAATATTTGCAACATTATTTGTTGTCTAAAATTATTTGTGTCTTATCTGAAATTCAAATTTAACTGGACATCCTATATTTGACAACTAGTCAAAGGTGGGAAAAAATGAAATCTCAAGGCACATGGTCAAAATGGGCTCTGTAGCTGTACTAGCCAGGGTCCTGTTCCCAGCTTTGACATTTATCAACTGGATGCCCTTTGGAATTGTCTCAGATTTTCTATACTTTGGTTTAGTCATCAAGAATACAAGGAAAATAGTATTTAATTCACAGGTTCTTAGGAGAATTGAATGAGTACTTTGCAAGTAAGGTACCCAGAGTGGTGCCTAGTATTTCAACCTTACCATCAGTTTTTATAGTTACTTGCTGGATTGTGTCAGAATTTGACTTCTCTGAGTGCACTTGGGTTAACTGATGGCCATCACTCTGGAAATGGAGGGATCCCAGCTTTGAAGCAATAAAGTACATTTTTACAGTAATTGAATTATCTGACTCAAAGGAAGGTCCACAGCAGCAAGGATGTCAGGGATTGCTTTGCGTGTGTGCAGGGTCATCATAAATCCCTCTGAACTTCGCCTTTAGTAAACATAAACCCCATGGTATTTTCATCGCTTCCCTTCCAAGCCGGAATGGTCCTGATTATTTAGAAATTCTCAGAATCCTTGTGTCCTTGCCACAGATGAGGAGCTGTTGTTGTCATTAGAGCATGACATGTTTCCATCACACCTTGTGCTGTGGCTGCTGGGGCCAGTGATGCCTGAGCTGCAGCTGTGTGGGCACCAGCTTCCGTGGGAAGGCTTGGCCATGGTGGGACGCCCCCTCCGCACTTCCTTGAATTCATTCAGTGAATTCATTCCCTGTCCTTCAGTTTACAGGGAACAATCATTAGAACGTGCTATTATGCCTCTGGAGAGGGCTGGCTGTTGTCTCCCTATTCTTTCAGTTATATACTTACGGACTCCAAATATCATTTATTTATGCCAACAGCTGTCTCCTTATCAACAGCAGGCTTAGTTGAAACTGCTCACACCTATACTTTCCAGCATTCTTGGCAACAATCTAATCTTAGGCACAGTTGAACTCTGCGCTGTTTCTCTGGCATCAATATTTATGGGATTATGTTTCTTTCTCTATAAACAGAATTCCCAGTAGAGCTGTCTCTTTCCTGTCCGTCTTGGCCTCACATGCGCCCATGCGCACACACACATTGATGAAAAGAGCAGGTCTCCACATAGGATCTAAAAGAAATCATGACTCAAAAAGAATTAGGCAGGTGACCTGTAAAACCTTGGTTTTGCTTTATCTCTCATTTTATCAGTTTTTGATAACATTTTCATTGGCATCTATCTTTTCTAGGAAGTGTTGGGCCACTTGCCTTTGAGAAAAGCTCCTGTGTGTTTCTGTAACTGAACAGAGACAGAGGAGAAGACAGCTGAGAAAATAGGTGGGAGGACAGAAAAGATAGCCACTTCCATCTTTGGAAAAATGGTTGGAGGTTTGGTAAGTTATATGAGCGAGACAAACTTCCTCTGGAAGGACAGTAATTTAAAGTCATTTAAAATCTCAGGGAAGGTCTATATATATGTGTGCACAGTAAAATTGTAAACACGTTTTATATTTTCACATGTTTTAGCACATTCATGTTTATAAACACAGCAGGAAGAGGTCTGGATGAATTACACTGTAACCTCATGTTTGTACCTCTTCCGTGAGGATTTGTGAAAGTTAAAACTCTGTGGGCTCGGTTTCCTCCTTTATACAGTAAGAGGAAAAATAAAGTGAGCTCAGATCTATTCACATTCAGGTTTCATTATTACATGCCCATTCCCCACATTCTATTTGTAGATTACTTATTTAATTGTTCTTTTATCAATGTCTGGCAGTCACCAAACCTAAGCCTGGAAAGATTACCGATTTCTACTCATCTTTATTCTTGTTTTCTCCTCAAACTGGTTATTAAATTCTTTAACATCTTTTGAGATGAGCTAAGAACCTACTAAGAATTTAATTATTGGGTTCAGAACAGAGGTATAATTTTTAAGAATTCTGGACTTGTAAGTCTGGAAGCAACAAAAAGAATTACTTGGCTCAGTCACTCCTCCCCCAGGACACTTCACCAATCTGTGCTAAACTTGCATTTGTTCAACTACCGTATACTGACAGCCTCCAATTTCCCAGGCATTGTGCCATGCACTGGCTGTTAACAATATGCTCATGCAGGATTATCACACATAGTAGCTCCACACCTCAAGAGAAACTCCAAAAGCCACAATCCAGACCCACTTTTGGGAACTTCTGGTTACCGAGAATCTCTGTTCCAGGATCCCTATTTTAACTCTCCTATGTTTCATTGACTGGTTGTGCCTTCAGAGTCCAGTTTGTGACCCTACCTCCAAATCTGATCCTTTTCCATCCCAGAATTGAGATATGTGCTTATAAGTTTGTGTTTCCTTTGCCACTCATTAGAACTTCATTCAGCTCAAGAGTATTTCTCCTGCTGCTGGTGCCTTCAGCCTAGCACAGCTGTCTGCTCCTTCCTAACGAGGATTCTGTTTTTCTATTTAGTCTGCGCTTTGCATCTGAGAAGAGCTTCACTCAGGATGATTTGTTGTTTTTAGCTCATTGCTCAGTATGCCTTCTGGCATTCTAGTAGGATTCATTTCCCACAGAAGACCAGTCCAGCTCGTTTCCACTGTAAAAGGCTTAGCTGCAAGCCTCATGGGTTGGCTCTATTCCAAACCCTTGTAACTGAAGACCCAGCCGCTTGTGGTTCGGTATAGCAGGAGTGACCATGAAGCCCTTAAAAGATGATTAATGGCATTCCGCAAAAGATGCCAAGCTCTTTCTTCTAGCCAAGATTTCAGCTTAGTAACAGGACCCAGTCTTCCTGTAATTCCTAGGTAGGGCTTATTTCTCATCTCCTCTACTTGACTTCATTTAAAGTAGGTAAAGTCCAGATAATTTGAGCTTCTTGAATTGTTTGCTTTTAAAAATAAAAAAGTACCTGAACAGAACTCCAGAGAGGTGATAGCTACCTAATTAAAAGAAATAAAATAATTCCTTCTAATTTACAAAGTGTTTTTAATAAGTTTTGATTTGATTATTTTGGCAATTGTGTAAGTTAAGTGGAATTTATTTTCATTTCACAATTGCAGAAAATGAAAAGGTAACATTTAAATTCTAAATACAACGAATTTTTTAACTATTTCCCTAAATTTCTCAGCCCAAAGAATCAAGTATTTCCCTTAGATCATGAGCCGGTTAGTTTTTGTTGCTTGGGGCATGATTTTAATAAAATCATGATTGTTAATTTGATCTCCACCTGAGTTCCTTACAAACAATTCTTTTCTCAGAAAAAGGAAGAACGTACATTTCAAACCTATCTTCCTGTTCCTGCATTAATTTGCATGTTCTCACTTACAGTGGCAGCTAAGCACTGGGTACACATGAACGTAAAGATGGAAACAATCAACACTGGGGACTCCTAGAGCAGAGAGAGAGGGAGAGGGGGAGAGGGCTGAAGCGCTACCTATTGGGCTGGGCGCGATGGCTCAAGCCTGTAATCCCAGCAATTTGGGAAGCGGAGGCTGGTGCATTGCTTGAGCTCAGGAGTTCGAGACCAGCCTGGGCAACATGGTGAAACCCCATCTCTACTAAAAATACAAAAATTAGCTGGGCATGGTGGTACGCACCTGTGGTCCCAGCTACTTGGGAGCTGAGGTGGGAAAGTCACCTGAGCCCTGGAGGCGGAGGTTGCAGTGAGCCAAGATCGCGCCACTGCACTCCAGCCTGGGAGAGAGAGGGAGACCCTGTCTCAAAAACAGAACAAAACAAAACAAAACAAACAAACAAAAAACAGCTACTTATTGGGTACTATGCTCACTCACTACCTGGTGACGGGATCATTTGTACCCCAAACCTCAACATTACACAATATACCCATATAACAAAACTGCACACGTACCCCCTGATGCTAAAATAAAAGTTGAAATTACACAAGAAAAAACAAGCTATCTTCCTGACAAATATGATTGTCCTCAGTGTCGAAGGAGAGTCAGGAGTCCAAGGATGGAAACACAAATGATCAGGCCTGCTGGAAAACCCCTGCAGAACAGGCTCTGTGGGACCTTTATACATAAATGGTCAGATTAAAGATGTCACAAACTCTTCTTGGGTGATCTGTTTTAAATAGGAGTAAAACATACTTCTCCGACTTCTCATTCAATGGTTACACTGATAAATCTTCATTGTTTCAAACCTACCAAAACCCACTAATTCTTTATGTTTCCCTTTACATATGAATAGTATTTTCATTATAATTTTCTTAAAAAGTAAAAATAAGTTTTAAAATCATATTCCCCAGATGATTCTTCTAGAAATAGAACTAGTTGACTGGCATTCCACCTATCCTGAAAATATCACATCAGTTCATCCTCAGAAACCATCAAGATTCTACACCATACAGAATGAAAAGCAAACTCAAGATCATAGCAGTTTTGAACTCCCACAATTTGTGCTCAAACTTCCCTTCTATTAAGCTTCCTTTCACGCATCTGAATTCCAGGCAAACCAGGATTTAACTTTTAACTTTTCTAAGTTAAAAGGAAAGTGCTGCTTCAAAAGGTTTATATATGTTGAGTTTTTCTAGACATGGCCAAATTGACCTCCTAACCTGTACCCATTTATACTCACTGGTAAGGTGCAGAAATGCCTGTTTCATCACTCTATCCACAGTATCTTTTTAATGTTCCCAAATGGATAGGCAAAATTTTTGCCTTATTGTTTTAATTTTCCTGTGTTTGACTATCAGTAAGTTTAAGCATTTTTTCAGGGGTTTACTGACCATTTGTATTTTTTTCCAGCTTGACTATTTAAGTCATTTTCCTAAATTTTTTGATTAGAATGTTCATCTTTTTCTTAAAAATTGTGTTTTAGGAACTCTTTTGTCTTTGTCGCTCCTGTTATAGGTATTTGCTCATGATTTGTAGTTCATCTTTAAAACTTTTGCCTTATTTTCTTCTGCACAAAAGTTTAAAATGTTCATGAAATCACACCTGTTAATCTTTTCCATTATGGATTTTACTTATTCATTTTTACTTTTGGTTGTATTTAGAGACAGGGTCTCATTCTGTTGCCCAGGCTGGGGTGCCGTGCCATGATCATAGCTCACTGTAGCCCCATCCTGGGCTCAAATGATCCTCTCGTCTCAGCCTCCTGGGTGGCTGGGACTATAGGCACACACCACCACACCCAGCTAATTATTTTTTAATTTATTTTTTTGCAGAGACATGGTCTTGACATATTGTTCACACTGGCCTTGAACTCCTGGGCTCAAGTGATCCTTCTTCCTTAGCCTCTCAAAGTGCTGAGATTTCAGGTATGAGCCACGACACTCAGCCCCATTATGGATTTTAAACTTAGGGTTGTGTGAAGAATGTGTGGTTTTGTTTGTTTGTTTGTGTTTTGAGACGGAGTCACGCCCTGTCACCCAGGCTGGAGTGCAGTGGTGCAATCTCTGCTTACTGCACCCTCTTCCTCCTGGGTTCAAGTGATTCTCCTGCCTCAGCCTCCCGAGTACCTGGGACTACAGGTGCACGCCACCATGCCCGGCTGATTTTTGTATTTTTAGTAGAGATGTGGTTTCACCATGTTGGCCAGGTTGGTCTCGAACTCCTGACCTCAGGTGATTCACCCGCCTCAGCCTCCAGAAGTGCTGGGATTACAGGCGTGAGGCACCGTGTCCGGCCGAAGAATGTGTTTTCTATAAAAAGATTGGAAAACATTCTTCTACATTTTAGTCTAACAGTTAGTTCTTAAAATTATTTTTAGTACACTTAATTCTTCAATCTTTCTTAAGTTAATTTAGGTTTTGGGACGAAATAAGTAAATATTCAATCCTGCTGGAATTTATTTAGGTTTTCAGATTTCCTTTCATTTCCTCCAAGTGAATAGCCAAGTTTGCCAACTATTTTTCCCAATGAAACAGTTTTTTATCCAGACCACCTTGATAATTCTTTATCAATTCTATTTATTTTAAATTTTATTTTTAATTGACAAATAATAATTGTACACATTTATAGAGTACCTAGTGATGTTTTGATATATGTGATATACAGTGATCAGATCAGGGTAATTAGCATATCCATCATCTCAAACGTTTATCATTTCTTTGTGTTGGGAACATTGAATACTCTCCTTCTAGCTATTTGAAACTATATATTATTGTTAAGTATAATCATTCTACAGTGGTATAGAACACTAGAATTTATTCCCCCTGTCTAGCTGTAAGCTTGTTTAATGAGGCCCTTTTCCTATAAAATTCTGACCTAAATATATTTTTAAAATTCTACTGCTATCTACATCTTTTACCAATTACTTGCTTAATTGATACCTTGTTCAACAACGTAAAAGACTATGATATGCCTAAGAAATATATCATTAAGTGTCTTATCAGAAATAATTAGCTTGATTATCTAAGAGACGAAGCATAGGAAAGTCTCCAAGTAGAGTCGGGCTGCATGCAGTACAAACACAAGTGTAAAAGGTGTTCATGGAAAATATAATCTGCTTAACACAAATTCTCTTTACCCAAAACTTTGCAGGTGTGAATCTGTTGTACTATGACAGGCTGTCCCAACTTCACAAATGTATAATAAATATCTGCTTATCCCAAAACAATAAAGAAACTCTTATCAGGTTTTAAAGTTTTGTCTTCCAAGAAAGAAGAAAAGAATAAGAAAATTTTCTTAAGGACTTTAAAGTCTTTAGATTTGTGGACCTCTGGAGATTAAAAACTGACATTTGCACTAAAACCAAGAAGACACCATGAGGATCTGATAATGCTCATCAATAAAATGTAACTAGAGTTTGCAGTTTTAGGACTGCATACCTCATTGCTGCTCATCTCTGCATTTTCTTTATTCAACTGACTACACATAGGAAATTTATTTTAACTCTATGAAATGCTAGGGCATATTCCACTTCTATTATTAATTCCTATGAATTTTCATTCTCAACATGCCAGGTCCCAGTTTCCATCAGCCACTGACCAGGAGCCTCTATGAGATTATCTGTGGCTTACTGGGGAGGGGATGTGATAAGAAGGCTTCCCTTTCTTAGTGGTTTTGTGTACTATGGGTTGAGTTTATCAAGGCTTGAACCCAGCTGTGAATGGAAGAGTGTATGTTTCAGACCACGATGCTATAGACCTTTTGTACTATCCCTCCAAGATCCTAAATTGTTTTCACATCTATTAAAACCATGTATCTCTGGGCATGGTGGCTCACGCCTGTAATCCCAGCACTTTGGGAGACCAAGGCCGGTGGATTACTTGAGGTCAGGAGTTTGAGAAGAGCCCAGCCAATATAGTGAAACTCTGTCTCTACTAAAAATACAAAAATTAGCCAGGCGTAGTGGCAGATGCCTGTAATCCCAGCTACTCAGGAGGCTGAGACAGGAGAATTGCTAGAACCTGGGATGTGGAGGTTGAGGTGAGCCGGGATTGTGCCGCTGCACTCCAGCCTGAGCAACAGAGTGAGAAACTCTGTCTCAAAAATAAATAAATAAATAAATAGATAAATAAAATAAAATAAAACCATGTATCTATCCAGTCAAGAAATCTGAAGGCCTTGAAATCTTGCGAGCACTACTCTGCTAAGACAAACACAATTTAGGAAAATCCCAAGACATATGTATTTGGCAACAGCGTTTCCCCTTCTCTACAAGCTATGGGTGTTCCCTGCCAAAGAACATTAAAAAGAGAACCAGGTGGCTGAGCGTGGTGGCTCACGCCTGTAATCCCAGCACTTTGGGAGGCCGAGACAGGAGGATCACGAGGTCAGGAGATCAGGAAATTGAGACCATCCTGGCCAACACAATGAAACCCTGTCTCTAATAAAAATACAAAAAATTAGCCAGGCATGGTGGTGGATGCCTGTAGTCCCAGCTACTCGGGAGGCTGAGGCAGGAGAATGGCGTGAACCCGGGAGGTGGAGCTTGCAGTGAGCCGAGATCACGCCACTGCACTCCAGCCTGGGCGACAGAGTGAGACTCCGTCTCAAAAAATAAAATAAAATAAAAAAAAAAACAGGCAAAATATTTTGAAAGTTACAAATATAAACATTTAGATTAGGTAGGTTACACAGCACAGTTTCCTAAGGGTGTCCTTAAGCAAAATTGTGAATTCAGTGACACTTGTCCCGGGGATGCCACTCCCCCACTTTCTGACTTGTGCACCCTTGTGACGCACACCCCACCACTGCTAATGCCCTCAGATACCCAGTGCCCTCTTGCTCCTGCCAGTTTTTACTTTACTTACTCTCAGCCAAAGCACTAAAATCATTTATTTATATCCAAATTTGAATGAATGTGTTCATTTACTTTTTTAAAGAGATGTTTGCATTCCTTTAGTTGTGTAATGAAAGACATTAGAAGGCACATTGTTGTGAAAGTATGGTGCTTTCCTTGCCCTCAGCCCAGCAACAGACAGACCCTGTTATTGGGACACTGTCCCTGTTTTTTAAGAAATTTACTCTACTTTTGGAGAAGAAAGACATACAAGGCATCCAACAATAATTCACATCAGCTTGGGGTTGTGCACAAAAGGTGAGTTTGCAAGTTGAGCTTGTCAGACTCCACAGGCATACACTCCTATTTCCAATCTTAACGCTTATTGGCACCATTTTACAAATGAAATAACCAGGATAAGACAACTAAATAATTTGCTCAATGTTTTACTACTTGTCAAAGGTTGAATAAAGTATTATGGGACCATTATTAGAACACTGTTGTCAATTTGGGTTATGGTTAGATAATGAGTGGTGTTTTCTTAATGACAACAGAGCATAATAAAAGGCTTGTGTTAATATTCTAACATATTAAAGAATGTACTTTTATTTATTTTTTGTTATTCTTGCCTCTGTTTGTAATTTCCAGCCCATGAATGCTATTATCAAGTTGAGCTTAATGGATCTCAGCATGAAAAAGCCAAGGTCATCACTTCTCCACACCTCTCCCACCTTGACCTTCTTTCTATATCTCCTTCGGTATTTTTCCTTCATGTAGTCTCTGGCATGGTACATTACATAGGCTATCAGGTTTACATAAATGGATTTTTCATGAAAACAAAGAAAAGAGAAAAGAAAAATTATATATTTTCAAGGCCTCTACTAAGAAAATACAGTGTGACATTTTATATTTATTTGGGGAAGTAGCAGGAGAAATGGTTAGTCAATTCTAGGGTTTTTTGGAGTCCTGGGAAGGAGTTAAATTGAGAAGTACTTCCTGGATATATATGGATCCAGGCAAAGCTTAAACTAATTCACCCTAAAGGAAAAATAAGCTTAATTCTCTCAAGCATAATTTTATTTTAAGAGATTGCAAGGGTTAACGTATTATGAATTAGTGAAAACCATATGACTGATACTTTAACAAGTATCTTTGGTGGAGCCCTTTTTATTCTAGGCAATCTACCTCCCTGGCACATCAGAACAATGGGGTTCCTGTGTTATCACAGAGGGAAGAGTGTGCTTTCAGTCAGAAAATCTGGAGCTTGAGCCTCAGCCAATCACCTCATTATAGTTAGTAAGCGGGTTGAAATCTGTTGTTTCTGCTCATTGCTTTTTCAACTCTGTTCCCTTATTTAACCATCTTCAGGAAATGATACATTGAAATCAGAATTTTTTTTTCAAGGAGAGAAAAAATAATCTCAGATTAACAGGTAGTACTGGTCATCGTAATACACGTTCTTAGTAATCAAAGTACAGTTATTGGGCTTACCTGGTGATTTATCTCTTCACACCAGAACTCGAGGGAGCCCTTCCTTCAGTATACTTGTGGCTCAATCACTTCTTATGCTGTTTGGAAAGAAAGTATCAGTATCTGAGCCACAGCAGCTCACTGGCATGAACACAGGCTCACTGATCCATCAGCAATTCCTGGCACGCATTACTGCCTGTGCAGGTAGACAAGCCTGGGACACACCCCCTTCAAGAAGGAAACAAAATACTTTTCTCCTAACTCCCCCTCCCGCTTAAAGTCACTATCAGGTCTGGTAAGAGGAAGGAGCACAGAGCTCAAGACTTAATGATTCTCCCAGCAGACATAAATGGGTGTCTGAAATCACAGAAGGGAAATGGGAGAGAAAAGCTCTAGGGGAATGTGGAACACTTTTGCCCTAGATCGGTTTACTACAAAATGCTACTCCATCAAATCTTCCTGTCCAACCTCTGAACACACTGGGTCATACCCTATAAAGCTGAAGGAATGCAGCCCTTCATGCATAATTCCAATGAGGAGAGGTGGGTAATTCCTGTGGGGCAGAAATAAGGGTAGATACTGTTTTTCCTTTTCCAACTTTTTTATTTAAGACTAAAGAATCAACTAGCTACTTTCCCAGATAAAACAACCTCAGACTTCTGGGTGGGGTAGTACCAAAGGAGCTGTGGCAAAAGACAGCAACAGGGTGGATGCTGGGGTGAATGCTTTTGGTGTGTTTTTTGTGCTTAGAAAACCTAGAGTGAAACCTGATTAACTTCTTTAGTAAAGATTTGTTTTCTTTCCAAGGAGTCATCCAGTTTGAAAACTATGAAAGGTCAAGATTATTATGTGCTGTATCTTTAGCCACATTGGCTCATAAATTACTTTTGGTCAAGGTAATGAGCTACTAACAACCACGTCTAAATTAGCAATTTGTAATTCTGTTATGGAATAATGAAGGGGATAATAATATGTTAATTCTCAAAAATGCCACTGAAAAGAAAGCAAAGGATGTCTCTGAATTCAATTAATTTATTAATTTTCTTTTGTTTCTTTTAAGCACTCCACGTTTTACAAATGACTTGAGCTGGCTTACAATGTTAATGCATAAAATAAAATAGTGTGAGAATAAAAATTTTAAAATCATTATAAAACCTCTATATAAACTATAAAAAAGGAAACTATAAAGAGTCAATTAAGAAAAGTGATGCAAATAATAATCCCTGAAATTATTGTTTCATAAATTTGAAACTTATCTCTAGGACAGAACTTCCTAACAGTTAAAGAAAAGGGGAAGCTAGTCAGGTACACTGTTCTCACAATCAGGAAAGAGGAAGCATCTATGTTTTCATGAAAGAGTAAGTAAATTCTAATAGAAACATCTTTTTTAGAGTGAACAATATTCCCGTCAACATTTGAGCTTCTAATTGCATGTTGAAGACCTTTAGTGCTATGTGGGCCTAAACCCAGTATGACCCACTTGTCTTCCACACCAGCTGGGCCACTGATCCCTATCATACTTAACATGATTGGGTCTGGGTCTAGCCCACTGAAAAAGTTATCAAGAGAATGGGGCTTACCTGACAAACCCCAATTGTCAGGTAGACTCAAGCTTCAACCATTGTTCCTTTGTCCCCCATCAGCCTGGGTGGAAAAAAGCTAATCTCATAATCTAGTCGAGTTAATTCCATTCTCCTTCTGCTTGTTTTCTGTAGGGTTTTGCCTGTTTCACAGTCCACCAATTATAACTGTAGACCAAATTTCAATTCCGAAAGGATAAAGACTTCCAGACATACATACTCTTACTCAGTAGGTCCAATGTCTAAAGTTTTAAGATGAGAGATGCCATCTTCTCAGTTCAGTGCCACCCCTTTCCTATTGTCTATATTAAATTACAAGTGTTTAAAGTAATTCACTGACATCCTAGTAAGAATGTGTTTATAAAATGGAATTAATAATCTACTAATCACTAGAGCAAGAAAGTGGCCATGGAATTGGGTGGAAACAGTTGAAATGACCAACTAGTGTGGAGTTTAAGGTGGTGAGGGCTTGAAGCTGAGATGGAAGCTCTGTTATCCACCTTTGGCTCATTGTGTCACTGCAGCCCAACAACTTCCTAGGGCCAAGGTATGGCCCTCAGAACCAAAGGAAACCCTACATTGTCTCATTAGACCAAAAACACTTTAGCAGACACTAGTAGGTGAGGCAACCGGTAGACATCAATGATTCCATGAGCACATTGATTTTGGAGAAAATCTGAATCCAAACAGATGAATGCATTTAATAGTCTTTTAATTCCGTGTTTAATAGAAGGAAGTCATAGTACGTCCAATATTCAGATTGTTTCATAAATAAGGTGTGTTTTTGAAACTGATGACTCACCAAAAAGCAGTTTACTCACCGCTTCTAATTTCCTGCTAAGAATCTGTTAGTGCACGCAACACTAAATTCCTCAGTACTTCCTGGTGAGTTTGAGGAGCTCTCTGGTCCTTGCAAAGGACACAGTGCAAAAGGAAGCAGCATGGGTTTATGCACTGTGGCAGCATTCGGACATCTTATTACCTTAAGAGCTCAGGACAAAGCCAACCTTCTGAGTGCAGAGCTGTGGAGCTTTGTTGCCCCTCTAGTTTGATTGTAATGTTTCACAGGCATGAACAAGGTGTTCACTTGAGCATAAGAAGCCAGGTAAACAAATTTATTTTGGTTCATCTGGTCAACTTTACATTCCACAAATGCTGGGGGGAAAAAAAAGAAGAAGAAGAAAGGCCTGGGGCTGAGGAAGAGCTTCAAGCCTTCTAACTTCATCTGTTGGTGTTGGTTTAGTGAAGAGTCTGGTTGCTTGGTTTCCAAGCAAAAGAGCAGGGTCCCACAAATAAACAGCAATAAGCCTGAGTCCTGGGAGAAAGAAAATGCAAACAGAATCATGTTATTGAAACTAGTTATCTAAATTCATATGTCAACAAACTGTCCCTGAGTGAGTACTCGGTGTGAAACAATATCTAAATTAGACAGATCAGCAGGTGAACCAGAAAAGGACAGGAACCCAATTACAGAAGGACCCTGATGCCCATGTCCATACATCAGAAGTGCTGGACATTCTTTGAGTTTGGTCATAAAGAAGTTTTACCCCAGGGGCTGCAAACACAAACGGCAGACTTGAGTGATGTGATGATGCAGGAGTGTGAAAGACCCTGGACTGTTTCAGGTGGTTTTATTCCATAGTTGCAAAATGTTTGAAAGCACTATATATATGTATATGTATATATTGCAAGTATAATTTTTTTAACTGAAAGGAGGAGTAAAAAAGAGAAGAGTTGAGTATAAACTGTAAATTTCAGCGAGACGATTCTTCTGACTACTATGATAAAAGTCTTATCAAAGCTGATACAGGCTCTTCATACTCGGAACAAGGGCTTAAGATAAGGAGAGGTGGGTTTGAAATTATGAAGCTACCTAAGGACAAGCATTGGACACTGTGACTTATGAGAAATTGCTTTTATCAGAGGGGTAGGGTAGCATTGTGTTATAATTGAGACCTGGACAGCTAATTAGAGGAAGAGAAGAACTACCAAGCACTTAGTATCAGCCAACATTTTGTTGTTGTTGTTGAGACAGGGTCTCACTCTGTCGCCCAGGCTGGAATGCAGTGGCATTATCTCATCTCGCTGCAACCTCTGCTTCCCGGGCTCAAGCGATTCTCCAGCCTCAGTCTCCCAAGCAGTTTGGACCACAGGCGTGAGCCACCAATGTTAATTTTTGTATTTTTTGTAGAGGCGGGGTTTTGCCATGTTGTCCAGGCTGGTATTGAACTCCTGAGCTCAAAGCGATCCTCCTGCTTCAGCCTCCCAAAGTGTTGTAATTACAGGTGTAAGTCACAGTTCCTGGCTTAGCAAACTTTTTTTTAAATTTTTTGTTTTTAATTTGTATGGGCACATAGTAGGTATAAGTTTTTATGGGGTACATGAGATATTTTGATACAGGCATACAATGTGTAATCATCACCTCAAACCTTTGCGGTTATGCAGCATCATTTCTTTGTGTTACAAACATTCCAATTATACACTTTAAGGTATTTTTAAATGTTTAGTAAATTGTTATTGAATATAGTCACCCCATTGTGCTATCAAACACTAGATCTTATTTATTCTACCTAATGATATTTTTGTACCCATTAACCATCCCCACTCCCCCACTGCCCACTACTCTTCCCAGCCTCTGGAAATCATCATTCTTTTCTCTACTTCCATCAGTTTAATTGTTTTAGTTTTAGCTCCCACAAATCAGTGAGAACATGTGAAGTTTGTCTTTCTTTACCTGGCATATTTCACTAAATGTCCTCCAGCTCCATCCACGTTGTTGCAAATGACAAGATCTCATTCTTTTTTTTGTTGTTGGTTTCTTTCTTTTTTTTTTTTTGTGGTGGATCAGCCAACATTTACGGAGTACTTCCTATGTGCCAAGTACTGTTGTGATCATTTTTCATGTGTTTTTATACGTTCTGCAACCCTATTTTATAGACAATGGAGTGAAGGCATCGAGCAGTTAAGTGAATGGTGAGCCAGAAAATCAACACAACCTGACTTCAAAGTCTGTTCTGTCACACTATTCTCTACTGCTTCCTAAAGACAGATGAAAAATACAAATAGAAGTGTCTGACCCTTGCTAAATATCCAAAGAAAAAGCAAAGGCAAACCAGGTACTAATGAGATAGAACATTCTTATCATCTGAACCTTCCATAATAAATTGGAGAGCCATCAAAATCCTATAGAGTCCACACTTCATTTTATTCAAGAAGTAAGCTTCAAGTGTCACTAAATTCAAGGTCCTGTGTAAATCTGGCAGTTGGTCAAGACGGTATCTGTGGCCTTTAATCAGTTCAGAATGTACAGTATTGATACAGAATTATTATTCTCTGTACAGAATGTACACAGATAACACTGAGAAGAGAAAGCTATAACCTATAAAATAAGTGATAATCCTTTTTCCCCTTCACTCCGTCTGTGTTTAAAATAAGAGTTATACAGCACCAAGAAGCCCACCTCTCCAAGCTCAAAAGATCCTCGTGAGGCCATAGGAAAGGTACAGCTGCAGGCACCAGAACACACCCCCTGCAATCACAGGAGGTGCAGGAATTCTACAGGGTCGGGACAGCCTCAATAGAGAATCTGCTATATCTTACAAGAATCCTCCTTTTTACCATGCAGATTCTAGAGTTCCAGACCCTTTACAGTAAGATGCATTTCTCCACCAGCCTATAGCATCAGAGAAAAATAACACAAGCAAGGCTTCTGGAGAACACTCATGAGTCTGCTGGATTAGAGGCTCACACCCAACAGACTCAGAGTGCAAAGGGTCCTTCCTGTGGATGAGAAGCTCTTCTAGAACAAAATTAAGCTGCTTCCGTCCCTGGGCACTTTTGCTCTGGTGTCATGGCCGTGCTCAACTTCCTCATGAGGACAAACATCTGAAGATGTGACCTGAGATTAGGACATTCTTTTTCACTTACGTATTGTTTCAGCAAACCCCACATTGACTCCAGCACTTCCAAATGTCCTTTAGGCAAAGAGAGACATCTAGTGGCCAAGATTCACAACGTTGTAGCGGCCACCTGTTTACAAAATCACTATGCGGTACAATCACTTAATTTACCATGAAGGTGACTGAGGGACTTAATGGAGGAGGCAGGAGAAGGAGCAGTCCAAACCAGGTAACCTCTGTGACCTGAGTTGCCTTGTCCAGTTTTTCAGGACATAGATTCTGCTTGGAGCAGAGTTCATTCATTCATCTATTTATTCATTTGACAAGCATTTATACTGTCTACTAGGTACAAGACACTGTGTTAAGCCTCAGGACTTCAAAATCTATAAATACACTCTTCAAGCATCTATAATGGAGAAGGTAGGCCAGCAACAATCAGTTAAAATATGTTACGATAGGGGCTGAACACACTGTGCCACAGAAGGCTGTAGGAGAGGCACTTACATGAATCTTTGAGGATAAGAAAAAGCGTTTAAAACACAGGTCTCAAACTGGCACCCTGTGGGCCCCATCTGGCCAGCAGATGTGTTTTGTTTGGACCATGCTTTGTTTTTCTAACTCTGAATTAGTTGCCGACATTTAAACATCAGGGGATTTCACATAAAAATCCAAATTTCAGCTTCTTTTGGAAAATAAGAAGATCTGAAAACATTGGTTTGTATTCCTGCAGGGTCACATTCAATTGGAGCTGCTTTCTTAATGTTTTTACATAACAGTCAATAATGTCTCTGCATAACAGCTTCTTTTAATAAAATGTTGGTAAATTTTACATGAACAAGGTAGAAAACTCAAAATTACAAAAGCATATTCAGTAAACTACCCTTGTTCCACAACTAACCAATCTTCACCTACAAAAGCGCCCACTTTACCAGTTAGAAATTGTATAAATGCATATCCTTCTCTCACAGTTTACACCAAAGTTAATATTACCTGGATTTAAAATATAAACACAAAATATGAAACTTTAAAGACAGTAGAAGAAAACAGTTGTTGCTGATACATTCTTTAAATAATGTGTTGGTTTAATGGCAAAGGTATTCCTAAAGTAAGAACAAAACCTAGATGTCACAAAAAGAAAAAAATGGTATTTTTTTGGTGTCTTCACATAAAAAGGAGAAAAGATTCTGCAAGGTCAGCAATACAATAAACAGCATCCAAATAGAAATAATGATCTGGAAAAAAAGAAGCTATTTTCAATTTATTTAATAAATTTTTCCTAATATGCAAATAGTTCTTTGGAATCAATGAAAAAAGACAATCAACCAGATAAATAGACAAAAGGATATAAATAAATCCACCAAAAAAGCATACAAATAGTTCTAAAGTCTATGAAAAGCAAGGAAACATCTAGGATAACTTGAAAAATGAAGACTAAAGCAATGATGGGATATTATTTTTACCTCTCAGGTAAAAGATCAAAAGCGTTAATGACAACATTGTTGCAGGTAGGAGGAAATAGGCAGTGTCATATATAACTAGCGGGAATATAAGTCAGTAAATCTGTACCAAATGTTTACATTTACATATCACTTGACTTAGCAATTCTATTTCTAGAAATACAACCTACACACATACTTTCATATGTGCAAAATGATATGTATACAATGCAGAATTATTTCTAATATGCTGATTGAAAGTAATCTAAAAGTCCATCAGTAGGTGCGGTGAATTGTATTTGTTTAAAATATATTATATATGCAAGACATGAACCTTTTTTGTTTTGAGAAATTGAAATTTTGAGGTTGTTACTATATTGTAATCTAGCTTAAGCATACAGAAATTGGTACTAAGAGTGGGGTAAAGCTGCCATAAGAGAAATCTGACAATGTATGACATTTGCTTCTTGTCTGGCCAATGAGCAGCAAAGAAATTGTTCTTGGAAACCATATGGGCATGACCTATATAAGAAACCTTTGTGCTTGGCATGGTGGCTCACGCCTGTAATCCTAAAACTTTGGGAGGCCACGGTGGGCGGATCACTTGAGGTCTGGAGTTTGAGGCCAGCCTTGCCAACATGGCGAAACCCCATCTTTACTACAAATACAAAAATTCGCCAGGCATGGTACTGCATGCCTGTAATGCCAGCTACGCAGGAGGCTGAGGCAGGAGAATCGCCTGAACCTGGGAGGCGGAGGTTGCAATGAGTCGAGATTGCAACACTGCACTCCAGCCTGGGCAACAGAGTGAGACTCCATCTCAAAAATAAATAAATAAATAAAAATTTTAAAAAGAGAAACGTGTGATAAATGTGAATGGCAGTTAATATGCTGAACGAGTTTCAGGCTTCAAGCAAGAAAGTTGCAATCCCTTTTACTACAGCTAGTGGTTCTCTTGTCAGTACAATGCTCTTAAAACATAATTGTCACCTCATTTGTTTCATTCCAATCAGCTGCACGTGCCATCATATACGCCTCACATTCTTTTCCAAGCAGTACCTTGAGTCTATCAGGCGTCAGTGGCAGAGCCACACCTTTGGTTTCTTTTCCGGAGTAATTTTATCCACCTGAAAGACTTAGAGCCACCTTACTCATTCCCAGTGTTGAAGGAAAAAGATTTGACGGCCATATCCGTGACTCACTTCTTGTTATTAGGCTTGGATATAATTGGTTTTATATCCAAACCAAGACCACCTCAGTTTTATATTTTATTAGTTAGAGATAGGAATTAGTTACATCTTCTCTCTGATAAGTCCCAGAATTTATGGACTTTTGTTTTTTAATTTTACTTCCATTTGCAAAGTAGCCACCTTTTTCTTGAAATACACAGTCTAAACAATCTGTAGTTTCTTTTGCTGTGCAGAAGCTCTTTAGTTTAATTAGATCCCATTTGTCAATTTTGGCTTTTGTTGCCATTGCTTTTGGTGTTTTGGACATGAAGTCCTTGCCCACGCCTATGTCCTGAATGGTAATGCCTAGGTTTTCTTCTAGGGTTTTCATGGTTTTAGGTCTAACGTTTAAATCTTTAATCCATCTTGAATTGATTTTTGTATAAGGTGTAAGGAAGGGATCCAGTTTCAGCTTTCTACATATGGCTAGCCAGTTTTCCCAGCACCATTTATTAAATAGGGAATCCTTTCCCCATTGCTTGTTTTTCTCAGGTTTGTCAAAGATCAGATAGTTGTAGGTATGTGGCGTTATTTCTGAGGGCTCTGTTCTGTTCCATTGATCTATATCTCTGTTTTGGTACCAGTACCATGCTGTTTTGGTTACTGTAGCCTTGTAGTATAGTTTGAAGTCAGATAGTGTGATGCCTCCAGCTTCTGCACAGCAAAAGAAACTACCATCAGAGTGAACAGGCAACCTACAACATGGGAGAAAATTTTCGCAACCTACTCATCTGACAAAGGGCTAATATCCAGAATCTACAATGAACTCAAACAAATTTACAAGAAAAAAACAAACAACCCCATCAAAAAGTGGGCGAAGGACATGAACAGACACTTCTCAAAAGAAGACATTTATGCAGCCAAAAAATACATGAAAAAATGCTCATCATCACTGGCCATCAGAGAAATGAAAATCAAAACCACTATGAGATACCATCTCACACCAGTTAGAATGGCAATCATTAAAAAGTCAGGAAACAACAGGTGCTGGAGAGGATGTGGAGAAATAGGAACACTTTTACACTGTTGGTGGGACTGTAAACTAGTTCAACCATTGTGGAAGTCAGTGTGGCGATTCCTCAGGGATCTAGAACTAGAAATACCATTTGACCCAGCCATCCCATTACTGGGTATATACCCAAAGGACTATAAATCATGCTGCTATAAAGACACATGCACACGTATGTTTATTGCGGCATTATTCACAATAGCAAAGACTTGGAACCAACCCAAATGTCCAACAATGATAGACTGGATTAAGAAAATGTGGCACATATACACCATGGAATACTATGCAGCCATAAAAAATGATGAGTTCATGTCCTTTGTAGGGACATGGATGAAATTGGAAACCATCATTCTCAGTAAACTATCGCAAGAATAAAAAACCGAACACCGCATATTCTCACTCATAGGTGGGAATTGAACAATGAGATCACATGGTCACAGGAAGGGGAATATCACACTCTGGGGACTGTGGTGGGGTGGGGGGAGGGGGGAGGGGTAGCATTGGGAGATATACCTAATGCTAGATGACGAGTTAGTGGGTGCAGCACACCAGCATGGCACATGTATACATATGTAACTAACCTGCGCAATGTCCACATGTACCCTAAAACTTAAAGTATAATAAAAAAAAAAAAAAACAATCTGTAGCAATTAACTTGTGCTAGTAACATTGTTTTGCATTGACCTACTCATTTGTTTCACACCATGGACTGAATAACATATCTTTGCCTCATTGATTTGAGATGCTACCTTTATTAAATACTAAATTCCTATGTGACTTTGGGTCAATTCATGGATTTTGTATTCATTTCATTCGTCTGTGTCTGCTCAAGAACAACTTAATACTCTGTTTATTGTGACTTCATCATATATCTTTATATCTAATATACTAATTATTCCTCATTATTCTTCCTTTTCAGAATTTTTCTATTTCTGCTTATTAATTTATTCATATAAACTTTAGAATAAGCTTGACTTTCCCCCTCCCCACACACCACAAAAACCTATTGATATATTTATTGAGATTATGTTAAGTGTATAGGTAAATTTGGGGATAATTAATGTCTTTTGAGTTCCTCTAAAGAAGAATATGGCTTGATTTTCTACATGATCAAATAAAATAAAATAATTAAGCAGTGCTGATCATAATTCTGAAAGATGCAATTTTGAACATGATAATCTGTAATTTCAATCATAATTTGGGTTGAAGTACCGAAGGATCAAAATCTCTAGTCTAAAATCTTGAAAATCACAATAAATCCCAAATGTTGAAACCCTGAAACCTGAATTCTGGGGAAGGTATGAATGAGTTTTCAGCTGTAAGCAGGGTTGTTGCATCATGTTAGTTGCATTATGTCAGGCAGAACTATTATTACCTTGTTTTTGTCTTTATTTGCATTTGGAGGGCAATTCAGATGACTGGATGGGCCATGTGATAAGGCAATGATGAAAGCTTCCTTTTAAAAATGCATTATTTCGGCTGGGTGCGGGGGCTCACGCCTGTAATCCCAGCACTCTGGGAGGCCGAGGTGGGTGATCACCTGAGGTCAGGAGTTTGAGACCAGCCTGACCAACATGGTGAAACCCCATCTCTACTAAAAATACAAAAATTAGCTAGGTGTGGTGGCATGGGCCTGTAATCCCAGCTACTCGGGAGGCTGAGGCAGGAGAATCACTTGAACCCAGGAGGCAGAGGTTGCAGTGAGCTGAGATTGCACAACTGCACTCCAGCCTGGGCGACAGAGCGAGACTCATCTCAAAAAAATAATGCATTATTTGTCTGCACTGGCATTCCTTTCAGCTGGTGAAATTCCAGGAGCTTTTAATGAATTAAAGTCGCATTTCTCTGAAGAAGCCAGCAAAGTTACTGACTAGTTTAAAAATAATTATGTGCCTGGTAGGATAGGAAGACACTTATACAACAGTGTTGGGGTTCGATCAACAGTATAGTTCCCACCAAATTTGTAGTCTGTATATAAGTGCACGCGGAATGGACTTTGCATGCGCAAAGCAACCTAGAAGTGTGGTACAGAAGATGGGAAAACAATAGGGAATGCTTATGTTGTTGTATATTGAATCACAGAATGATTTCAAAAAGAGCAAGCACCATATAGAAAATGAAAGTGAACATATTCTCCAAGGAGAATCATCTGGATGCAAGACTTCAAAATAGAGCTAATGATAGTGAAAGCTGGCCAGCTCTTATGAACAGCCTATGTGCAATTATGCATAGTCTATCCCTCTAATTGCTTTTTCATATGGTAAATTTTCTTTTGAGTTTGTTTTTCTTCTTTTTTCTTTTTAAATTTTTGATTCCCAACTATTTTAAATTGACAGCATTATTTTTCACGATTTGCTATGCTATGTATTTCATCTTTACCTCATTTCCAATATTGGAGGTATAAATTGTGTAAAGACTTTTAGAGAGTTCTAATTCATTCTATGCATTTTTTATAAACTTGACTCCATGAAAGTACATTTGACTTCATGTGTAAGCCTCGTGTGTATATGTAAAAATATTGAAACTTTCTTAATAAATGAAGAAATGTCCTTTTAGTGCATCTGCTTTTGTAAAAGAGAAAACTGCTCAAGGGTTCGGCTCTTTGGGTGACTGCATATGCGGTGGCGAGTGATCACAGGTTTCTATTGTTCTTCTCAAAAGACGTGGGTTGTCCATCACAGCATTTCAGATTATTGCAGTTATAAAGCTGAGCGTACACAATTACCAGCCATAGTGATACATGATTTCTACATTTCACTTTTTCATCTATTTATGAATACACTCGTCTGCTCATAACTTATACCCATGCAATTGTTCCTAGTATACCTAAGTGGGCTTGCAAAAACATAGTTTTTTATTATAATTTAAGTTCTGGGATACATGTGCAGAATGTGCAGGTTTGTTACATAGGTATATACGTGTCATGGTGGTTTGCTGCACCCAGCAACCCGTCATCTACATTAGGTATTTCTCCTAATGCTATCCCTCCCCAAGCCGCACACCTCCCAACAGGCCCCAGTGTGTGATGTCCCCCTCCCTGTGTCCATATGTTCTCATTGTTCAAATCCCACTTATGAGTGAGAACATGCGGCATTTGGTTTTCTGTTCCTGTGTTAGTTTGCTGAGAATGATGGTTTCCAGCTTCTTCCATGTCCCTGAAAAGGACATGAACTCATCCTTTTTTATGGCTGCATAGTATTCCATGGTGTATATGTGCCACATTTTCTTAATCTAGTCTATCATTGATGGGCATTTGGGTTGGTTCCAAGTCTTTGCTATTGTGAACAGTGCTGCAATAAACACACATGTGCATGTGTCTTTATTGTAGAATGATTTATAATCCTTTAGGTATATACCCAGTAATGGGATTGCTGGGTCAAATGGTATTTCTGGTTCTAGATCCTTGAGGAATCGCCACACTGTCTTCCACAATGGTTGAACTAATTTACATTCCTATCAACAGTGTAAAAGTGTTCCTATTTCTTCACATCCTCTCCAGCATCTGTTGTTTCCTGGCTTTTTAATGATCGCCATTCTAACTGGCGTAAGATGGTATCTCATTGTGATTTTGATTTGCATTTCTCTGATGACCAGTGATGATGAGCGTTTTTTCATGTATCTGTTGGCTGTATACATGTCTTCTTTTGAGAAGTGTCTGTTCATATCCTTCGCCCACTCTTTGATGGGGTTGTTTTTTTCTTGTAAATTTGTTTAAGTTCTTTGTAGATTCTGGATATTAGTCCTTTGTCAGACAGATAGATTGCAAAAATTTTCACCTATTCTGTAAGTTGCCTGTTCACTCTGATGATAGTTTCTTTTGTTGTGCAGAAGGTCTTTAGTTTAATTAGATCCCATTTGTCAATTTTGGCTTTTGTTGCCATTGCTTTAGGTGAAAAACATGTGTGTTTTATTGTCTATTTTATTGTGGAAAGTGGGCTCTGAAGTGTTCTGTTGTGTTTTTATAATGTTTCTCAAATGAGCCACCTTTTAAAAATGAAAATAAAATATCTTTTAAATTATTTTTTCCAGAATTACATTTTAAGGATTTTGATTTTTCAGGATTTCAACCTTCAGAAATACAGTGTTCAGGGTTGTGTCTTTCAGGATTATGACTAAACCCATTATCAAGGAATGAATCTAACAACTAGGCAGGAGTAATATTAAAATATTTTTAAATGTATGAAAAAATGCAGAAGAAGTTTCCTCAGTTATATCCCAAGGCTTGTGAGGTGTGATTGTATGCCTTCACGTATCATTAAAATATAAAATGAAATTGAACCTGACGTTAGAAAACATTGCCACCCAGGATGAGATTCTATTGCAAGTTTACCATGAAAGGGCAAATGGATGAAAGATATACCTTTAAAAAGAAATATATTTATATCATAAAGAAAGAGGGGAAAAAAAGGGGGAACGCAGAGAGACACATAAAGTACACTCATTTTTGCAATGATTTTTCTGTCCTGGTTACTTATTATTGTTTCTGCTTCTTCTTTATGGTACTGGGGTATAACGTGTATTTGTAGGCCGTTTCTATTTCCCTGCACACAGATGAAATGTAAGTAGGGTCAGGCCATGCACAGTTGTCGATCTATCTCTGGTAACCCCTTTTTTTTTCTCCCCTTCCTCACCTTGGCAGCCCTTCTGCCTGCAAGAGCATTGTGGGGGGCAGGGTACTGTGAATGATGAGGAATAAGGCCCAAACCTTTCCTGTGAAATATGTGCTCAGTGTTTGAGTAAGCATTGATACTGATTATTAATAAGGGAGGACAATGAGATGAACAAAATTAGAAAATATTTTTCTCAGAAGCAACATGCACTAGCGACTAATAAATTTAGAGTCTAACTTCTCCAGAGTATAATGTTATACTTGTGTCATCAACTGTTAAAAATTTTCTTAGAACACCATTTATATGTATACATACATATATGTATGCTTAGGTATACTTAATTTAATAGACGATTGATCGTGTGGCATAGTCTCCTGCTTTCCAACAATATAAAATATTGGCAACGGTGCTGAACAACTATAACACTCATAAAATTGTAGATATGTAAAATTGTACAATCACTTTAGAAAATAGTTGGACAATTATTAATTTAACAATTGTTCATTGTTAATGACAAT
Organism: Homo sapiens; assembly: GCF_000001405.40. Classification (NCBI taxonomy): domain Eukaryota; kingdom Metazoa; phylum Chordata; class Mammalia; order Primates; family Hominidae; genus Homo; species Homo sapiens. The sequence goes on from NC_000006.12 coordinate 47,056,451, forward strand.
TGTTACTTTTAGTTATAAGATTAAATATGCACTTACAATTTGACCCAGCAATCCCACTTGTATATATTTACCCAAGGGAAATGAAGGTAATAGATCAACATAAATTGTTGTATGGGCCAGACATGGTGGCTGAAACCTGTAATCCCAGCACTTTGGGAGTCTGAGATGAGAGGATAACTTGAGGCCAGGAATTTGAGACCAGCCTGAGCAACATGATTAGATCCCATCTCTTAAAAAATTAAACATTAGCCAAATGTGGTGGCACATGCCTGCAGTCCTATCTGTTCAGGAGGCTGAGGCAGAAGTACTGCTTGAGCCCAGGTCAAGGTTGCAGTGATCCATGATCATATCACTGCACTCCAGCCTGGGTAACAGAGTGAGACCCTGTCTCAAAAAAAAAAAAAAAAAAAAAAGACTTGTATGCAATATTCGTAGATTTATTTGTAACAAAATCTAAAAGCAATCCAATGTTCATGAACAGGTGAAGGAACAAACAAATTCAGATATAACCATACAATGGAATACTACCAAGGAAGCAATACAATATTCTTAGCAAGACACCTGGAAAGGTAAGCAATAATGAGGACTTTGCACTCTATGGAAAAACCATGTTGTACAAATGCAAGATATTACATTCCTTGGTTTTAACCTATTCTCTTCCTTCAGGATCGCTGTCACTCATGGTCTACTTTGAATTACACTTACTGAAGATGCCAGCTAATTCTTTATAGTGCCTCAGTGCCTGTTTTAGTAGATGATCCCAGAACTAAGGTAAGTACTGTGTCAGACACAGTAAGAAGTATACCAAGTCCCAGGATATAGAGAGCTGACAATTTTGTATAGTAAACAGTACAAATGCAAAAAAATTTGAGAATTGTATTAGACCTTACAATAAACATTTCCAATGCCTGTTGCCTGCCTATGTTCAATAAAAACAACAAAGAAGAGATGAACTATAATAACTTAAGAAGTTAATTAAAACTTTACAATATGCTACATCTACTGGTCTTCTTCTGTTCTCATAATTGGCATGAAAGAACATGTGGTGGGAAAGCCAATGTACCCCATTATGTCACTTTTCAGAGATCGGGGTTTTACTTTTGTTTTTCCTGCTTCTCTTGATAAACCATCATGGTGCTATCATATATTAAAATTTTTATCCTTTGCTAAATTTATTCTGTCTCCAGCATGTAACAACATCTCATGTAAGTTATTTTAACCTCTAGTAAAAGATTTTATTTAACTTAGCTTTAATTTTTAGACCTAAAATCAGAATGTCAATTTTTCTCAAGCTTAGTGCAACTTTCCTACATTCCGTTAGCTCTTATTCACAGGATTTGATCACATGCTCATACTTATACTTTATAAGCTGAAAACCTCACTTGTAATTTGTCACATATTAAACTTTTTAATGAAAACTTTTAAACAAATCCACATAAATTTAGAGAATTTTGGAGGGGGTATAAATTTGTCATGATAAATCCACATTCTTGCTCCTGATTCCCTTACACACCTACTCATAGTAAGGCAGCAGGCCAGGGATGACAGTACAGATACTTAACTGTGGGAAAGCAAACTTAAATGCCTATCAAATGCCTGAGCATAGCAACATGGCCAGATAAAAGCATGTTTAATTTACTGAGTGTATTAGTCATGGTTCTTCAGAGAAAGAGAAACAATAGGTAAAAGAGAAAGAGAGAAGTGGATAGATGGATGGTTTGTTGGATAGATAGATAGATAGATAGACATAGATAGATAAAAAAGATTTATTACAAGAAACTGGCTCATGTGATTATGGAGACTGAGAAGTCCCAGGATCTGCACTCAGCAAGCTGGAGACCCAGAGATGATGTGTAACTTCCAGTCTGAGTCTGCAGGCCAGAGAACCAGGAGAACCAGTAGTGGTAGCTCCATGCTTTAGCTCAAGCAGTCAGATGGATAACGTTCCCTCTTATTCAGGAGAGTCAGACTGTGTGTTATATTCAGAACTTCAACTAATGAAGGCTACCCACACAGGGAAGGCAGCCTGCTTTACTCAGTCTACCAAATCAAATGTTAATCTCACCCTCATAGAAGAATGTCTGACCAAATATCTGGGCACTTCATGGCCTAGTCAAATTGACATATTAAATTGGCCATTGCGCCCAAGTTAACTAACTACAAACTGTCCAGCCCAGAGGTTTCCAATCTGTGGGTCTAGATTTTTGATGTTGCTCTTCTGAGATTCTACATGATTAAGTTTTACCATGTTCTTTGAAAATTATAAAATTGTACTATATTATTGAGACGGATCTATTTCACTAACCAGAAATAAAGAAAAATCAGTGAGGTGATGAGTATTATACAGAAGACACCAATGGGCCAAGAGCCTGCCATCCCTTGTCTATTGTATGGAAAATTTCTAGCACTTCATTTGGGTCACCTTGGCCACCCAGATCCCCCGATATCTGCCACAACATGGTATGTAACACTTGAAGAGCCAATGCTAAGTCCACCTGTCCCCAACAACCCTGACTAGCTATAGCAATCGCTGGACCCTTCACACTCAATCAACATGCATCGTTACTGTTGTACCGTGGCCCAACATCCCAAGAAGTCTCCAAGGGCAATGTCTTTTCAGAGTGACCACTTAGGAACAGGGTATATGCAGAGAGTTACTAATATCAGCTCTTCCAGGCATCAGGACACTTTACAGATTTGGCTTGCGTAAAAGGTATGAAAATAAAATCCAAGGGAAAGAAAAAGATGCTTTTTGCTGACGACTATTTTTGGAGTTTTTAGAAAAGTGGTGTAACGTTTCACAGAATAGATTTCTGCACTAAGAAATGAAGCAAACTGCCCTTCAAAGAAAATGTGAGGATCCACCTTTCTCTATGTTGGGGGCTGTGGGGCAGTGAATTTCCTCCAGGCATAGCAATACCTGGGCAATTTTCCCACTGACTCACGGGACCTGCTGAAGCCGCCTCTTCATGCTGTTGTCTCAGCAAACACCACAACACTTCCTGCACCCATCCCTCTTTGCACCTACCCCTTCCTTGGAGACACAAATAGACTTTGGATGGAAATAACTGAGGCAGTCCCACTAATTTATTTCACCTCCTCACTGAGCATTTATGGAACACTTACTAGTGCCAGGAATTTTACATGTATATTCTTAATTAAATTTCACAATGCAACCACCTGTGGTGAGTTCTATTTTTCTTCCTTTTTACAGATGATGAAACCAAGGCTTCGAAACGTTGGCCAGCTCACCCAAAGTCACACAATTAGTGGAAAAGTTGGCTCTGAAAAACAGGTCTGTCCACCTTGGATTCCTGAACTTCTCATCATTTATCTTTAAATAATTGCTTAATGTCTCTTTTTTCACATTTAAAAATCACAAGACTTTAAGTATATGGTTTAAAGCAAACTTTACAAGAAGTCTTATGGCATTTCAGAGGTTGAAGTTCCCCTATTTGTGCATTGCATAAAAATAGTGTTTCTGAACCTATTGAATTAAAAAAAAAAGTCCCTGTAAAGTTCTTATTTTGGTCCCAGAATGTAAATTTAAATTATCGCTTTTAGATTCTTAAAAAGAGTTCAAGCATTTGAGAACAAGGCAATGAAGGCCTTGAGTCTGTCTATCTTCTTTATTACTCTATCCAAGATAATAGGTATCATAAATATTAAATGTATTAAGTCAAAATAAATTTGATTTAATTAGCTTCATTGAGAGTCAGTGGAGAGGACAGATGTAATTGGAAAAAGCTTGGTTTACCCAAGCTAAGCACTAGTGATTCCCACCCCGAGGAGAGGACAGATGTAATTGGAAAAAGCTTGGTTTACCCAAGCTAAGCACTAGTGATTCCCACCCCGAGGGAGCATATAGATTAACAAAATACATGGTCAAGTAATAGATTAACAAAATACATGGTCAAGTAAACAATAACAGTGAAACTGCTTCACCTATAATGACAGGAATTGGGTTCTAACAGGACTGTTGATGATTGGACTCATCCATGTCATCTCATTAGCCTAACAATGATCTTATCCTATATCCTACGAAATCAAATTCTGGTGATCCCACATACAGTAATACAGCAGGGTTTTCCATATCACCAATATAATGGCTAAGAATTGGATCAGCAGTTGGCCAAGGGTGTACTGAGTACCTAAGACATGTCTGACCATGGAGAACGTATATACATTGCACACACTCTGCCAATCCAACTCCATTCCCCATTTCTTCTCAGAATGCCCTTTTGTCTCTCCTTTTCTACCACGAGAAGCAAGTGCAGAGGTTAAAAACAGGAGACAACTGCTGGGTTCGAATCCATTATACCTGATCAATCAGCTAGTGATGTTGAGCAAGGTATTTCACCTCCCAAGCCTCATCTATGAGCCTAGAACAATTAATTCCTACCCCATAGGGTTGCTGTAAAGATTAAATGAGATAATGTATGCAGCGTGCTTCGCCAGTGACTGGCATATAATAAATGCTTTTTAAAAAATTGCTTCCTGGAATATCCAATTGTCTCCTCTCCAGCTCTTCAAGTCCTGAGATTTTAACTTACTGAGACTTAAAGCCTGAATCAAGTTCTCCTCCATAAAGCCTCCCTGCCGTTCCTGTGGGAATGGCATCCCTTAAATAGTCAACACCACACAGTTAAGTTTTGGATGATAGGCAACACCTGAAAAAGAGGTGATGCTATGTGTGTGGGTTGGTGGAGCAGGGAGAGGGCAAACGGACGAACACTAATTCTACGGTGTTGCTTATGCTGGTATGAGTTGGCCAGCAGTGTCCCCAGAAGGGGACCAGAGACTATGTTTCTACCCTGTCCTCTTTCCTCCCCCAGTCTCTTACTTTGTAGCTATATAACCTAAGGTAAGGCCAGGCTTTGGTTGTTTTGTCTGTAAAATGGGCTGATTCTATTCTTCCTAGCTAAAGTCAGAAAGATGAACCAGATCCCAATGTAAGACCTCCTCTAGCTCCATCTTTGAGATTCTGCTGGCACATGTGGTCCTGAGTGTAGGAGGGTGCATCACCCTGAAGCCAAGTGACCTGCACATCTGGTCACTCTAGAGGCCTCCATTCCCTCCAAGTGAACAGGACATGTTCTTGCTTCCCTCCGCCCATTCCAGAATCTGGAATCTCTCTCAAATCAGGCCATGGGCAAAAACTTGCTAGCACCCAGGCTGCCAGCAGGGCAGTGCCCTGGACTCCCTGGTGTAAACACTGATGAGGAAGGATTGAAGTTTGGCTCTGCCCGTGCCTTTCTGTGCTATCTCCAGCCAAAGGCCTGGAGGCTTTCATCTGCTGAGCCAGGCAGTGTTAAACAACAACATTATTCTTCCTTCCTGCCTCAGCTCCACCCCTCCCTCTGGCCACTGTCTCAAAGGAAACAGCCAGTAAGGACTGGACAGTTGCTGCCATTTAGCTTCCTGTAAATGGGGAGGGTGCTGGGAGAGATGGCCAGATTCTCGGCTTCCTTTAACACTGACCGGGTGACTAATCCCAGGGAGAATTAAGAAAAGGGAAGAGCAGGGAATTGGAGACTTCTTTTGGCTGGAAAAGAGGGGCAGATTTCTGATCAAAGAGCCCTAATCCAATCGGTAATCAGACAAAACCTGTCTGACTCCAGGTTCTCCCCTAAGCATTGCAGGAGAAGGACCCTGGCAAGAGTGACCACAGTCCAAGGCCAACTCTCTGCAGCAGTCCAAGGCCACTCTTCCAACAGTGGGAAGGCAGCTGTCCATGGCAGCCATTGTCAGGGTCACTACATACAGCCATGGACATTGTGCTTTCCCAAGGGCACTGGCCCAGTCAGAGCTGAACAACCCAGCAAGTGTCTCCCACCCTTGCTAAGCTATGTGCTACATCTGCCCAGAGGGGATATCTTTTCCAATTTTCACAAAAGTTCCATAAAGCATGGGCCGCATGTGCGTTCATGTGTCTGTGCCTCACGATGACTATGCCCGGTAGTTTTGCAAATAGAGGATCAGTAGCATCCTTATAGCCAACTGCCCTTCTACATCCTCTCAACACTATGATTTATTTCTTCTTTCTTTCTTCCTCCTTTTCCTCTCCCTTCCCCAGTACATTCTCCTTTTCCTCTTCCCCTTTCCCTTCCTTGTCCTTTGACCCTCTCCTTTTCTCTTCCTCTTTGCCCCCAATCTGTTGTCACGTGCTAGATGGCCAGCTTATCCCTAAATGCTCAGAAACACTCTGGAAGGAGAGGGGCAGGTAGCAGCAGAAGGAAGCCACAAAGAAAAAAGTGTTTGATACTCAGAATACAATCATTTTCCTTTTTTCTAAAGTGTTGCCTTTCAGTAAGTGGCAGGTCATTTTGTGAGATGGCAGAAAATATCAAGAGGGTGGATTTTTAAAACTTTGACCAGAAAGAACTTGAAAAAGTTATTTAGCTCTCCCTTATACACATTTGTATGCACAAATGCACTGGTAGAGCTAAATTATGTTTTCCTTTTTAGTTGACTGCTATAGTAGGCACAATAATGCCCTTCCCGTCCCCAGATATAGCCATGCCCTAATCCCCAGAATCTGTGAATATATGACCTTATGTGGCCAAAGTTTACAGATGTAGTTAAAGCCACTAGTCAATTGACCTTAAAAATAAAAGATTATCCTGGATTACCTGGTTGTGTCTAATCTAATGACGTAAACCCTCAGAAGCAGAGAAGTTTGTTCAGCTAGAAGCAGAAGAGATATGTGGCAAAACAGGAAGCAAGAGAGATGCAACAGAAGGGGAGGTGAAAGAGATATGAAGCCTGAGAGAGAGACCGACACACAGTTGCAGGCTCTGAAGTGCAGGGGCACCTGTGCAAGGACCGTAGTGAGGCCTTGAGGAGAACATAGAAAGCATGAGAAGGAAAGTGGGCAGCCATTAATAGCAAAGACCAGCCCCTGGCTGACCGCCAGCAAGGAAGCATAACCTCAGTACTACAACCACAAGGAACTGAGTTCTGCCAACAACATAAATAAATTGGAAGTATTTTTTCCCCAGGGCCTCCATTAAGGAATACAGCCCGGCTGACACCCTGAATTTAGCCTAATGAGACCCATATCAGACTTCTAATCAATAGAATCATGAGAAAATAAAGGGGAAAATAAAGAGAGAAGATATGAAAAGTATTGTAGTCCCCTCTTATCTGTGGGGAATATATTCCAAGATCCCCATTGGATGCCTGAAACTAAGGATAATACCAAACCCAAATGCTGTCAGTCAGTAAACATTTTTGTTCATATATTTCATGCATTGTATTAGTCCGTTCCTGCATCGCTATAAAGACAAACCTGATACTGGGTAATTTGTAAAGAAAAGAGGTTTAATTGGCTCACAGTTCTGTGGGCTGTACAGGCTTTGGCTTCTGCAGGGGCCTCAGGAAACTTACAATCATGATGGAAGGTGAAGGGGAAGCAAGCATGGTATTCCCATGGTCAGCAGGAGAGAGAGAGTGAAGCGGGAGGTGCTACACGTGCTTAAACAACCAGATCTCGTGAGAATTCTGTCATGAAACAGCACTAGGGGGATGGTACTAAACCATTAGAAACCACCCCCTTGATCCAATCACCTCCCACCAGGCTCCACTTCCAACACTGAGGATCACAATTCAGCTTCAAATTTGGGTGGGAACACAAGGCCAAACCATGTCACCCATGTGTTTGTCTTTTTTCATCTTAACTAGGCACTTATGCACCGTGGGCTTAACTTTCGCATTTTGAAGTGTGACAGGGAAACTAGCATGAATTTCTTTTTCCTTCCTCACAATTTCACAGGTGGAAGAGTCGTTTTTACCATAGATGTTAGCAACCTCAGCATACGATTCTTTTTGTTTCCTTACTAAGTCAAGAACTTTCACCTTTTCACACAAAGAAAGCACTTTACGGCTTTTCTTTGGCATATCCAATTGCCAGCAGTACTACTCTTGTGCTTTATGGCCATTATTAAGCAAAACAAGGGTTATTTGAACACAGTGCTGTGACACCAGGCAAGTCAATCTGATACCTGGCTTGGCTATGAAATGACTAATGGTTGGGTAGTGTGTATACTATGAATACACTGGACAAAGGAATGATTTACATCCTGGGTGAGACAGAGCAGAATGGTACAAAATTTGATTATGCTAGTCATAATGGCACACAATTTAAAACATATGAATTGCTTATTTCTAAAATTTTCCATTTAATATTTTTGGATCATAATTGACCATGGGTAACGGTAACTACAGGAAGTAAAAGCATAGTAAGGGAGGGCTGTCATACTTTTAAAAAATGACTGAAAACTCCCCAAATATGGCAAAAGACATAAACTTACATATCTGAGAAACCGAGAGAATCTCAAACAAGATGAATCAAAAGAAATCCACACCAAGATACATCATAGTAAAATTTCTGAAAACTAAAGACAGAATAAAGCAAACCCTCCAAAATTTAAAATAATTAATATCATACAAAGAATGTTCTTCATCCAAAATGTTATCAAACTAGAAATCAATGACAGAGAAAAAATATTTCTAATCATCTGGAAACCTAAAAATACACCTTGGACTAACCCCTGGCTCAAAGAAGTAACAAATAAGTTAAAATGCATTAAACTGAATAAAAATAAAAATAAAACATATCAAAATGTGTGGAACACAGTTAAAACAGGGCAGCAAGAAATTTATAGCATTAAATGCATACATTAGAAAACCATCAAAATATTAAATCAATATGATAAGCTCAAAATTTTTCAAGGATTCTCTAGAATTTTCAAGAATCTTGAAAATAAGAGCAAAATAAACCAAAGCAATTAGAAGGAAGAAAATAATCAAGCAGATATTTGTGAAACTAAAACCAGAAAAATAATAGAGAAAAAAACAATAAAACAAAGAGCTGGTTCTTTCAGAAGCTCAGCAAAATTGGCAAACTTATAGCAACTCTAATTTTTTAAAAGGGAGAGAAGACAAATTACCAGTATCAGTAATGAAACAGAAGCTATCACTACAGACCCTGCAGACATCAAAAAATAAAGTAATACTACAAACACTACACACATCATCTTAACAACTTAAATGAAATGGACCAATTCCTCAAAAAATACAAACTACCACTACTCACCTATTACACAGTGCATGACTGTATGAAATACAGTATTAAATATAGTCATGCACCACATATTGATATTTCGGTCAACAATGAACTGCATACAAAATGATGTTCCCAAAAGATTATAATGGAGCTGAAAAATTCCTATCACCTAGTAATGTCATCACTGCCCTAACATCACAGTGCAATCCATTACTCACATGTTTGTGGTGATGCTGGTGGAAACAAGCCTACAGTACCGCCAGTATAAAAGTACAGCATTTACAATTACATACAATACATAATACCTGATAATGATAATAAATGACTGTTTATACTGGTTTGTATATTTGCTCTACTATACTTTTCTCATTATTTTAGAATGTTAGAGTGTACTCTTTCTACTTAAAAAAAAAAAAGTTAACCGTGAAACAGCTTCAGATAGATCCATCAAGAGGTATTTGAGAAGAAGGCATTGTTATCATAGGAGATCATAGCTTCATGCGTGTTATCATCCCTAAGACCTTCCAGTGGGACGTGATGTGGAGGTGAAAGACAGTGATATTGATAATTCTGACTCTGCTGGCCTAGGCTAATATGTGCGTTGGTGTCTTAGCTTTCTTTCTTTTTTTTTTTTTAAATTTTGAAATGGGATCTCACTATGTTGCCCAGCATGGCCTCAAACTCCTGGCCTCACGTGATCCTCCCTCAGGCTCCAAGTAGCTAGGACTACAATCACTTGCCACCATACCCAGCTTGGTGTATTAGCTTTTAACAAAATAGTTTCAAAAGTTTAAAAAATATAAAATTTTAAACGTAGAAAAAGCCTCATAGAACAAGCATATAAAGAAAATATTTTTGTATGGTAATACAATTTGAATTTTAAGCTAAGTGTTATTACAAAAGAATAAAAAAGTTAAATGTTTATAAAGCTTAAAACATTACAGTAAGCTAAGGTTAATTTATTATTAAAGAAAAATTTTTTATGAATTTAGTGTAGTCTAAGTATAGTGTTTATAAAGTCTATAGTAGTGTACAGTAATGTCCTAGGCCTTCACATTCATTCACATTCACTTCATATTCACTCACCACTCACCCACTGACTCACTCAGAGCAACTTCTAGTCCAGCAAGCTTCATTCACAGTAAGTGCCCTACACAGGTGTATTTTTTATAAATTTTTATACCAGAAATCCCCAACCCCTGGGTAGAGGATCAGCACCCCTCCATGGCCCGTTAGGAACTGGGCCACACAGCAGGAGGTGAGCAGTGGGTGAGTGAGCATTACCACTTGAACTCTGCCTCCTGTCAGATCAGCAGTGGCATATGATTCTCATAGGAGTGTAAACCCTACTGTGACCTGTGCATGTGAGAGATCTAGATTGCGTGCTCCTTATGAGAATCTAATGCCTGATGATCTGAGGTGGAACAGCTTCATCCCAAAACCACTCCCCAACCTTGTCTGTAGAAAAATTATCTCCCATAAAACAGGTCCCTGATAAGAAAGATTGGGGACTTCTGTTTTATACTGTATTTTCACTGTACATTTTCTATGTTTAGATATACTTGGATACACAAATCCTTACCATTGTATTACAATTGCCAACAGTATTCAGTAAGGTAACGTGCTATACAGGTTTGTAGACTGGGAGCAATAGGCTATCCCATATAGCCTAAGTGTGTAGTAGGCTATACCACCTAGGTTTGTGTAGGTACACTCTATAATGTTTGAACAGACAAAATTGCCTAAGAAAGCATTTCTTAGATAGTATTCCCATCATTAAGTGATGTATGACTGTAGATAATTTTTAAAGTCTTCTAACTATTATTACTATAATTTTAAAAACCCCAAAAAGGAAATCTCTAGGATCAGATGGTTTCACTGGAGAATTCTACCAAACATTTAAAGAACAATTAACATAAATTCTACATAATCTCTTCCAGTAAATGAAAGAGAACTGAACAAGTCTCAATTCACTTCATAAAGCTAGTATTACACTGATACCAAACCAGACAAACACAGTATAAAAAAAGAAAACTACAGACCATTATCCCTTAGAGACAAAAAAAATCCCTAACAAAACATTAGTAAATAGAATTCAGCAAATATAAAAAGTGTACATCATGACCAAGTGAAGTTTATTTCAGGGATGCAAGGCTAGTTCAATATTCCAAAATCAATCCATATAATCCACTATACCAAAAGGCTAAAATTACATGATCATATCAATTGATACAGAAAAAAGCACTTATCAAAATTCAGTCCCTCTTCATGATTTTTTTAAAATTTTCAGAAAATTAGGAATAAGAAGGAACTTCCTCAACTTGATAAGCCACATCTATAAAATGCCTACAGAGAATATTATGCTTATTAGTGAAAGGCTAAATACTTTCCTCCTAAGATCAGAAACAGAGTAAAGACATCCACTCTCACCACTATTTTTAGCCAACATGTTGCTGGAACTTCTAGCCAATGCAACAAAACAAGAAAGGAAATGAAAAATATACGGATTGGAAAGAAAGAATAAAACTCTCTATATTTGCAAATAACATGATTATATAGAAACAAAACATCTATATTTTGTTTTATATAGACAAAACAAAAACAAAAACAAAAATCCTTGAACTAACAAGTGAGTTAGCAAGGTTGCAGAATCAATATGCAAAATTACTTATGTTTCTATATATTAGCAGTTGCATTCCTGGGAATCTTGTAAGCAAATGTTCATGCACACACACACACAAAAGCTGTACGTGAATGTTCATAGCAGCTATGTTCATAATAACCCAAAACTGGAAATAACCCAGATGTTCTTCAACAGGTGAATGATTAAGCAAACTGGTACATTCATACAATGGAACACTTCTCAGCAATGAAATGGAACAAAATACTGATACACACAACAACCTCTTTGTTTTGTTTTGTTTTTGAGATGGAGTCTCACTCTGTCGCCCAGGCTGGAGTGCAGTGGTGCCACCTCAGCTCACCACAATCTCTGCCTCCTGGGTTCAAGCAATTCTGGTGCCTCAGTCTCTTGAGTAGCTGGGATCAAAGCCACCATGCCTGGCTAATTTTTGTATTTTTAGTAAAGATGGGGTTTCACCATGTTTTCCAGGCTTGTCTTGAACTCCTGACCCCAGGTGATCCGCCTGCTTTGGCCTCCCAAAGTGCTGGGATTACAGGCCTGAGCCACCATGCCTGGGCAGCAAACCTCTTGATGAATCTCCAGAGAAATATGCTGAGTGAAAAAGCCAACCCTAAAAGGTTACATACTCTATATTTCCATTACTTAAGATGATTGAAATGACAAAATTATTGTTAAAGAAATGGAGACCAAACTAGTGATTTTCAGGAGCTAAGATGGGATGTGAATGGAAAGGAAGCAGATGTGACTTTAAAAGGCCAACATGAGGGATCTTTGCAGTAATGAAAATGCTACATATCTTGGCTGTACAAATGTCAATATCCTGGCTGTGATATTGAATTCTACACAGTTTTGTATGATATTAAGAATATTACCATTGGGGTAACAGTACATTGGATCTCTGTATTTTTTCTTACCACTATTTGTGATTCTATAATTATCTCAAAATAAAATGTTTAAGAAATTAAATGTATACATCATGCAACAAGCAAGGTAAATATAGTACCCACACACTAAGTTTTTAAGAAAACAAGCCACAAATAAAAAGTCATGCAAATTCACTGCAATTCCCATTCTATGGGTTCTAAGAAAGGCATAGCACCATTCCACATTCCAGGGGAGGGGACTTAGATTCCACCTATTGATGAGTACATGGTAAGGTCACATTATTTAAAAAAGTATGTGTAATGGGAGATACTGTTGTGGCCAAATACCATCTGCCACAATGAGTAATGTTATTCACCGCCATCCTCTTTTTTCCTCCTGAAAAAGTGCCTGAGGAGGAATGAATGAATCCTTTACTTCATTTACTCCTTATTTTTTACCGTATCCCTCATCCCTTCTCTTGCAAAAGTAACTCTCTCTCCATCTCCCCTTATTTAAGGTTCTGCCTGCTTGCACTGTTTTTATTGATGTTGAGATGGGTTGCTGGCTGGAGTCTTCTGAATGTTGACTGGAATATAAGAACAGATACAAATAGGTACTGATGGTATAGCTATGTCTGCCCAAAAAGAAGTGTTTTGGAAAAGGTAAATTGTGTTTTGTAAATCGAATTACTTCTTAAATTCCTTCAGGAGATTTTACGCTTGATTTTAATAAATACTTTTATAAATCTTCTCCTAATTTAAATATTAAATTGTCCTGGATTTATGAGTTTACCGAAAGCAAAGGATATCCTTTACCTATGTGACACTAATTTGCCAACTACTTCCTTTACGATAAGGGGCCATGTTCTTCCTGTTTTCAACTCTAGAATTCCCTCCATCCCTCCCTGTTTTCAACTCCAGAGGTCCCTCCATCACCCTAATAATGTGTTGTCACTGTGCCCCTGCTAAAGGAACATGATACTGCTACTTGACAAGAGCTACTCTCTCTCCTCAAGAAGGTAAATTGCTTTTCCAATAGGGATGAAGAATTTTGGCAAATCCATCCAAAGCTTTCGGTTGACTTCCCATTGTTGGGCCTTCCGTGGACTAGGAGTAGTTACCCTCTTGCAATCTCTCACCTGTTGATTAAATAGGTAAATGGTCTAGATACAGTGAAGGAAGAAAGTATGTTTTGCTACTTAAGAGGTGCTTTTTGATCAATCTATAAGACAAATCAAAGACCTAAACTTGAATGTTTGCTTAAATTAAGCTATAGCCGAATTTCTACTAATTATTTCATGCATGAGAAAGATGTCCTCCTTCCTTAATACCTATAACTAGGGATAAGGTTTGAATCGTAATTATCCTTGGGAACAAAACTCACTGGCTTGAATTCACACTAATAAATGACTACTTATTCTTCTCTGAGAGGTTTTGTTGGGTGTGCTCTTTGTATATGGAAAGTTTAGAGAAAAATTAAATGGTAGACCAGATGAAAGGGTGGAATGGCCCAGAAGAGAAAAATACACGATGCAGGGGTTTAAGACCTATATGTAGCAGGAGAAGCTGTGGACCTATGCAGAAATATCACAATTTTCTCTTTTTATTGGTTCTAGGCCCTATAACCTAGAGTCACTGTGTAGTGACTCATCGATTTACTTGTCTATTTTTTTCTTTGAAGTTTTTCATTTCTACATTATACGGAGCCTTTGACAGCTTAACATTTGGAATTTTAAGAACATTTGAGTTAGGGAGCACTTAAGAGAGACTCATGTCCAACCTCCTTTAGACTCTGGAAATCCTCCTCCTCACATGGAGAGCAGTTGAAAACATTAGGGATGCTTAGCCTAAAGAACACAATGGCCTTCTTACGGTACTTGAAGGGTTCTTCTCTGTAAAAAATTTGATGCTTGCTTTCTCTGAACCTGGGTGATCAGAGTTCAAAAACTTACTAAAGGTCAGATCATCCCAACTTGAAAAAAGATGTTTTCCAATAGATATAATCACCCATGAGCAGAACAGGCATTTATTTGGCTCAGATGCTCTGTAGGGGCTTCAGGCTTTCGATGCATTGTAGGATGTAATGACTTTTAAGTATTCTTTTCACCCTGAGATGCTAGAGCTGCAACTGTCCAATATGGTAGCCATTAGCCACATGTGGCTACTGAGCACTTGAAATGTGGCTAATCCAGTATGTAAAATGCATGCTGTATTTCAACGACCTGGTACTAAGAAAATGTAAAATATCTCATGAATAGTTTTATATTGATTATATATTGAAATGATATTTTAATCAATTAGGCTAAATAAAATATATTATTAAAATTAAATTCACCTGTTTCTTTTTACATTTTTATAACATCTCCCAGAAAACGTTAAATTACATATGTGGCTATGTGGCTAATGGTATATTTCTATTGGACAGCACTGTTCTAGCTAATTTGAGGCTTTTCAACTCAAAGCCCCATACTTTCCTTAAAAGAGGATATCTTCTGGTCAACTGCACTATGACCCTTTCCTACTTCATGCCTTAAAATGTACCCTAAGACTCGTCCTTAGGGTAAACAACACTGGCACTGTAAGACATAGTTTCCAGAAAGCATTTAATATGAATTTTTGAAATAGATGGGGAAGATAGAGATTCTTAGCCTGTGTCTTGATTAGATTCTCTAATCTTCCCCCCATTACCCATTAATAGTTTAGTTTATAAGATTAGAAGATTAGTTTATTTGATCTTGAGCATCTGGCTCAAGTTGAATTTCAAGAGTGTTGAATTTCAGAGGATTAAACAAACTAGCACCCAAAGTAGTCAGGGAACATGGAAACAGATGGTGCCACAAATCAGGGTAGATGACACAATCAGGCCTTTCTCGTTGGTGGTTACAAAAGGATGAGGGTCTCAGGGAAGGGTGAGACCCAGGATACTTGGCAGGTACTGAAGGCCAGTGGTTGGAAAAGATCCCAGACAAACACCATTGCCTCCTTATCCCACTGCCTGCCCAAAAATATCTCCAGGAGCAAAGAAGTCTCTTTTTTTTTTTTTTTTTTTTTGAGACAGGGTCTCACTCTGTCACCCAGGCTGGAG
This sequence comes from Homo sapiens, assembly GCF_000001405.40. Lineage (NCBI taxonomy): Eukaryota > Metazoa > Chordata > Mammalia > Primates > Hominidae > Homo > Homo sapiens. The sequence goes on from NC_000006.12 coordinate 47,072,110, forward strand.
TACAGTGGTGCAATCTGGGCTCACTGCAACCTCTGCCTCCCGGGTTCAAGTGATTTTGTTCCACCTCAGCCTCCTGAGTAGCTGGGATTACAGGTGTATGTCACTATACCCAGCTAATTTTTATATTTTTAGTAGAGACTGGGTTTCACTATGTTGGCCAGGCTGGTCTAGAACTCTTGACCTCAAGTGATCCACCCACCTTGGCCTCCCAAAGTGCTGAGACTACAGGCATGAGCCACCACACCCGGCCAACAACTCTCTTGATGAACACCCTTTGCTGGAGAGGGATCTCTCCATTGAATGGCATGCACAGAGCCTCAGTTTCCTTTTATGTAAATGAATCCCTGCACACAAGGGTTGTTGTAAGGATTAAATGAGATAATATGAAGAAAGTGCCTAGTACAGAGGAAATACTCAGTAAATAGGTTCAGCTATGACTTCTTTTCTCTGACACCATTAGGCAAATATTCTACATCGGGGCACCTAAGAATGTGTTCCTCCTAGCTACCAAGGAGTGAGGCCTGTGCTTGAAAAAATGAAATAGCAAAGCACAAATTCAAATTAGTTATGTTGCTAGCCTGTAAAAATAAAATGCAAACTCAATTTGAACAACTTATAAATTTAAATTGCTAAAGTGTTTCCTAACCCCAAATTACAATTATCTTCAAAGTATTAAAGAGCATTAAAAGCACTTATCCTGAAAGAGCTATTTTAATGTTTGGCTAACAGCAGAGAATGTTCTCACACAACCTAACCCTCAGTAAGCACTCCACAAATGCTAACTAAGAGAAAACTCATACTCTTGGTTATTGAAAATCTCAGGCAAGCCAGATAGCTTTATCTCCTTTCTCATGGCAGTTATCTTGTAGAGCAAAACTGATCCACGGTTGCTACTTGAGATTTGTAAGTTGCCCTTGTAAGACTGGAAATGCTAAGAGTCCATTCACTGATTCAGAGAAACATTTATTCCATTCTGGCACTGTGAAAAGTGCTGAAACAAAAATGAACAATGGTGGTAATAAAGGACAATGGCATCCAAGTTCAAGAATGTACAGAGTGCCATGAGGTTTAAAGGAGGGAATGGCTGTACCTGGAGGTAGGGGTGGGGTATTATTCAAGAAAAGCCTCCTAGTGGTTAGAGATGAAATAACCCTGGAGTTGGGTCTTAAAACACAGATTTTTAGGTAATGTGGCATAGATGAGGGTTGGGGGCAGAGAAAAATTGAGCAACGAGACAAATAAGGAAAGGTAAATAGAGAGAGGTCAATCTGGGCAAAGTGAAAATAGAGCATATGTTTAGCTTGTGGTCTGTGTGTTGTGGTGCAAGAGGTGTGGGTGAGAGATAAATGGAGAGCTGAGGGGCAGGCTGGGGCTAGATGATAATAGGGTTTTTTGCTTCCCCTGTGGAGTATGCACTGCATCCTAAAAGCAACAGGAAGCCATTGAAGGAATTTCACTCCAGCTGCTTTAAGGAAGATCGATTGCAGACACACACACACACACACACACACACACACACGCACACGCAAAAACCCAGAGGCAAGAGGAGCATTTTAATAATACAAGAAAAAGACAGGAACAGAGGAGGAGAGCACCAAATACATATCAGAGTTGCCAAGGAAGGTCAGGTCTACAAGATGTGGTAACTGACTAGGAAACCATAGGAGGTGAAGGAAAGAGGAAGAGGGAGGATGACCCCCAGGTTTCCGATTTAAATGGTGGTGTCATTCTGCAGATTGGGGTACAAGATTTATAGGAAAGGTAAGTGCAATTTGGGGTGTGTTGAGTTTGAGCTGCCAAGGGGAAGAGATCTTGAAGGAAACAGTTGGAACTTAGGGGGAAAGTCTGGGGTGGAGATATAAATATAGGGGCCATCAGTATGTAGGTAGAAGATGGAACCATGGACATGGAGGAAATTGCCACAGGAGATTGAGAAGGGATGAGACCCAAGGACCCTAAGGAATCTGGGGATGGGGGTGGGAAGGAATCATCAGAGAGTGAGAAGGAAAAGTATTCATCTTCGATGAATAGAAAAAGGCCATAAGGTACAAGGGGCTTAGGAAAGTTCATGATGCTTTAGAGAATATTTCAAACTTGTTCCTGTTGGGAACTTCAAGTTCAACTTCAAGGTCATTATATATGCATGCTGCTGTCAGCCAGAAGAGATGAAGGCTCCTTGGGTTGGGGTCAGGGTTGGAATAGGGTAGGGAGAAATTCTCGAGAAGGAGAAGTAAGAGGTGATGGTGTCATGGAAATCAAGAGTAGAATTTCAAAAAGTAATTGATGGAGACAAATACTATGTAAAAATCCAAACAAGGTGAGGCTAAAACAAGTCCTTTGCCTTTAACAATTAGAAGGTCATTTTCAAAATGTAACTGTATGAGATGATAGACCTGTTAATCTGCTTCACTGCAGTAACCATTTTACTATCTATCTGTTGCAAACCTCAAATATACATAACAAAATTTATTTTTTAAAAAAGAAAATAAAGAAGATATTTCGTGCCTTGTTTCAGAACCATTTCATTGGAATTGTGGGCTACGAGTGGGAGAGTTGTTGTGTGGGAGGCTGAGGGTTTAAAGAGGAAACCAATGTTGTGGAAAATATAGCCTGCAAAATGTAGGTAGGAGTAGACATGTCCAATAGAAAGGATCCTTTGAAGGACCTTATCCAGGAGGGGAAGGGAAGAAGGAAAAGTATTGGGGAAGAAGAGGAGAAAGACACAGGTTAAGTAAAGGTGAGGAGGGGTGTTTTTAAAAGATGAAGGAGGGCCGGGCGTGGTGGCTCACGACTGTAATCCCAGCACTTTGGGAGGATGAGGCGGGTGGATCACGAGGTTAGGAGTTCAAGACCAACCTAGCCAACATGGTGAAACCTAATCTGTACTAAAAATACAAAAATTAGCTGGGCATGGTGGTGAGTGCCTGTAATCCCAGCTACTCGGGAGGCTGAGGCAGGAGAATCGCTTGATACTGGAAGGCGGAGGTTGCAGTGAGCCGAGATCGCACCACTGCACTCCAGCCTGGGCAACAGAGCAAAGCTCTATCTCAAAAAAAAAAAAAAAAAAGATGAAAGAGAACTGAGCATTTTTATAGCACATGGAAATGGAGCCAGTTGAAAGAGAAAAGGACGATGCAATGGAAAGCAGAAATAACTTGGAACAAGTTCCTAGAGGAGACATTTGGATGAGGAATACAAGAGGCGGGACTAGCAGTAAACTGGAGAAAGACTGTCTTTGTGTGAAACTGAAGGAAGAGAGAGGCGGGGAGGAGGGGGCATATCTTCCATTTTCTCTCAGAAGTTGGAGGCCAGTAGCTCTTTGGCAGAGGAAGGCTTGAAGGAAAGGATGAAGGTTTAGGAGGGCAGATGTGGAAGGGATGTGGAAGAAACAACGTGGCCATTTTCATGATGGTTGGAATTAAACCCTCTAAATGAACAGGAACATTCTGTTAGAAAGGAAAAAGAAATGTGTTTAGGCTGCAGCCCCTGGGGGTGGTTTTAGCTTGAAGAAATCACCAACTTATTTGGAACCCCTTTTGCCCGTGATTTTTTCATACTTCTGTGTTCATTTTAATTAAACTGGCCTTTATTCTTGTGAGTAATCAAGGAATATTCTGAGATAAAGCATGTCACAGCATGCAAAACAGCAACACTCATTTCTCCCCCTGGATCTAGTCGGCAGCCACCAAGGGCTCACCACTCTATTAAAATGACACGGCCGTCATTTCAGTGAATTGCAGTATGTCTGGTTTGGCAATCTGCAGAGGTGATTAAGGATCCCTGTGAAAGAGATGAGGTTTCTGGTGCTGAGAGGAGCAGGTCTACTCTGTGTAACAGTATTGTGGCGGAAAAGCTCTGACAAGAGAGGGTACAACGTCCTTTTGGACACCAGATCATGGGGCCATGCAAGATGTTATCTGGGCTTGTTGGCCTTGGAAAAAAAGATGGTCTTGGAACAATTTGGGCAGGAAGACAATGGGATTCTTTATTTCTTGGCACAGGAATGAATGAATCTTTATCCCAAATGCAAAGCAGGCATTAAATTCAAGGACAATAAATGGTGAGACCAGCATTCCAGGAACAATCCCAGGCTTTCTCTGTGTGCTCACAGTGAAAACAGTCCCACAGGGCTTCAAAGAGACATGTGGATTTCTTTTTCTCTTTTTAAGTAAACAAAATTAAGAGAGAACACGCACTTCCTACAGCTGCGAATTGCCCAGAACTTCTCCCTACCCTATTCCAACCCTGACCCCAAACCATGGAGGCTTCATCTCTTCTAGCTGACAGCAGCATGCACATATAATAACCTCGAAGTTGAAATTGAAGCTATCCAAGCACCCCAATAGGAACAAGTTTGAAATATTCTCTAAAGCTTCATGTACTTTCCTAAGTCCCTTGTACCTTGTGGCCTTTTTCTATTCATCGAAAATGAGCATAAATTTATTTGAACAAACTACAATATTGATCATGTATGTTTACGAAAGTGATAAAGTTGAGGGGGATCAGACAGTTCACGCTGCAAAAGTATGCACTGTGATACTCTGAATAGCAAGCTCCTTGATGCATTTTTAAAATTGGTTTTTATTTATAGAAATGAATGAGTTCGGTCTTCGGTACAAAGGGTCATACCAGTATTCCTTTAGCTCAGCCTTCAGCTTGTGAAGGAGAAGCTTCATGCTAAAAACTGGCATTAAAAAACTGGTGCGAGTCAGGATGGGACCTGGAGTGAGCTGCCCCTTTACTTTCTACTTCCTCTCAGCCTGGCAGAATGCCATCCCCACAAAAAGTCAAGTCTTTGTAGAAGCCGGCAAGGCTCTTTGTGGAGTCACCTCTTGCCACTTCCCAGAAATCACTCTAGAGTCAGGGAATTGCAAATAAAGTTTGCTCCACATCACATGATCCCCTCCTCCCACAAACATCCCTCCTTGAGTCCCACGGTTTACATATCCCCACAAGGTCAACTCAAGGACATTTGGTCACATGCAGAGTTATAGAAACAGTACACATAGAGCAGGCTGTGCAGCAAGCTCAGAGATTAAATATTTTGCTAATTCCATGTAGGCTTTCACGTGGGACTGCTTCCCTTTGACAGAGAGTTATCCTTTTCCCAGAGCAAGAGTAAAATGTGACCAATCCTTCAGGGCAGACAATTCTAGTTCAGTTCCATGAGTATTTCTGCAACAGATCTAGCATTTGTTGAACATAATGAGGGACAAAAGAAATTAAAAACCAGGTCTGGACTTCGACGATCTTATAATTGAGATTAAAGATAGGAAACATGCACATCTATGAAATAGTTTATTGATTTATTCATGCAATCAACAAAATTCTATCAAGAATCTGCCTTGTCACAGGCACTATGCAAGATACTGGAGAAATAACAAATACATAAGTTTTGCTCCTGCCTTCAAAATGCTCTCAGTGTGACTGATGGAAACAGAATCATCAGTATAGGGATCAGCAGTGGCAGGAAATAGAGGCAGAAATAACTTACATATCCAATAAATACTGAAGGAGTTCACTGCAGAAGAAATGAGCAAGTGCATCAGAAATCAGGTAAAACAACATGGACGAATAGAACTTAGGGTTTTCTTTTTTTTCTTTTAAATTTTATTGTGGTAAAAATACTTAACCTGGGATCTATCTTCTTAACACATTTTAGTGTATAATACAGTATTGTTATCTATAGGCATGATGTTGCACACTAGATCTCTAGAATATATTCTTCTTATATAACTGAGACTGTATACTGTATACCCAATGAACAGCAACTCCTCGTTTGCCTCTCCTCCTAGCCCCTGGCAACCACAATTCTATTCTGTGCTTCCATGAATTTGACTATTTTTCAGATCCTTCGTATCAGTGGAATCATGAAACATTTGTCCTTCTGTAACTGGATTATCTCGCTTAGCCTAATGTCCTTCAGGTTCATCTGTGGTGTCACATATTGCAGGATTTTCTTCCATTTTAAGGCTGAATAATATTCCATATTATGTGTATAGCCCATTTTTTAAATCCATTTATCCATTGATGGACATTTCTGCATTTGGGCTATTGTGAATAGTGAAGTAATTAACATGGGATTTCATGTTTGGAGAGATAGGCTTTGAAGTGAATGTTAAAGGATAGTTAGGTTTAGATAAGTAGAGAGAAGAGGTGAGGCACTTCAGTAAGAAAGAATCAAAATAAATGATGTTACCAAGAAGTCTGTGAGCATGGTAGCTCCCAGGATAGGAGAATGAAGTAAGAGCTGCAGTGAACCACTATACATATTCGTAGCTCTTTAAAATGCAGTGAAGTATCCTGCTTCACACTTAGGCAATTGGTCACAAAAAGGTTAGTGAACTGACTATTAAAATATAATATGAGCATATGTATAACACTTGCAGTTCTGTCTCTTATTTCCTGTATATCTTTGGATCAGTTATTTAATTTCTTTGAGACTCATTTGCCTCAATCATAATATTACCTGTTACCAAATAAGCTTGTTGTGAGAACTAAGTAGGTTATACATGAAATATAATTCAAACAGTGCCTGACATATAATATGTACTCAATAGACATTATTATTAAATATAGAAAAAGTACTCGGAGGCTGGGCGTGGTGGCTCATACCTGTAGTCCCAGCACTTTGGGAGGCCAGGCGGGCAGATCACTGGGGCCAGGAGTTTGAGACCAGCCTGGCCAACATGGTGAAACCCAGTCTCTACTAAAAATACAAAAATTACCTGGGCATGGTGGCACATACCTGCAATCTAAGCTATTCAGGAAGCTGAGGCAGGAGAATCACTTGTACCCGGAGGCAGAGGTTGCAGTGAGCCAAGATCATGCCACTGCACTCCAGCCTAGGCATCAGAGTGAGACCCTGTCTCAAAAAAAAAAAACAAAAAAAAGTACTGAGAGATATGGTAATAATGGCTAACACTTATTGAGTGCTTACTATAAGCTGGGGAATTTACTAAATGCTTTACAAGTATTAGATAATTTCATGTATAGTAAAATATTAACAAGATATGTCTGGGCAGCAGAGCCATCAACAGATGGCTGGGGAAGATTTCTCCCTGACTCTGCCTAATATCTCCCGTTTGTCCCTGTTTTAGATCAGACACCTAGATGCAGCGTTTGAGACAGGGATTTCAGCACATGCGATTTATTGAGGGGAGTCTCAGAAGAAAGGGAGAGCAGGAAGGAGACGGAGCAGGGAAAGAGCTAGACAAGAATGTCCTCACCTGAGCTCCGGCTTCACCCTAATCTCAGGGAGCGTGAAATGTACCCCAGAGTTGGTTCTGCTTCAGGCAAGGGGACCACCTATGTACCGCTCATTGGCTGCAGGCTGCCCCTGGGCTGAGGGTGGTGAACGTAACCTCCCTTGGGACTCCAGTCAGCCTATAGTAATTCTCTGAAGGAAGAAGGAGCAGCTGTAAACTGTTAGCAGCCCACACTCTTATCTGGTGAAGGATGGATACACTGGCTCAGTAAAAGGGACCTAGGTGCTGGGTAAAAAACCACCCCAAACTTAGTCACGGAAAACAACAGCAATCATTCATTTCCCTTACGAATCTACAATGTGAGCAAAGCTTGGCTGGACAACTTGTCACTATATTACATGGTATCAGCTGGTGTAGCTTGAACACTCGGGGGTGACGATGACTGCTGAGGACTGAAGTCATCTGAAGGCTCACGATGGTGTTGGCTTTAGGCTAGAACACCTATACGTGGTTTCTCCACAAGGTGGCCTCTCCTCCTCATGGCTCTGGATTCCAAGAAGGAGCATTTCGAGAGAACAAGGGGAACGCACTTGGTATTTTTATGACCTATCCTTGAAAGTCACAGTGTCACTTCTGCCTTACTGTATTGGTCCAGGCACCCATAAAGGACCAGCCAGATTCAAAGAGAAGTGCTATGGACTGAATGTCTGTGTCCCCCCAGAATTCATATGTTGAAGTTCTAGTCCCTAGTGGGATGGGATTTGGAGGTAGGAGCCTTGGGAGATGATTAGATTTAGATAAGGTCATGAGGGCGAAGTACCCATGATGGGATTGGTGCTCTTATAAGAGAAAGAAAACTGAGCCCTCTGTCTCTCCACCACTTGAGGACACCGTTAGAAGATGGCTGTCTGCGAGCCAGGGAGAGGGCCTCCACCAGAAGCCAGCCATGCCGGCATCCTGATCTTGGACTTCCCAGTCTCAGGAACTGTGAAAAATAGACGTCTGCTATTTAAGCCACACAGTCTATAGCATTTTGTTACAGCAGCCTGAACTAAGATAGGAGGTGTGTTAGTCTGTTAGGGTTACTGTAACCTAATACCACAGACCAGGTGGCTTAAACAATAGAAACTATATTTTCTCACAATTCTGGAGCTGAAAGTCCAAGATTGGGGTGTTGGTAGGGTTGGTTTCTCTGGGGGAACTCTCCTTGGCTTGCAGATGGCCACCTTTTTACTGTGTTCTCACATCATCATCTCTCTGTGTGTATACATGTCTAGTGTTTCTCTGTGTCTCCAAATTTCCTTTTCTTATAAAAACACTAGTCCTTATCTGGGTACAGTATCTCATGCCTGTAATCCCAGCATTTTGGGAGGCCAAGACAGGAGAATTGTTTGAGGCAGGAGCTAGAGACATAGCTAGCAACATAGCAAGACCCCATCTCTACAAAAAATTTTTTAAAAAATAAGCCAGGTCAGGCGTGACAGCATGTATTCCTAGCTACCCTGGAGGCTGAGGCAGAAGGATCACTTGAACACGAGGTTGAGGCTGCAGTGAGCTATGGTCATACCACTGCACTCCAGCGTGCAGACTGAGAGTGAGATTCAGTCTCTTAAAAAAAAAAAAAAAAAAGACACTAGTCCTTATAGATAAGAGCCCACCCTAAAGACTCATTTTAATTTAATCACCTCTTTAAAAACCTTAATTCCAAATAAGTTTGTATTCTGAGGTACTAGGTGTTAGGATTTCAACACACAAATATTTGTGGGGGGCACAATTCAGCCCATGACAGACAGCAGGAAACACAGACTTCACCACTCAGTGGCAGGAGGGCCAACATCACATTGTAGGAAGAACATGTGGGATAAGATATATTGTGGGGACCTTTGGAAAATACAAACGATCTCAGGCACCAACATTTACTTCAGTGCCTTAGCTTTTCGTCTTTCATCTTTGATTAGAACAAACCTCAATAAAAGTAAAATGTTTTGCAAAGAAACATTGACTCAGTTCTCTATAGTTGTCACTTTCCAACCAGTTTGCTGTCTTCCTACACAGAAATTCTGAAGCCACTACTCTCTTCTGGGTAATGGAACTATGAGTGCTGTGTTATTTTTAATAATAGTATATTCTTATAGATAGATTGTATGTTACATAAAGTGCATATATTTGTAAAAAAAAAAAGTTATAAAAATAATGCATTGATGAAATGTGGCATTGGTAAAGTACTACTTAAACTCCCAACCAGAATCTAAATTGTAGCAAATTGAGACTGCCGTATTCACTGTGTTTCAGAAATAAAGTCCCCCTCATATTGGAAGATTGTTATCTTTAAAAAAAAATTTTATTGTTCTTTATCGGATTAGAACTTAATGCAGGTTTGGCAATCACTGTTGATTGGCTATACAATGTTCTCTATCTTTCCTAACACACTTTTTATGTTTTATTACAACATTTTTAAATTAAGAATACATTTTTAGAATTAAAAATTAACAAATCATAAAATTATACACAGTGAACAATCTTCTTTCCACCTTTGTCATTTGCTCAGTTTCCAATACTCTTTTTATTTTTTTTTTGAGATGGAGTCTCGCTCTATCACCCAGGCTGGAGTGCAATGGTGCAATCTAGGCTCACTGCAACCTCCACCTCCCGGGTTCAAGTGATTCTGTCACCTCAGCCTCCTGACTAGCTGGGATTACAGGCACCTGCCATCATGCCCAGCTAATTTTTTTGTATTTTTGTAGAGATTGGGTTTCACCATGTTGGCCAGGCTGGTCTCGAACTCCTACCTCAGGTGATCCGCCTGCCTCAGCCTCCCAAAGTCCTGGGATTACAGGCATGAGCCACTGTGCCCAGCCAGTTTCCAATACTCTTCTTAGTGTATCTTTCCAGAATTTTATTGCATTTCAAGAAAATGTTGTCCTCCTTTTTCACAAAATGTAGCTCATTTTACACATTCTTCTATACACTTTGCCTTTGTTGCTTTATATTTTAGAGATCTTTCCATATAAGTTCATAGATATGCATACATCTGTGACACATGTAAGCATAGCAGATTACCCTCCATAGAACTGGCCCAACAGAATGTATTGTCACTTTTGTATTTTTGCAAATCTGATTGGTGAAAAATGGTATCTTTGTGTAATTTAAATTTATATTTATCTTACTCTGAGTGATCATGAGCATTATTTTATACATTTAAGAGTTATTTGAATTTCCTATTTTATGAACTGTCTATTTTTTTAACTCATTTTTTATATTGGCTTACTGGTCTTGTAAAAATTTTAGTTCTACTATCCTTTTTTATATAGAGAAATTCGCCCTTTGTCAGAAATATGAGCTCTGGCTGGGCGCTGTGGCTCATCTCTGTAATCCTAGCACTTTGGGAGACCAAGGTGGGTGGATCACCTGAGGCCGGGAATTCAAGACCAGCCTGACCAACACGGAGAAACCCTGTCTCTACTAAAAATACAAAATTAGCCAGGCTTGGTGGCACATGCCTGTAATCCCAGCTACTTGGGAGGCTGAGGTAGGAGAATCACTTGAACCCAGGAGGCAGAGGTTGCGGTGAGCTGAGACCATGCCATTGCACTACAGCCTGGGCAACAAGAGTGAAATTCCGTCTCAAAAAAAAAAAAAAAAAGAAAAGAAAGAAAGAAAAAAGAAATAAGAGCTCCATTCTACTTCTAAACTTCAATTTTGTTAGGTATTAGACTAGTTAAAACATCCTGATGCACATGCTTACTATGAAAACCTTAGAAAACGGAAAAAGAAAAATAATCAGCATAATCCCATAAAACAGATCCAATTGTTGACCTAAGCAACCTTTTCTTGACCTATTTCTCTAAAGAGATGAGAGTTACAGAAAAAGGAAAGGAGGGAAACATTTACTGAGCATTTACTATATGAATTTTATTCACATAATCCCATTTATAATCCTTAGAACAGTTCTATCAGATAACTTATTTCCATTGCATAGCTAAGAAACTTGAAGTTCGGATAGGTTTAAAAAACTGGATCAATATCACACAGCTAGTATTCTGAAGAAATCTAGTTCTTAAGAACTGGAACTGGAGTTCCAACTGGGAACAGCCAGACCCTAAAATTCCTGTTTGTCCCATAGTTCTTGTTGCATTCCCAGCCCCTGTGTTTTAAGAGTAGGCTGTTACATGTTTGAAGATCCATAACAATTGAATAACAGAGTCTTTACACTAGTAAAAAAGCTCTGCTGTTAAAACCAAAACCAAACCAAAATCATAACCCAGCTGATAACAACCCTAGTGAAGAAGAAGAGAACTTCGTTGTTGTTTTGAATACCACTAGAATTCATTTACTCCTAGTCCTGGAACATTTCACAAGTCAGGAACTGTCACATTCATCAGGAAGTAGAGCCCAGCTGGCTGTGGCTGGCTCTTGGCCATGTGCAGACAACCCCTGGTCATTTGTCAATGTTCCCCAGGAGTGCCTGCTTCATGTTAAAATCCTGGCAGTGTGCCTCACTCCACTGTATAATTGCACTGGCCGCAGTAAGGCTGACTAAATCCTAACGATGCTTCTGCTAACTCCATGGGCCCTGCAGGCTGGAAGTGTCCAGAAACAGAACAGGGCACACCCAAAAGTGCAGTCCAAAGACTGGAGGCTCCTCTGGTTTTTTGACATGGGTAAACATTTCACTGTCAAATTGTCAACATGCAGTACTGGCAGAGCTTTCTTCTGAGCTAGAATAGAATCTTGAAACTGGAATGGACATCAATCATTCCCTAATACCGTGTTTACAAACTGTCCTCTGAGGACCCCTGAGATGGTGGAGGTTTCCATAAGAGACCACGTTGGGGGCATCCAGGAAAACTAAACAGGTGAGGGTCTTCATTTTACGCCCTGTTCTAGTCCATTCAGCTGCTATAACAAAATACCGTAAACTAAGTAGCGTATAAACAGAAATTTATTTCCCACAGTTCTGGAAACTGAGAAGTCCAAGATCAAGGCAAATTCTGTGTCTGGTAAGGGTGCTTTCTGGCTCACAGCATCTTCTTGCTGTGACCTCACATCAGGAAGAGGCAAGGGATCTTTCTTGGACTTCTTTTGTAAGGCACTAATGCCATTTATGAGGGTTCACCTCATGATCAAATCGCCACCAAATCCCGCCCACTGCTAATACTCGTCACATTGTGGATTAGGATTCAACACATGAATTTGGGGGAAACATGAGCATTCAGATCATAGCACACCTCAAGCTCAACCAGATCAGCACTACTTCTATCTATGGCTTCCACATAAGATTTATTTGGAAATGGCTCCCAGATAAAACAAGCATGAGAACCACTTCATTTTACTGGTGTAGAAACGGAGGCTCAGAAAGGGTGTGATATGGCCAGGTCACATGGGAAGTTAGGGGCAGGCCTAGGACTAGTAGCTGACTCCTCAGCCAAAGCTCTCTCCACTCTGTGGGCTCTGTTACAGTACTGAGTCCTCCAGTTTGCTGTGTTTCTTGCCCTTCTTCTTAGGAATCTGCAGCCAGCTATTCCTCAAGCCCTCAGCTGTGGATCAAATCACTCTGAATTCTCAAAAGCTCCTATATGATGCCAAGTTCTCAGTAAAACTGTTCTTGGCTTTTCCCAAGTCTTCCCCAATCACAGCACATCCTGCTCAGCCCCGCATCATGCTGAGCCTTATTGGAGCCTAAGGCAAAGGAAAAATACGTGGCCCTATAAGCACTTATCAAGATATCCTCCTACACTTTAAATCAAGTAAAAGCATTAATAAAACCTCTGCCATTAAAACCAAAACCAAAAATCTTGTCTATACACAAAGCATCTCATCATTACCAACCCTCCTCATATGCCCACACAGGAGGATGCAAGAGCAACGCAGATCCAGGAACCAAGTGCTGATGGGAAACAGCCTTCCCTGTCGCACAATAACCCAATGTCATAAGACAAACAAACAGCAACACCTTGTCTTTATGTAAAATTTTGGTATTTTGTTAATCACAGCTTTTTACAGGAATTTTGTAGTTTTTTTTTCCAGTATTACATTAAAATGTTTATTTTGATTGCTGTGTTTTTTTGGTGCTCCCTTAAATTTTACTCCTGTCTCCCCTGACCCTAATCCCTATGCTGCAGTCGGGCAGCTCCTCCCCACCACAGGGATTTCCAGACCCTTGTCTAGTCATTTATAGAACCCAAAGACACAATAGCCCATGAGTCAGCCAATATTTTGTCCCCCTTAAAAATTCTGGATCTGGCCAGGTGTGGTGGCTCACACCTGTAATCCCAGCCCTTTGGAAGGCTGAGGTAGGTGGATCACCTGAGGTCAGGAGTTCAAGACCAGCCTGACCAACATGGTGAAACCCTGTCTCTACTAAATATAAAATATTAGCCAGGCGTGGTGGTGCATGCCTGTAATCCCAGCTACTTGGGAGGCTGAGACGGGAGGATAGCTTGAACCCAGGAGGTGGAGGTTGCAGTGAGCCGAGATTGCACCATTTCACTCCAGCCTGGGCAACAAGAGCGAAACTGAGTCTCAAAAAAAAAAAAAAAAATTCTGGATCCACCTCATTATTTTCTTATTTATCTCAGCCCTCTTTTCCCCCACCCAGTTTCAAATAAGAAGTTCTTTCTCAAATTCTAATCCACTTTGGAAGGCAATGTGTTCTCTGTAGGTATTGAACCAGAACAAGGTAAGACCTTTTGGACTAAGTCAGACATGTAGATTCCAGAAAACCATGTGAAGGAGTTGCTGAGGTTTGGAGTTCTCAGTTTAATTTGTATTCCTAAAACTTCTTCAGTCCTTGCAATTCCTCATTTACACAAAAAATAATGTGGGATTTGGGGCTGGCCCAGTATGGACTTCTCAGGCACCTTCATGCCTCCACAGCTGTTGATTTTGAAATAGCCCATGCTGACTTGGAAACCGTATCTCAAGGGAGTATGTGAATAATCTGAGGGATTAATGGCAGACAGGTTAAGCAACTTCCCCTGCTTTGTGGCATGGCAATACAGGTGCAAAGACACCAGGTTGAAAGAGGGACAATAATGTTGTTTTGCTCTTTTCCTTCCTTCTACAATATCTTGGAAGTGTAGTCAGCAACCTTCTTACCCACTTGTTTACCCAAATTAGTCCAAAATACTGGTAGTGGCTGGTTGTGGCTGGAACCTCTCTCAGCCTTACCTTCTCTAAGTCCAGGGACAACCAGCTGCAGGAAGCGGGCTTCAAAGGAGAGAGCCAGGAGTTTCTTACACATTTCCGAGCCTTGAACTTCAGTGGCCCTGCCCTTTTATGTTTACATGCCCCTAGTCTTGCTCATATCCCTAAATCTGGGATGTCCCATTTGAATTCTATTGCTTTCCTTCTTGTTCTCATTAAGGCTGGAGGGGTCATTTCTCTAGGGAGCCTTTTTAGATGCTCACATCCGGATTTTGCTAATCCTTTCATTCTGTGATTATAAGCTGAGGCTTCTATTGAGTGGGCCTGAAAATCTGCAGTAGAAGCATATCTGGAAGGCCGTAATCAAGTAAAGTTAAGTTGATATTCCATTTTAATTTCTTTGTTGACTTTTTAGCCATATCTACTTGCATGTTATTTTTAGTGTTTGCTCTAGGAACTATAATATACATTCTTAACTTTTAACAACCAACGTAGAGTTAATATAATACAACTTCATGTCAAATATAACAAATTTGCATCATTTGTGCAATAGTTCTAATAGGTATTACATCTACATATATTATAAGCTTCATATTACAGTGTTGTAATTTGGGGGTATTTTTTTTTAGATGGAGTCTCGCTCTGTTGCCCAGGCTAAAGTGCAGTGGTGCAATCTCTGCTCACCACAACCTCCATCTCCTGAGTTCAAGCGGTTCTCCTGCCTCAGCCTCCCCAGTAGCTGGGACTACAGGCACATGCCACCATGCCTGGCTATGTGCCTCTTTTTAGTAGAGATGGGGTTTCGCTATGTTAGCCAGGCTGGCCTCAAACTCCTGACATCGTGATCCACCTGCCTTGGCCTCCCAAAGTGCTGAGATTATAGGTGTGAGCCACCGTGCCTGGACAATTTTGGGGTCTTTTTAATGCACAGAGGACATCTTTCTGTTTCTTCATACAACAATTAATTTGAGATTATATCCCAGGCATTGCAAAAAAATACGCTGTAGAAACTTTGACTTCTGTTATGTTCCTCTGAAACGTATTGATTTCATGCAGCCATAAAAAAGAATGAGTTCATGTCCTTTGCAGGGACATGGATAAAGCTGGAAGCCATCATTCTCACCAAACTAACACAGGAACAGAAAACCAAACACCGCATGTTCTCACTCATAAGTGGGAGTTGAACAATGAGAACACATGGACACAGGGAGGGGAACATCATACACCGGGGCCTGTCAGAGGATGGGGAGCAAGGGGAGGGAGAGCATTAAGAAAATTACCTAATGTATGTGAGGCTTAAAACCTAGATGATGGGTTGATAGGTGCAGCAAACCACCATGGCACATGTATACCTATGTAACAAACCTACATGTTCTGTACATGTATCCCAGAACTTAAGGTAAAATAAAAAAAAAAAATTCTGCACATGTCCCCTAAACCTGAAATAAAAGGCTTTAAAAAGAAAAAAAAAGATATTGATTTCACAAGACAAGGATGCCTTCTCTCACCACTCCTATTCAACATAGTATTCGAAGTTCTGGCCAGGGCAATCAGGCAAAAGAAAACAATAAAGGGTACTCAAATAGGAAGACAGGAAGTTAAATTGTCTCTGTTTGCAGATGACATGATTGTATATTTAGAAAACCCCATCCTCTCTGCCTAAAATCTCCTTAAGCTGATAAGCAACTTCAGCAAAGTCTCAGGATACAAAGTCAATGTGCAAAAATCATTCCTATACACCAATAGCAGACAAACAGAGAGGCAAATGGTGAGTGAACGCCTACTCACAATTGCTACTAAGAGAATAAAATACCTAGGAATACACCTTACAAGGGATGTGAAGGACCTCTTCAAGGAGAACTACAAACCACTGCCCAAGGAAATAAGAGAGGACACAAACAAATGGAAAAACATTCCATGATTATGGATAGGAAGAATCAGTATTGTGAAAACGGCCTTAGTGCCCAAAGTAATTTATAGATTCAATGCTATCCCCATCAAGCTACCACTGACTTCCTTCACAGAATTGGAAAAAACTACTTTAAACTTCATATAGAACCAAAAAAGAGCCCACATAGCCAAGACAATCCTGGGCAAGAAGAACAAAGCTGGAGGCATCATGCTACCTGACTTCAAACTGTACTACAAGGCTACAGTAGCCAAAACAGCATGGTACTGGTACCAAAACACATATATGGACCAATGGAACAGAACGAAGGCCTCAGAAATAACACCACATATCTACCACCATCTGATCTTTGACAAACCTGACACACACAAGCAATGGGGAAAAGATTCCCTATTTAATAAATGGTGTTGGGAAAAGTGGCTAGCCATATTCAGAAAACAAACTGGACTCCTTCCTTACACCTTATACAAAAATCAATGCAAAATGGATCAAAGACTTAAACATAAGACCTAGGACCATAAAAATCCTAGAAGAAAACCTGGGCAATAGCATTCAGGACATAGGCATGGGCAAAGACTTCATGTCTAAAACACCAAAAGCAGTGGCAACAAAAGCCAAAATTGACAAATGGGATCTAATTCAACTAATGAGCTTCTGCACAGCAAAAGAAACTATCATCAGAGTGAACAGGCAACCTACAGAATGGGAGAAAAGTTTTGCAATCTATCCATCTGACAAAGGGTTAATATCCAGAATCTACAAAGAACTTAAACACATTTACAAGAAAAAAGCAAACAACCCCATCAAAAAATGGGCAAAGGATATCAACAGACACTTCTCAAAAGAAGACATTTATGCAGCCAACAGACATATGAAAAAATGTTCACTGGTCATTAGAGAAATGCAAATCAAAACCACAATGAGATGCCATCTCACACCAGTTAGAATGGCAGTCATTAAAAAGTCAGAAAACAACAGATGCTGGAGAGGTTGCTGAAAAATAGGAACGCTTTTACACTGTTGGTGGGACTGTAAACTAGTTCAACCATTGTGGAAGACAGTGTGGCGATTCCTCAAGGATCTAGGACTAGAAATACCATTTGACCCAGCCATCCCATTACTGGGCATATACCCAAAGGATTATAAATCATTCTACTATAAAGACACGTGCACACGTATGTTTATTGTGGCACTATTCACAACAGCAAAGACTTGGAACCAACCCAAATGTCCACAATGAAAGACTGAATTAAGAAAATGTGGCACATATACACCATGGAATGCTATGCAGCCATAAAAAAGGATGAGTTAATGTTCTTTGCAGGGACACGGTTGAAACTGGAAACCATCATTCTCAGCAAACTATCACAAAATCAGAAAACCAAACACCTCACGTTCTCACTCATAAGTGGGAGTTGAACAATAAAAACACATGGACACAGGGAGGGGAACATCACACACCAGGGTCTGTTGGAGGTGGGGGGCTAAGAGAGGGATAACATTAGGAGAAATATCTAATGTAGGTGACGGGTTGATGGGTGCAGCAAACCACCATGGCACTTGTATACCTATGTAACAAAACTGCACGTTCTGCACATGTATCCCAAAACTTAAAGTATAATAAATAAATAAATAAATAAATAATTGTATTGATTTTGTTTTCTGAAGTTGTTCCCTGTGCATATTATGGTTCAAATTAGTCAGAGATTCAGGTGGAGTTTATAAGCAGAATTTAGGGCTTTCTCTCCCTGACTCCATCTTTTTCAGAATTTTCTCCTCACTTTCCAGCAGCTCTGGTTGTCTTGAATTCCATCTTTGGGTTTTTTAAGCCAGTAAGACATAATTTTCCACTGGTTTTATTCACAACAGAGGGGATAGATTGTGGCCTGCCCTCATGCCAAAAGCTGAAAACAATTTTTTAAAAATTTAAAAAAGAGAAATGTAGCTGGTATCATTCCCTACATCCACAAATCAACTCTCTTCCAGTATCTGTGTGCTTGTACTCACTCCCTTGTGCCTTCAGTTAATTTTTTACGATATTTTGTCCAGATTTTATAGTTGTTATCTTTATGTAGATTGGCTCAATAGAAGGTACTTCACAGGGCCAGAAGCAGAACTCTCTCAAATGATGTCGATTTGGTGTTTCTTCTATTGTAAAAATGGGATGGTGTAGGTGGAGGAACAATTTGAAGTTTCGTTAACAACCTGGTGATATTTTCAGTTCCTGAATATTTTTGTAGTGCCTTCCAAGTTCTTGGCACTGTGATAGGTATTTAGAACACAAAGATAATAAAACCCATCAGCCCTGCTTTTGACTCAGCTTACACTTTTATTCCAGTTAAGAGAAAAGAACAATCTTCCCTGCCTTCTGGTCTACAAAATGGGAGCTCTCTATTGGCTTCAGCCTAGAAAAGGGGTTAAACTCATTATCACAACTGACAGGGAGGGGTAGGAACACAACTCGGTGCTAAATTGCATCCTTGTCGCTGCTATTTCACTCTATCCCTATGCCAACCCCAGTGATACCATTGATGTGTTTTCCTCACCCTCCTCTTACAGATGAAAAAAAAAATGAAACTCGAAAAGGTTCAATGTGATTTGGCTTTAGTCGCATGGTTAGTAAAGGGAGGAACTGAACAGCAAACGCAGTCTGTCTGACTCTAAACCCTGATTTCTTTCCACTTCCATTGACCAAATTTGGAAATATCCGGCCTTCACCTCACCATTCCCATCTCACTCTCATCATATCACTGGACTCCAGTTTCCTTGTCTGTAAAGATAAAACTAACATGTGCTCTTGGTGTCTGGCCTTGCCCCATCGTGCCCTGCCCTACCTTTCCAAGATAGACCAGATGATTTAAGGACTTTGGTGTTTCTATTGAATCGTAAAGTCTACCTTTTGAATACTGTGAGGATAAATCACTTTCAAGGTCTTTTGTTTTAAACTAGGAATCTCTGAGTTTCAGGCAACCTGCACCATTGCCCTTGGAGCTCCCTTCTCTGAACTCCTGTGATTCTTTTTGTTTTTTGGAGACAGAGTCTCACTTTGTCACCCAGATTGGAGTGCAGTGACACGATCTCTGCTCCCTGCAACCTCCCACCTCCTGGGTTCAAGCAATCGGTTCTCCTGCCTCAGGCTCCTGAGTTGCTAGGACTACAGGAGGGTGCCACCGTGCCCAGCTAACTTGTATTTTTAGTAGAGACAGGGTTTTGCCATGTTACCCAGGCTGGTCTCGAAGTCCTGACCTGAAGTGATCTGCCCACCTCAGCCTCCCAAAGTGCTGCGATTTCAGGCGTGAGCCACCATACTCATATTTCTCCGTATTTTTAAAGATACTAAGTCCCAGACAGGTTGACTTGTCCAAAGTCACAAAAGTTAGATGTGACAAGGATTTCCCCCAGCTTTCCCTTCTCCGCCCTTCAGTGAGACTGTGGCTGTCCTAATCCTGACTCACACAGTGGAAACTTAGCAAGTGATATTAATGATAATCACATTCACTACCATATATGAAGACCCTGCTTGCCTACTGGGAACTGTCAGTAGCTGTACTCACATTATTCAAACGTAACAGCAATCTTGCAAGTTAGCTGTCACTGGACCTGGCTTACAGATAAAAACAAAAAAGGAGATTTTTGAAATGTTAGCCATCCCAGTCAAAGTTTCACAGTCAGCAAATGGCAGATCTGTGATTTGAAACCACATTCCAAGGCCCATACTCTTTCCAGTGATTTTTTTTCTTTATGCCATCTTTCCAAGGGGAAAAGATAACATGGAAATGTGACAAACTGTGAGGAGAATTTACAGTCTGCAGTCACTTGATTCAATGTATTCACTAGCAAAAATTCCCTCATTTATTTTCAGCCTGATTACCGCAGTTCTTGAGTAGTGTATCAGATAATGCTCTTTTTGTCCACCCTGTGGTGCAGAGCAGACAGAGGCCTTGGAAAGGTAGCTCACACAGCAGTGATGGGGCAAGATGGGTCCAGTGTAACAAATCCACCAAATTAATGCCAAGGACACAGGGACTCCAACACTGTTTTCCGGAGGAATACACTGAACTGAGTCACTTGGGTATAAACATGTGTTTCTGCTCAGCAGAGCCAGACCCCACCTAACAAGCTGTTTCAGGGATATAAGCTGAACTAATCTGTTTGCTCGTGAGGGTTGACTCCCAGCTGATGTATTGCAGTTGTTCTTGGCTCTACAAGCAAATGGGCATAAGGGAGTAATTGCTGTAGGTTCCCCAACTTGACAACCAAAACTCCTGAGTGTTTACTGGGCATGCTCCATCCTGGCAGCTACTTTCAGCTCTCAGGAGAGACAAAGCCAGAGAAACGAAGGAAAAAACCAGGTGGTGAGGGTTCAGCTTTACCTAGTAAAGCCAAAAATAGATAACGAATTGTCAAATGGTCCTGAAAATGTGTAAATATGACAAATGAGATCTGTTCTGAACTTCCGTGGGACTTAATCCCTGTGCTGATTCAGATTTTGTTGTTGTTGTTTTTTGTTTTTTGTTTTGTTTTGTTTTGCTTTTGAGACAGAGTTGCCCATTCTGGAGTGCTCTGTTGCCCAGGCTGGAGTGCAGTGGAATGATATCGGATCTCTACAATCTCCATCTTCTGGGTTCAAGAGATTCTCATGCCTCAGCTTCCTGTGTAGCTGAAATTACAGGTGCATGCCACCATGCCCAGCTAATTTTTGTATTTTTAGTAGAGACAGGGTTTCATTATGTTGGCCAGGCTGGTCTAGAACTCCTGACCTCAGGTGATCCTCCTGCCTTGGCCTCCCAAGGTGCTGAGATTACAGGTATGAGCCACCATGCCCAGACCTGATTTAGATGTTTTGCTCAGGGCTTGGATGTAAATTCCTCCCATGTAGACACATAGCTATATGCATCCAAGTAGTCATGGTAGGCAGGTGTAATTGTTTTCAAGCTATTTCCTTACAGATCGTGTTGATAATCGAGTGGAATGGACGTGGAGCAAGGCATGTTGCACAACGCTGAGATACGCACACTGTGCATTTACAGGCCCATAAACCAAGAGGCCAAACAGCCACAGTGGAAAAACCAAGAGGATAAAAGGGTAGTTTCTTACCTCACCATTACCTTTATATGCTGGGGCACAACCCTTAGCTTGCCTGTGATAGCAAACACATGACTGAGTAACTAGATATCAGAAGACCTAGGTTCTAGTCTGAGCTCTTCCATGTTCCCACTTTGCAACTTGGTGGCCTCAGTTTCTTAAAATCTGGGCTTTTGGCTCTTGATATAGAAAACAGGAAGCACAACAGGGTAAAAAGTGCATTAAACTTGGACTAAACGACCTGGGGGAAGGTATTTAACCTCTCATAGCTGACTTGATGCAAAAGTCATTTTTCCACAATAATTTATGGAGTATTCTCTGGGAGTGTGGCAAAAAGCAAAATAGGCAAAACCCCTGCTCTTATGGAGCTTACCTTTTAGGCAAATAGACAATAAGAAAATAAACAAATATGTAGACATAGAATACAATGCCAGATAGTGAGAAGCTGTATGAAAAAAAAAAAACTGGGATAAGGAAAAAAGGAGGGTTTGCCATTTTAGAGTGGCCAGAGGCAAATAATACTGAGAAGCTGTATGAAAAAAAATAAACTGGGATTAGGAAAAAAGGAGGGTTTGCCATTTTAGAGTGGCCAGAGGCAAATAATATTGACCTCAGCAAGTTATTTTGAGAAAGCTAAAGGGTAATGTATTTTAATGTATTACATCATGAAGTAAATGTACCATAGTATTGTTATTATTATTATTATTTTTTTGGAATGGCTGAAAGGACAACTTCCCACAAGATGAGAGTGGCATTTTCAGGCTATGTTCATGACTAAGTAACAAAGCTCAGCATACCAATTGCTGGCTTTTCATTTTCTCTGGTTTCTTTCAGTGCTGCTTTCTCAGCTTTCTGGGTTTTTTTTGTCTTCCTCATTTTTCTTTTTTTCATTTCTGCAGTGGGAACTTGACCTTTGGTAGCATGAACTTAATGAATGTAAAAACTTCTTATGAGCAAGTGGTGTTTGAAGGCACTTGATAAGGAGTCCATGGGTCATCTCTGTTCCCCAGCATTTGGGGATCAGCACAGGGCTCAGGCTTGGAGGCATGATGAGGAGCCTGTTTGTTTTGGAGAGACCGGTCCACCAGGTGGTAGAACCGTCCTGTTCAGGAAATGAGCCCTGAAGCAGTCAGGCCAGTGGAATTCCTCTGCCCAGAGCACAACAAAGGGCTCCACTGTGCAGCCACATCCTGGTCCAGAAAGTGCCTGCAGGTAGCAAAACTCAGACCATGCACTAGTCTGACTCTTGGGTTCAAGGTTCCAGAATTAATGGAATGGATTTTCAGGGTTTTGGAAGAAAGCCAGTCACTGAGAGCTGACTCTCCCTCATCTGAAGCAAAACTCTCTGTTTAGTTCAAGTGCAACTCAATCTACAGGTTTCTAAGGAGTTGCCACCTCAAGCTACAGATCATTGCCCGTTGTGTAAACAGCATTGTGGGAAATTACAAAATTTAAAAAAACATTTTAAATGTTTCTGCTTGTCTGGTCAACAGGCACTTTCCAATATCCTTTGAATCTGTTGCTGTTTCACATGCTTCTCACCTAAAACTGTTTATGGAATGGACTCTTTCCTAGAAACTTATGGCACCCAGCCTTCAAGATGGCCCTTAGTTAGCCTCACTTCTGAGTATCCATGCCCTCTGTAGTCCCCTCTTACCTTGAAGCAGGACTGATTCATGTGACCAATAGAATACAGCAGAAATGGCAGTGGGTGATTTCTGAGGCTAGGTCAGAAAAGGCATTGCAGGCCAGGCATGGTGGCTCATGCCCATAATCCCAGCACTTTGGATGGCAGAGGTGGATGGACCACTTGAGGTCAGGAGTTTGAGACTAGCCTGGCCAACATGGCAAAATGCCATCTCTACTAAAAATACAAAAATTAGCTGGGCATGGTGGCACATGCCTGTAATCCCAGCTACTCGGGAGGCTGAGGTAAGGGAATCCCTTGAATCCTGGAGGCAGAGGTTGCAGGGAGCTGAATCATGGCACTGCACTCCAGCCTGGGTGACAGATCAAGACTTCATCTCAGAAAAAAAAAAAAAAAAAGAAGGCATTGCGGCTTCTATCTTGGCCTCTTGAGTTGCTCAGTCTTGGGGAAATGGGCCACCCTACCATGAGGACACTCCAGCAGCTCCACAGAGAGGCTCCCTGGGACTTCTCACCTATGGCCAGGCATGTAAGGAAGCAGCTTTGGAAGTGGATCTTCATTCTTAATCAAGCCTTCCTGTTTCTGGAGCTCTGGCCAGCATCTAACCACAACCCAAAGGAAGACCTTCAGTTCCCAGCCAGAGAAGTCACTCCTGCATCCCTGAACTAGTATTGTGAGAGATAATAAATAATTCTTGTGTTAAGCCACTATGTTGAGCATCATTTGTTATACAGCAAGAGATAATTAATACAAAACTTATTCTAAGGTGCCAAGATTGAATGGAAGAGACTACAGTCTCCTGAACCCAATGAGTTTGAATCTCTTCAGTCTGAGTAACAGATTCCGATGAATGCTGCACAATTTTGCCCAATACCACACCAGTAATTCTTAGAAAATCTTTTCCTATAATTGACATTGAATTTTGGGGTACTCATCAAGTCCTAATTTTTGTCTTTAAGAAACTTGGGATCATTCTAAGGAACAAGCCTGCCAAGCACTGCCTCTGAGCATGATCTTACAGATGTACTGAGTTTCACATTGTTCTTAAATTCTATAGATGATACACCAGCTTTATGTTTAGCCATGCTTAGTATCTGAGAAGGGTTGAAGGCTGCTGGAAGGATGTACATTAGCTCCCTGGCATTTCTGGCTTGCTATGTGCATGGCCACAAAGGGTTTCTCTCTCCACAAAAAGCCAGAAAACAAATGGACACAGACGCTGACAGTTGCAAACTAAACCAACAAGCTCAGAAACGGTAAGACTTGAGGGGATACCGGGGGGTGCACCAACATCTGTTTCAGTTACCACATCCAGGCCTCAGGCACAGGAAGAGGGCAAAGATCTAGTCATCAACATTGTGGCTACAGCACGGTGACTGAGACTTAGGAACAAAATCAAAGCCCAGTTTTCCAAACAGATGATGAATTCAAGCCAGATTAGCAGCAAAGTGTTCCTAGACTTGATGGTTTTTCTGAGCTTCCTAAATTACTTTTGCTTGGAAGAAAAAGAAGAAGGCTTAGAGTCTGGGAATCCTCCTGCTTCTGTCCGCCCTGACCACAGGCACAAGATCCCCCAGGCACACCCTGGTGGATTGTGCTGCCACTTCATTTCCTTGCTGCTGACTCTGACCTCAGCTCTTAATATGGAATGTCCTATAGAAGCTACTCGGGAGGCTGAGGCAGGAGAATCTCTTGACCTAGGAGGCGGAGGTTGCAGTGAGCCGTGATCATGCCACTGCATTTCAGGCTGGGTGACAGAGCGAGGCTCCTTTTCAAAAATAAAAGAAGAAATGACAGGTTGGTTGTTTAGAAATAAACCCAACCAAAGGCTCAAAGAGGACCAGAGGATAGAATTCCCCTTCTTAAGGAAATTAGTGAAGTTAAAGTTGAACCCAGCACAAAGTAGGTGGTAAAAAAATGTTAGGCCATTTTCTCCCAGCCCCTGCCGCCACTGACTTGGGGCTGCAGGGCAGAAACAGAGCCACAGAGCCATTCTGCATCTGCTCTCTAAGCTCTCCTGTAACTTTTATCTTAATAAAGAAAACACAGACAGTCAATTTGAGTCCTCCAGTGTGTATTTGTACTGCCTTTCCATTGGGAAATTCTCCCCACTGTTGAAGGGTTGTTGCTGAGGCCCCGTTGGACTGAGACAGTTAAACAGGATGGAACATGCAGGAAGGACGGCGGGGAACAAATCAGCATCATGAGGATGAATTCGAGGAACCAACTGGTTTCTTCATCACTTGCCCAGTGGTTCCATGACATTTCACACTCAAGGTCACATAAGGAAAAATATTTCCTCCAAAGTCCCCTAGACTTTGTCTTTAATGTACTTTGAGGCAAGCACTTACATGAGAAGGAACAGGAGCAGAAAACTCTTTGTCCTTTTATTCTCATGCTTTTGGCTTCTCTGACTTCAACCTGCAGAGGGCACTGATCCTCAAAGAACCGGAAGACCTAGGCCTGGCATTGCAGAAGGCCAGCTGTTCACCCTGCAGGGAGGGGAAATCCTGAGCAGTTCTCTGCGAATAATTTATATGATGGAATTTAACCAGAGACCTTATGAGCATTTATAAATGGAGTCTTTTCCCCCATATATTATAAGGAAGCTCCCAAACCATGGCTCATGCTGTTCATTCCTTCCCTTTAGAGATGTTTTCCCCACCATCCTATCATTAGCACTATGCCTCTAATAGACTTTCTCTGGAAACTAACCCAATATTTCCTGGTTACGTTCAGTATCTGAGTAACATCAGAAAGCTGAGAGAAATCTGGGACCCAGGAGCCAGTCCAGAGATTTTCAAGGTCATCGGGAGGTGATGCTACATGTTACCAAACACGGACATGAGTTTACAGACTAAAAACCTGATTTGACATCCCACCTCTGTTTCTTATGACCTTGGGCAAGTTATACAACCACACTGCAAGCTTACCTGTAAATGGAAATTATAATTAATCTTGTAATATTGTGGCATGTCATCATTTCATTTGGGTATGTAAAAAGGTAGCATTGTACCTAGCACAAAATAAGTGCTTTGTAAAGCTAGTTCTTTTTTTTGCCATCCTTCTCTCTATCTTTAATGATACTATACAGGATGGCATGATTTCTAGGCGAAACTTTCTAAAGAAGTTTCACCACTTTCTTGAATTCAATATTTGCCCCCCTAAAAAATAAATTTTTTTCATTTGTCTGGCATTCCCTCAAACAACAAGGAAGAGTAAAGGCCACTTCAGAGTCAGAAAGTTAGCTAACCAAGAAGCCCTAGGGCTCTCTTCACTCTTGTAACTCTGATTCCTACAGAATTGCGGGGAGTGGGTAGAGTCTCCAGGCCAGATCAGTCTATGGGGGATGAGTGTGGAAACTAAACTTAGCAGGAAACTCTCCTATAATGTGAGATCCCCCAACCCCATGCCTACTTCAAGTGCCTAATGTATTTCAAGGATGATACAAAGAGCCAAGCTTCATAATGAATCAAGAAAGTTCAGAAACAAATCTCAAGTAAATGTGCCCTCTTCGTATCCCGAGATGCTCCCCAATGAGTCACTGAGCTAATCTCATGGAGCAGGTCCAGTTCTAAATCTTGAGATTGCTAGATCCTTGCCCTCAATTATCTTTCTGTCTAACAAGGGAGACAAGGAATAAACAAGCAATTACAACATAGTGAAATAAGCACGGTGCATTTTGAGCCAAGTGTCAGATGTCTAGGACTAAAATTGTAAGAGATGGGGATCTGGGCTATGTTGAAGACGGCTTACATCCTTCATCACTTGCCGTATTTGGATGCCAAGATGACTTGTGGTGTTGCAATTCCCTGCCTGTCTTATCATGCAACTTCTGTGCCGCAACTTATTTGTAGTAAGCAAGGGCTAGAAATTAAGCTTAGGATAACACAGGGATAGATGTAACCAGAACCTGAATCATAGAATAATGTGAAGAAAAAATAGTTTAATCTTTTTTTCAATGTGGCTTTAGAATTTCTGAGGCTGCCGTACTAAATCGGAGGTATTTTTAAAACCTGGCATTTATCAATCATCCCAGTTTGCCTGGAACTGTCCCAGTTCTAGCACTGAAATGTTCATGTCCTGGGAAATTGCTCAGTCCAGAACAAATAGAACAGTTGGTCATCCTAGCTCTGTTCTGGGCATAGAAGCACCAGCAGAGCACAGAGAAAATGTACCATCCTAGTGCTAAGGCCTGAATCAAGAATGTCTAAAATCATAAACACTCGATCTACAAGGCCCACGTTGCTTTCTGAGTATGAATGGGAAGATATGTAATATTTAACAAATACATTGGTAAGTCATGAATGAATACGAAACTACAAGAGTACAAGAAATTGTGTTTTTTTGTTCTTGACAAAATTGCCTGGAACATAGGCTCCCAAGTTTCCAAGAGTGAGTGGAATTTACGTTTTCCTTGGTAGGCTTAACAAGAGAGCAAAAAGGCTAATAGCATAGGCATTGAGAGAAGACAGATCTAGCTTCAAATCATGGCTTTATTGCTTACATGCTGTGTGACCCAAGGTAAATTTCTCAATCTTTCTTTACATTAATTTGCTTTTCTTTAAAATAATAACACCTACTTTGAAATGTTGTTCTACAAATTCAAATAAAATTATCACAATGTATGGAATATAATGAGTACTCAAGAAATATTAACTACTATCAAAAAACAAAAGCAAAAACAAAACCTGGCATTTTGTTGTCCCTGGGGGTACCAAGTAGAGACAATAAGGAGCCTTAGCTCAGAGCAGCTGCGCACAGTGGCTCATGCCTGTAATCCCAGCACTTTGGGAGGCTGAGGTGGGCGGATCACCTGAGGTCAGGAGTTCGAGACCAGCCTGACCAACGTGGAGAAATCCCGTCTCTACTAAAAATACAAAATTAGCCAAGCGTGGTGGTGCATGCCTGTAATCTCAGCTACTTGGGAGGCTGAGGCAGGAGAATCGCTTGAACCCAGGAGGCAGAGGTTGCGGTGAGCTGAGATCACACCATTGCACTCCAGCCTGGACAACAAGAGAGAAATTCCATCTCAAAAAAAAAAAAAAAAAGAGTTACACAGTTCAGGAAAACAATTTTGTTATGAAATATTAGTAATACATATTTAGACCTATTTCCAGTCCCATTTTATTTTCATATGTTCCCATGGCAGAAAAGGACCTTGGGCTGAATGTCTTCATTTGCTCCTCCAGATTCACCCTCCATCTTCCTTTGTTCTCTGTGCCTGGTAGGCTGGCCTATGTGGTCTCCAAGAATAGGCATTCTTGCCTTCTGGATTCTGGTTGGATTTGGCTTAAATCAGCTGGCTGTGTCTCTCAACTGAAGAGCAGAGGTCCTGTCAAGAGGCCTTCTACCCTCAGTCGTCTGTCTCCTGGTTCTGGGAACCCCATTTGCCTCCTGTCTTCACATTTAGGGATGCTAATTGTTGCGGTGGGTTACCAGCCTCAGGGTTCTGCACCCTTCTATGAGGTTTCTCAACAGTCCAACCACCCATTTGTAAATCATCCCTTTGCGAACTCTCCTCAAATTATCCAACAGGAAGTACCTTTTTTGTCCTGCTGGAACCCTGACTGACACAGGCATCAAGAGAACATTTAGCTCAGTGATTTCTAAACACAGATCTGGGAACCAGTTCTGAAATGGCCACATCACGACCACTTAGGGAGCTTTTGAAAAATGCAGATTTCTGGATCTCACGGCTAGAGTACTGATTTCATGGGTCTTGGGTGAGGCCCCAAAATCTACTTCTTATGCCTCCCCTGCTATTTCTCATGCACGGCCAGATCTGGGAAGCATTCCCTGCTGAGGCCCCTAGTGGGTCCTCCTTCTCCATCAGTGCCTTTTGTTCTTGGTTCACATTTCACATTTCATGATCTCATTATGGTTACAGACAAAAAAATACAGCATATACAAACACTATAGATGTCCTTGTGAAGGTCACCTCCAGAAGAGTAGGCATTTTGAGTTGCTTTTTTCAGGCCTACAACACTGCCTGGCACATAGTTGCTACTCAGAGAATATTTGTTAAGTGAAAGCTGGATGAATAATTTATTAAGAACATTTACAGGACTTTAAGGTTTGGATTAGTTCAAATTTATGACTTCAAGGAGGGTATAACCTAAGCTCAATATTTGATTGAGATCCAAACAATAGAGAAAGTTGAATTCATCACTGAAGCTGATAATGGGCATAATTTCAAACTAGTAGCTTTCCTGGAATTTTCCCCCATCTGTCCTTCAAAGCCTGGTGTACATGGCAGTAGAAAGGGTGGCTCATGCTAAAAGCCAGGGAGCTATTGTAGCTGTCAGTCAAACTTTCTAGCCGAAACCCCAATTGTATCTTTCCCCTGGTCTGTACTATTATAAACATTTTGAGTACTTATGGTGCCACTAGTAACCCAGAGGTTGCTGCACGTTTTCAAATTGAGTGTTCTCCTGGAAAATAAAACCCATAGTCAGGCAGATCCTTCCGATCCCCTCCTATCCCCAACTATCTCTAATTGCCTGCAGGAACTTGTCCCTTCTCTTTGTTTTCCACTTTCCTCATCTTTTAAATGAGTTGTTAACAAAATCATTTCTTGGCTTACATTTTTCTGACAACCAACAGCAGTAAAATATCTAGCTAATTGACCCCTTTTCCTGCTAAGACTCAATTTACTTGAATAAATTTGGTTGGAAAGCATTCTAGGGTAGAAACAAACTTCTCTGACTCTTACATAGGTCATACTGATCCTACCCTTCATCAACATCTTTTCTTTTTTTTTTTTTTTTTTTTTGAGACGGAGTCTCTCTCTGTCGCCCAGGCCGGACTGCGGACTGCAGTGGCGCAATCTCGGCTCACTGCAAGCTCCGCTTCCCGGGTTCACGCCATTCTCCTGCCTCAGCCTCCCGAGTAGCTGGGACTACAGGCGCCCGCCACCGCGCCCGGCTAATTTTTTGTATTTTTAGTAGAGACGGGGTTTCACCTTGTTAGCCAGGATGGTCTCGATCTCCTGACCTCATGATCCACCCGCCTCGGCCTCCCAAAGTGCTGGGATTACAGGCGTGAGCCACCGCG
Organism: Homo sapiens; assembly: GCF_000001405.40. Classification (NCBI taxonomy): domain Eukaryota; kingdom Metazoa; phylum Chordata; class Mammalia; order Primates; family Hominidae; genus Homo; species Homo sapiens. Next base: position 47,102,162 of record NC_000006.12, read on the forward strand.
CCCGGCCCATCAACATCTTTTCTAGAGATCGTTTAAAAGTCAATGATTAGGCTGAGCACAGTGGCTCATGTCTGTAATCCTAGCACTTTGGAAGGCTGAGGCGGGTGGATCACCTGAGGTCAGGAGTTTGAGACCAGCCTGGCCAACAGGGCAAAAACCCGTCTCTACTAAAAATACAAAAATAAGCTGGGCATGGTGGCAGGCATCTGTAATCCCAGCTATTCGGGAGGCTGAGGCAGGGAAATCGCTTGAACCTGGTAGGCAGAAGTTGCAGTGAGCCGAGATCACGCCACTGCCTCCAGCCTGGGTGACAGAGTGAGACTTTGTCTCAAAAAAAAAAAAAAAATCAGTGATTCATTTTATGGTATTTTAAACCCACTGACTGCCTAAGGGCCAATAAGGCATATAGGACTGCTTTCTCTTTTCATAATTGGCCCCAATCTGATTCTTCTCTCTGCTCTTTCTAGCTTTTCTGTTACCTCCATTGGTAGTCACGGCTTGCAATTGTCAAGGTTACTCCTAAAGGTAAAGCTGCCAAATAAGAGTTTTCTGTGTAGGTAAGGGCTCACTTAGGGCTTTGATACAAACATATATATCTTCCCTGAGTTATGCAGGAGCTGATGTGAGAGGAATCGTCACAATTTGAGAAAGGTGAAAGAACGTGTGAGTTCTAGGAATTCACAATAAACTGATAATTCATCAGTTGTCTAAAAATATTTTTAAAGACTTGAATAAAGGATTAAGAAATTTATGCTATTTAACTTAGAAAATAAGTCTGAGGAATGACTAGATATTGCTTTTCAAATATTTAATGCTTTTAGAATAAGAGAGAAGCAATACTCATTGATGAGACATGTCCCCTGAGTGCAGGAGGAAAGGAAGCAAATGGGAGGGGAGCAGAAATGCCATCTATGCAGCAGGGCATGGCTAAAAGGGCTCATGGGCTGCTCAGACTCTCAACAAGGAGGAATCTGGCACCTCAGGGAATAGGGCTCAGATGGGGCTGAGCACGTGTAGATTGGCTGAAGGTCTCCACAGAGAGAAGCGGGGTTTTCAGGCCCTCCCCATCTCTTCCACTTGCCATTCCCCTTCCCCATCTATTCATTGCTTATCTCCATCCTCCTCCAGTCCCAGGTAGACTGACCTCTAAGTGCAGATCTCCTGGGTTTCTTTGCTCTTTGACCCTAGTTGGATTAGCCAGTGTGAGGGACCATCAAGAGATTGGAGGGTGGGAGTAGAGAGAAGTCCAGCCCTTCATTCTGCTATCTTCCTGTGGCTTCTTCACAGTTTAGCTGCGTCCCTCTGTCACTATTACTCCTCTCCAGAGCATGGATCTTGCTCTCAAGAGGCTCCAATAACATGCTGTCTCCCCTTGTCCCTTCAACCCTGGAGACAGTGATGGCTTCCTACAGCTGCTGGTCCCTCGGGGCTTCACCCTTGCTTGCTGATGCCCTCAATCCTGCCCTCTTCATTAAACTTTCCTCAGGATTAAAAAAAAAAAAGTGCTTTTGGGAGAATATGCAGCTCAGATGAGAGAAAAGGAGAGTTAGAATGGATGAAGAAAGAAAGAATGACTATGAAGGTTGCTTGAAATGCCCTTGTGAGGGAGTTATAGAATCACCAGGACTTGCAATCTCTAAAATTAGGATGACTTACTAAATTTACATGCACTCCTGCCTAAGGACAGGGGGATGGACGCTATGGATTCTCAAATTTCCTTCTAATTTTATGATTCTATTTTCCCATACTCCTCTTCCTACTTTAAACATGCTTGAGCTATGTTACCCATCGGTTCCCAATTAGATCTAATGTCCTTCAAAGCTTCGTTCTTTTAGGAGTGTTACAGAGAAGTGAAACTGTCTACTGTCTAGGAGAAACGGAAATTTGGGGTTTTTAATACATAGTGTGAGTTCTGGCCTTTGGAAGTCCTTGTGCCCTGAAACGACCAGACTCAGTTATCACAGCACCAGTCCCGGCAGCATCTGAGGCACTCCTTTGCATTATGCAATAAGGAAATATGAAACATCAGGAAGCAAACGAGCTGAAAGCCAGGGTTTAGGAAAGTACCTAATATCTTCCAACAGATCTCAAGTGGACATACTTACACATGAAGAAGCATAGGCATCTTGGGTTAAGTTTGGGAAGCTGAGGTTTAAATCTCATCTCCTTTACCAATAAATCCAAGTGCATTTTTTTCACTTCTCAATGTCATACTTCCCTTTATGAAACATGGGACTATTATTCCTTGATTTTATGTTTCTATCTCAAAAGCCAGCATTCAAGCAGTGAAATATGAAATGACCGTCCTTTGGCTGCCTAGAATTGGTCAGGCAAGGTAACTGCTGTTAAAGAAAAAGGGTCCTCCCATAATTCCCAGGAGCCCCTACTTTCCCCTGTGTTAAGGCCCTCTCTTAACTTAGTCATCACTCCACCCAACCCTTGAGGAGGAGGCATCAAACAAATGATTCAAAACATTTTCTTTCAAAAATAATAATAAAACTGACAATGCCTTTCTTTCATGCCACAACAGGGCAATCTTTACTGCCAGGGAGAAAGACAGCTTGCTACCTGCACGAATTGGCAAATGGGGCCCATTGCCATGGGAGAAGTTTGTATTTGGTGCCCCACTGGCTGAGAGAAGACAAATATATCCTTGGAGAAACTGTTTGGTTTAATTACCCAAGAGTCAATCTAGCCAAAACTGCTTGCATTTAGCAATTTTTGTTGATTATATTTCTCTCAGTAAACATCAGGTGACAGGAGACAGCAATGAAGAAAGCCAACTTTAGGGTTAAGGGAGGCAAAAAAAGAATTTTTTATAAGCATTAAAAAAAAACCCAACTCACTCCTCCATTTTCACAAATATACTAGTTTAAGACTGATCTGCCAATTTCAGGTGTAGCTGACATTGAATATCTGTGGTCTGATATCCAATTAGGACATAACAATTATAGAATTTTGGAGCTTCAAGAAACTTCAGAGATCATGAGTCTAACTCCTTTCTACAGATGAAGAAACAGACTTAGGGTCTGTTTATTTCTCAGTGTTTCTAAAGTGGCTTGCTGAATATTCAAGAAACTGAGTAAAGGTTAGAACGAGGGTCTTTCAGCTCACAGTGCAGTGCCCTTTTTCACAATTCATTCAAGGGCCATTTTTGGCTAATGCCTTAAATGATGGGAACCAGGCTTTGAACTAGATCCACTTATTGAAAGGAGGGAGCCCTGGAATACCAGTTTTTATAAGAACCTTCCATGGAAGCTTCAGAATCATTTTGTACCCATGGGGTCCCCACTACCATGTGAGGGCATACTTGTCTTCTTTGCCAGGCCCAGCAAAATGTTGAAATGTATCTTGGGGGGGAACTAAATGCCCATGCTTTTGATGGCAATTCAGACTCCCCATCCTCCCACACCAACACCCCTGCCAGCCCTGGTGTACTGGCTCCAAACACTTTCACACAGTCCCCTTTGAGACAGCCCATGCCTCGAGTTGTCACAGCCATCCCCAACGGCTCAAGAGAAGAAGCCAAGACACCAGGTATCTTTGGTCTCCGTAATTACCCGCCGTGCACTGACAGGACAGGAAAGGATTCGCCATTAAAAGCCGCGTTTTAAAACAGAAATGAAGCTCATATTTCAGGAGAAAGAAGGAGTTCCGTTTCAGAGTTGGTTAGAATGAGATGCTAAAGGACATTGAAATGGAAATTTCAACAGACCACTAGAGATGCATAACTGCAGCTTGAGAGAGGAGTAAGGGCTGGAGACCCAGAGGGGAAGTCGTCCACAGCAGGGGATCAGTTGAGACTCTGAGGTGTTCATGGCCCAGAGGCAGCAGCAACAATGAGGCTTTGGAGCTAGATTACTCATGGATTCAAATTCTGGCAGCACTATTTACTTGGCATATGATTTTAGACAAAGTACTTAACCCCTCTCTGCCCCAGTTTTCTCATCTGTAAAATGGAGATAGTAATAGGACTTTACTTTTGAGGATTAAAGGAGTGAAAGCACATAAAGTTAAGCTAGAGGAGTGCCTGGCACATATAAATGTTAGCTAGTACGTTTCTCTTGTTAGTCTCAATATTAAAAGTTTTCAGTGGTTCTCAGGTCCCTCAGGGCAAAATTCAAATTCTTTTGCAGGATCTCTCTGTCCAACATTATGCCTTATTCTCAAGCCTCCTTCTCTGCTATTTGTCTGTTAGGGGTCAAATTGTGTCTTCCAAAATTCATACGTTGAAATCCTAACCACCAGTACTTCAGAATGTGACCTTATTTGGAAATAAGGCCATTGCAGATGTAATTAGCTAAGGTGAGGTCATACTGGAGTTGGATAGGCCCTTAATCCAATATGACTGGTGTCCTCGTGAAAAAGGGAGATTTGGAACAGACACACACAGGGATAATGCCATGTGAATATAAAGGCAGAGGTTGGGTGATAGGTCTGCAAGTTAAGGAACAACAAACATTGCCAGAAATCCACCAGAAACTCGGAGAGAGGCATGGAACAGATTCCCCCTTACAGTCCTCAGAAGGAACCAACTCTACTGATACCTTGATCTAAGACTTCCAACCACCAAAACAGTGAAACAATACATTTTGTTGTCTAAGCTACCCAGCTTGTGGTATTTTGTTATGGCAACCTGAGTAGATAAAAACAGTGCCTGTCCCTCCCCCATGCAGCTACAGGGTATGCCACCCCCCTCCCCGCCCCCCCCCCATACCTCCATGCCTTGGCACTGGCTGATTTCTTTGCATGGAATGCACCCCACCCCACCCCTTTGTCTGGCTTGACAAACTGCTGCTTGTCCTTTGAGATTTAGCTTAAGCATCTTTTCTTCTGTGACTCTTTCACAGAACTTCCCTTCCCAAAGCAAAATTGATCTCTTCCTCCTCCACCATGACCAACCAGGACTTACACATTCCTCTCATAGCACAAGCATGTGGAATTGCTGTGACTGGCCAGTACTGCCTTTGCCTGTAGATAAGATCAGGTGCGTCCAGGATGGTATGGCCGTAGATTGCCTTTGCCTTTAGACCAACCTTCCCTGCATACTCATTAGAGTCAACTAGCCTGATTTTTTTTGGTCAGATCCTACCCCTGAGATTCTGATCAGGTGGTCTGGGGTGGCGCTCTGGCAACAGTATCAAAGGCTATCATGTATTTCTAATGTGCAATTGAGGATAAGGACAGCTGTATTAGACAGTGCTTCCAAAGGACAGGGTTTCAGCCTTATTCTTTGATCTCTTATCACCCTGAACAGTGGCTGGCCATGAGTGAGCACTTAACAAATGTTGGTTGAGCTGGATAAAGGAGCCCAGGTCCTCTGTCCATTTTCTCCTTCTACCCTGTCCTCTCCATATTTAACCCTTCACCTCTCCTCAACAAAACACCTGAAACGAGACTCGTGGACAAATGCTGTCTCGAGGTCTAGAGAATTAGACTGTCTGAAATCAGCATAGGCTGGGGGAAGCAGAAGAATGTCAGTAGTCCCTTTTTTTTGTTTGTTTGTTTAAAAAAAAACAGAATCTCGCTCTGTAGCCCAGGCTGGAGTGCAGTGGTATGATCTCAGCTCACTGAAATCTCTGCCTCCTGCATTCAAGCGATTCTCCTGCCTCAGCCTCCTGAGTAGCTGGGATTACAGGCCTGCGCCACCAAGTCCGGCTCATTTTTGTATTTTTTGTAAAGGCAGGATTTCACCACGTTGGCCAGGCTGGTATCAAACTCCTGGCCTCAAGTGATCCTCCCACCTTGGCCTCCCAAAGTGCTGGGATTACAGGCGTGAGCCACCACACCTGGCCAGTAGCACTTTTAAATAAGGCAAAACAAGCAAACATGCAGAAAGCACTTATTTTAAATATCCATGTCCCCACCTTCAAATATCAAAAGCAGTCTCTTTTCTGTCTGCGAATGTAGGACGTGGGCAAATGGCTCATCAGCCCCGACTTCTACCCCCTCCATGCCTTTCCTTCCAGGATTTCAGAAAGGAAATGTAGTGCTGGCTTTATGTTTCCCCAGTGTTTTCAACCAACCACCCCTTTGTGAAAATGGAGTATGAAAAGATTTTGGAGCCCCAGTTTTTCCTTCTAGCATGTCAACATTTTTTCTCCCTTTCTCCTTCCTCTACATAAATACTAAGATGAAAACAAATGATAAAGGGCTATTTGCTTTCTTTTTCCTGAGGATAAAATTAATATATGCTCCTTACACAAAGTTTAGAAAATAGTTTTTAAAGGTAATAAAAAGAGCCCTTGGTAATTCTGCCATGAAGAATTTGGGGGCTGAGTTGGGAAGTTCACTTACGGCCAGGAGTTCGAGACCAGACTGGGCATCATAGTGAGACCCTGTCTCTACAAAAAAATAAAAAATAATTAACCAGCCATGGTGGCATGCACCAGTAGTCCCAGCTACCCACAAGATAGCTGCAAAGAGCTATGATCATGCCACTGTACTCTGGCTTGGGCAACAGAATGCAATCCTGTCTCAAAAAAAAAAAAAAAAACAAAAGCAGAGAGAGAATTAACTGTTAAGGTTTTTGGTATGTTTTTATCATAAATTACATATCTATATAAGGAAAATATTTCTGTAAATATATGTAATGCATGTATAATGTTTCCGTAAATAATATATGTAATGCAATTGTGTAAGAGAGAGAGGAGACAGAGAAAGGTAATGAAGCGTATATTGGCTATCTCTTGGTGGAGACATCTGTCCTCACACTGTGTTCATTTGTTTTTTACATATCCAAAAAATAAAGACTCAGCCCTACAATGCTTTAGACAAAATATGTTCCTGAAGATTCTGAAGAGGAGATGGATGATGGTTTCCCCTAGCTATTGGAAGATAGGCACACATAGTGCAAAAGTATTCAAGGAGGATATAAAACTAAAAAAGAGCAAAATTATGTTCTTCTTCCTCTGAACTGGTCATTAGGGAGGATTCTGTTTTAAGCTCTAGAAGAGGGTTTGGCGATCCACAGCCCACAGATCAAATCCAGCCACACTCATTCACTTCAGTATGTCTGCGGCTGCTCTCGCACTACAATAGCAAAATTGAATAGTTGTGACAGAGATGTGACAGAGACCATATGGTTCACAAAACCCAAAATACTTCCTATATTCAATATTAAATATTACTGGTCCTTTACAGAAAAGATTTGCTGATCTCTGACCTAGAGAAATTTGTTCTAGTGCCAGGGACTCCAAAATTTGGAATTCCTATTTGTATTTTTCTTGTTGTGTGGTTGGTTGGTTTCTGCTGCTAGGGAGGAAACTTCATTCTTGGTGGAAGGGAGGAATGAGGGGAATCCCTACTATTCCCGGGGGGGTAGGAGGGTTTCCCTTGGAGTCTAAGAATTTGAGACTTAGTGAACAGTCTAAGGGTAGGAGGGCTTCCCTTGGAATATGAGACTTTGAGCCTTACTCTGTAAGAAGAGGAGGGAACAGGTTCTTTAGGATTAGATCATTAATAAACTTTCTCTACTATCACCCTACCCTCCACACCGCAAACCACAGAAATATCCCTTATCAACATCCTATGGGGGTAAAAGTGGATTAAATTGTCCTAGAGCTAAATTAGGAACATTTCCAAAAAGTCAGAAAGCAAAGAAGATTTTACAAATTGCAAAGACCCATAAGAAATTTATTTCGTGAAAACTAATGTAGTATGGTGGTAAAATGCTTTGGCTCTCAAGCCAGACAGACATAGATTTGAGTTCTACTAGCTGTGTGACCCCTGGAAACCTCAGCTTTATCTTCTGAAAAACTAGAATAATAGTAGCCTCCTCATAGGGTCGGTATGAGAGGTAGATTTGAAAATGCATGAAAAAGATTTAGCACCGTGCCCAACACGTTAACGGAATTCAATAAATGCTTGCTGTTATTTTGAAGACAGTTTTCTGGCTGATTCATGTACTAGGAGTGCTATAATTGTAATTTCCTAAAAAGATTTTTAAAGTATTATTATTAATGGGCCTGACAATTTTTAGGCATTTAATAAATGATACCAATAAAGATCTATTTTGGCTGGGCGTGGTGGTTCATGCCTGTAATCCTGCACTTTGGGAGGCCAAGGGCAGGCAGATCACCAGAGCTCAGGAGTTCGAGACCAGCCTGGGCAACATGGTGAAACCCCGTCTCTACTAAAATACAAAAATTACCCAGGCATGGTGGCGCGTGCCTGTAGTCTGAGTTCAAGCAATTCTCCTGCCTCAGCCTCCTGAGTAGCTGGGACTACAAGGCAGAGGTTGCAATGAGCCAAGATTGCACCACTGCCCTCCAGCCTTCATGACCAAGTGAGACTCTGTCTAAAAAAAAAAAAAAAAAAAAAAGATGTATTTTATAGATTACTTTGGCTAATGGAGCATCTTTCAAACTTCTTTGGTTGAATCCATGAGAAGAAATATATTTTATAATGAAACTCATCACATATGCTTGTGTGTGTGCCTGCGGTTATAGCTGAAAAAAAAATGCCCATGAAATAGTACATAACCTTCCTACATGCAATGCACTTTGATATTTTCTATTATATTTTTTAAATGGTGGTCATAATCTAATCAATTAATTTTACAACCCACTAAAAGGTTAAGACCCACAGTTTCAAAAACATACAGCATGGGGCCATCCAATTGAGCATCCTGTCCACATGATTGTCTCTTACTTCTAACACAACCATTCTTTGCCATTTTGAGACCTATAACACCTTTCATTGTCCTTTATTTTATGTTTCTATGTCCTGGATCCTTAATTATATCTTTTGAAATAAAAACAAAGTTTTAGGTCAGGCAAGGTGGCTTATGCCTGTAATCCTCAGCACTTTCGAATGCCAAGGAGAGTGGCTTGACTTGAGCCCAGGAGTTTGAGACCAACCTGGGCAACATGGCAAAATCCTGTTTCTACACAAAATTAAAAAAAAAAATTAACTGGGCATGGTGGTGCATGCCTGTAGTGCCATCTACTTAGGAGGCTGAGGTGAGAGGATCACCTGAGCTCGTGAGGCCAAGGCTACAGTGAGCCACGATCGTGCCACTGCATTCCAGCTTGGGCAACAGAGTGAGACCCTGTCTCAAAAAAATATGTTTTTATTCTTACTTGGAAACTCACAATTTTCTATCACAATGGAGGAAACAAAAGAACTCTCGAAAATTGTTTTCAGAGGGAAGTGAGTTTATATTTGCAGAAAATTTAAGGGAGTAGATTGTTCTGTCTTCCACAGGAAATTTCATGACACAAAATATAGAAGATAATCCGAAGCAAAAATTATCTGCCTGTTGAGGTCTGAATCAGGATGTGAAAGTTGCTCAGAGACAAGACATTGAGCAAAATATATGAGGAAAAAAATATTCAGTCCTACTGGTTCCTATCTCCACCTACCCACCTCACCAGGATTGCTAATGGTGATTGCTAGTGGGCTGTATTCCAAGGACTTAGTATCAAGTAATTTAAGATTTTCTGTTGTATCTCGACCCAAGAAGAATCAATCTTCTTGACTCTTCTCCCCCTGACTACACACATTCAAATTTTGTAAAGTATGATTCCCTCTTTCATTGACAGAAACACAACCAATATCCACAGTTTTTGCTTAGATGACCTACAAACATGTAAAGCTGTGAAAATCCTAGGAAATGACTCCAATGCAAATAAATGCCAGCTCCAGAACTCTACCTGCATTCCTGAGCCAGGATGGAACTGTCCTGAGCCAGATGAGACCAACTTGCAGAATTCCACATCCTGAGACTTCCTTTCCTTTCTGTTTCACACACATATTTTCTAATGTTAGTGTGTATAACCTGCTGACCTTTGCCCCCACTGGAATTTCTGAGCAAGCTACACATGCTCAGCAGGGTTAGGGAAGTAATTTGAGTTTCAACCACAGCGTTTTTAATTTTTTTACTTTAATCTTTATCCTTCAAACATGATGCCTTAGATACATTCTACCCCCCAAAATCTCAAAATATTAGTGGTAGAATGGTGACCCCTTCTCTCCCTTTTTCTTTTTTTTTTTCTCTCTTCCAATTTGCTGATTTTCCTACATTTTCTTCAATGAATTATGAGGTGAGGGAGATTTTCTTTAATTGCTTGAGGAAAAATTATACTCTTCTTCCTCTTAAAATATCAAGGAGCTTGCGCAAAGCTCTTAACTGGTTTGTTCTTAGCTGAGTATCAAAGGCAAGGTCAGAAGAATATGACACTTTTATGTATAGTAGCAATTTTTTAAGATAGGCTTTCTTTCTAAGCAGCTTAGGTCCTTCAGGTTCATATCCTGTATCCCTTTGTCATTTGGTAGCGCTAAGCCTCAGTTTTCATATCAGGAAAATGAAACTAATAATAGTTTATTATTCATGGTGGTGTTGAGAAGGATTACATCAGATCATCACAGCATGCATGCAGCACACTCATGTCCCCTGATCAAGCACACTTGTAAACATTTTCATTATTTTTATTGTTACTTTTGCCTTGGGATTCCTCTTCCAAAGCCAGAGCCCCTAATCCTGGATAGAAAGAGGACTCCAGCAGCATAACAGAGGCAAAGCTTTACTCCTAGCCTTCCCAGAGATTTCTCCCCAATGAACAGCCAGTCTTGTGACTGGAAACTGTGGGAAAGACCTCTAAGATGAAGATGTAATCTAGTGAGTATCCCATGACAGACCATCAAACCCACTGAATAAGACTGGACTGCTGCTCCAAACAGGCTCCCCAGGGACAAACGTTTACCCTGCCCTTACTAACAGTCCCCAAAAAGCATGCTGTCAGTGACAGAGTGAAGGTGAGTGAAGCCCCCCTGAAGATGCCCCAGCGGGGAGGTGCACCCACAACATGGGTATGAGGAGCGGATAACGTGAGGTAAAAGGAAGCCTGGGTCTGCAACTCATGTTGACAACATTACCCAGATTTCCCCAGACCCCACAGCTTTAACCCTATGTCCTAGAACCATGAGCTGGGAACACATGAACTCAGAATGGGGTTCACACATATCCCCAGATCCCAGAGTTTCCTGCCAGGCCTCTTGACTGGGAAATCTTTGCAGACCCTTATGGAGGTGCCAAGGCCATCTCCAAATTTTCCAGATTTATTGAAAAGATAACTTCCTGGCTGGGAATGTTCAAAGTAAACCACTAAACTGGAGAGGGAGAGACTTTCAGATTCCCTAAGGCCAGCTCACTGTTCTTTTGAATGCCCTTTACCATACCTAAGCCTTTAGAGACACTGGTGAAGTAAATGGTGAACTCTGGCTACTCTCTCAACCCAGAAGATTAGTCTAAGAAAGGTTTTCATGATATAAATGTTAGAAACTGATTATCTAGGCCAGGCGCGGTGGCTCACGCCTGTAATTCCAGCACTTTGGGAGGCCGAGGCGGGCGGATCATGAGGTCAGGAGATCGAGACCATCCTGGCTAATACGGTGAAACCCTGTCTCTACTAAAAACACAAAAAATTAGCCGGGTGTGATGGCGGGTGCCTGTAGTCCCAGCTTCTGGGGAGGCTGAGGCAGGAGAATGGCGTGAACCCGGGAGGCGGAGCTTGCAGTGAGCTGAGATCACGCCACTGCACTCCAGCCTGGGCAACAGAGCGAGACTCCGTCTCAAAAAAAAGAAACTGATTATCTAAACCTCAATCTCAAGAAATGGAGCTGCAGACACAGCATAACATTCCCCTGCATTTCTCAGTCTCCAAATTTGGGCCCAGAGCCCTGGAGACCCAGGAGGCTGAGAAGAGCAAAACAAGACATTTTGCCTCATGCTTCATTCCCATCTCCTGCAATTTCCTGTCAAATCTGCAGCTGTTTTCTACACCACGGCTTTACAAGGCTCATAGTAACCTCTCTCAGACAGAGGAAGACTCTAGGGTTCAACTGGGTCATCCTCCTGCCTCTCAGCAACTACACCCAACTCGTGAGATACACTCACATCTTTGTAAATTTGACTTCCCTTAAATATCTTTTAATCTCTTTCCAGGTTGAAACTTTTATAGATGTCAGGGTTGCACATTCTGATGTAGAGTAAGAAGGAAGGAGTTGTTCCCTAAATTTTCCCTTTCTTCCCATGTGCAGAGTTTCTGATTTGCACTTAACAGGAGGCTTTGTAACATGTACACCACAGCCATGTATTACAGAAACCACAGGTTTCCAGTGAATACTCCTGGGTTGGTTCAGTCCTTTGTGCAATGTACAAAATCTGGTTACATTTCAGGTCCTGGAACTTCCTGAGATATAAGGGATGATGGGGAGGAAGTGTTAAAGGTAAATGTGGTTTTGAGCCAGGATGATTGAGGCGTGGTCTCTGATAGAATAAGCAAGTCAAGAAGCAGAAAAACATTATAAAAGTTAAGATAGCAAGAGAACAGATTTGTGCGCACATTTTAGTTCATCAATGGGAGTGGAATCATGTATTTACTTATTTAGAGAGAAGGTCTTGCCTTGTCTCCCAGGCTGGAGTACAGTGATCATGTGTGATCACGGCTCACTGCAGCCTTAACCTCCTAGCTCAAGCGATCCTCACACCTCAGCCCCTTTTCCCACACTCCCAGGTAGCTGAGACTATAGGCATGCACCACCACGCCTGGCTAGTTTTTATTTTATTGTACAGATGGGGTCTCACTATGTTGCCCTGGCTTGTCTCAAACTGGGGCTCAGGTGATCCTCCTGACTGAGTAAAATCATTTTAGAGGGCTTTACACCTTCATTCTGGATTCAGAAAATATGAATCTCATTAGATAAATGAGATTGTTTCTAAAGACTTGAGGCAGGGAAGATTGCTGTGCTGCAGAAACTATTATTTGTCACAGGAGGTAACTGGAAGCATAGGAAGGAGATCCTGCAAGATAATATGAAAAATTATTTGATACTTATATATAGATTTAATAATTCTTCCATTTCTGGCATAGTCTTCAAGGAAAAGGGAAATTGTAGGGGTGATTGTAGGGGAACTAACAAGGCTTCCTCTCCCTAAGTCAACTCTGAGTTCTGAACACATTTCAGTATTTGAGAACAGTTCTCAAGTCCCCCCAAAACCTTCTATTTTTTAGTAGAATAGTCTCAGTTCCATCAAGTGATGGTTTCCAAAACCCTCAACACTCACTCTCTTCTGGATATGTTTTAGTTCATCAATATTCTTCTAAAAATATAGCATCTAGACTAGCAGAAAAATCTCTAAATGCCATCTGATCTGGTAAAAATTCAACAGATCTATCATCTCCCTTGTGCTGGCCACATTTTTCCCCTCAATGCAACTTAATGCCACATTGGATTATTTGCTGCAATGAGGCAGTCACAATTGGCTTGTATTGCCTTTGCAGTCAATTAATTCCAGTTTGTCTTTTTCAAATAAATTACTAGTTTATACTTATGCAATTATTTTGTTTTGTTTTTTGTCTGACTAAAGGCAAAAATTAACCCTTGTTAAATTATATTATGTAGATTTTAGCTGCCTGCCAATGAGCTTATTAAGACCATTTTGAATCTGGATACTGACTTCTCATTAACCATCCTTCCCAGCTATATGTCATTCCCAAATTGGTAATCAGGCCAGTTACGACTTCTCTCAAATGTTCAATAAAAATATTCAGCTGTGGGGAGAGAAACAAGCCAAGACCACTGTGGCATACGCTATTATTTTCCTCCTTCTCAACTGGGTTCTTCTTCAGGATCATATTGTTAGTGTTCACTTCATTAACTTAGAAAATATGCCATTCCATTATATAAGTCATTGAAAAACTTAATAACTTTTTTCACAATGCGTTTTTGATAAACTTCAATGGTTTGACGAAACGTAGAAGTAATTACTTCATTAAGAAAAATGTGTCTATGTTTTTAAATTGAATTAAAGAATAATGAAGTATTTTACTTGAGGCTCACATTTGGGTTAATGACATAATAATTTTCTAGCACTAGATCAAAGATGAAGGCCAAAGGGAGAGTTGAGAATCCATAAAATGGATGTATACCATAGGCTAGGATGTAGCTACTCAAACCTCAGCAGTATGTTGACATCACAATTACTTAATGATATTCCTGGATTTTTTATGATTGCATAGGCACCTAAATCACTCTGGGGCTTAACATAAATAGAGCAATAAAAGGGAGCCATCTAAAATAGCATTAACCTTTTAAAATCATGTTTCCCATTGAGTATAAGCTAAGGAATTGGGGTAATTGAGTGACTCATTTTGGCATGATTATAAAAGGGGCAGAGGGGAAACGTGCAAATATGTTGATATTCATCTAACAAATATTTTTAATAAATTAAATTGAGTCTATCCCTGGCTATGGATTCCTGAAGAATAATCACAGTTTATCAGTTAAATAATCTCCAGCCTAACCCGTATCCTCACCTTCTCTCATCTCCACCAAAGAAAATAATGAGATTTGACTTGCTGAGATGGATATGTATCTCACCCCAGCTATAACCTGAGCCTCTTTGACCAGTGAGTTTATGGGAAGGTCTTTTCCCTTCCAGGGGATCAGAGACCACCTGCTCTAAGAAGAGCAGGGAGAAAGTTGGACACACGCACAGAAAGTGGGGCATAGGGCTGGGTAGGGAAACTATTGCAGGGTAATGACGTTTCTCGTCCCTCCTCGGGTCCACCTGGCTGGCCTGGGTGTGGCAAGAATACTTCCGACTCATTCAAAGAAGCCTCACACTAGAGTGAGCAACCTTCCCAGTTTGTCCAGGACTAAGAGGTTGCCAGGAACTGAGATGTTGCCCAGCACAATGAACTTTTAATACCAAAACTGAGAAAGCTCCAGTCACACTGTGATGAGTTGGTTACCTCATACACACAACTGAACAGGAGGATTGTAAGGGCTTATCCGAGTCCACAAATCTCTTCCCTTAATTCTCCCTGAAACCAAAACTAATGGGGGGTGGTGGGGGTAGGGGGTGGAGACCTGTTCTTAATGTTACCTGTCAAAGCTCAAGGTACTGAATTTGACTCCTTCCTATGAATTCCTGAGGATGTGCAGGGTTGGTGGTTTATCATGGGCCATAATCCAAGATGTGAAGGGTGGGTGGTTTGTCATGGGCCATATAACATTGTGGACAGGAACAGAGACTCTGGTCTCAACTGCCTGAATCCAAATGCCGTGTGACCTGGAGAATTTTTCTTATCCTCTCTGTGCTTTCATGTTCTCACTTGTAAAATGGGAATGAGAGTAAGGCCTAACTCGTAAGTTTGCTGTGAGAATTAAATGAGTTATGATAAAGAGCTTAGTACATTACTGGTCACATAGTCCATAAGCATCTGCTATCATGTCTCTCTTTAGCAATCCAGCAGATCTCTGTTTGACCTTTGATCATTGCTTGTGGCGCGCTTTGTATGATCATTCTTTCTCAGCTTCAAGCACCGTGCTAGATACTAAAAATACACTCATGAATAAGACTAAGTTCCAGCTCTGCCACGGCCACAGTATAGTGGGCAAGATAGACAAATTGGCAATTGTGCTAGTAAAGTAAGAAGTAGAACAAGAGTTAAGGAGTCTGTCATGGGATATCTTAGAGGGTGACACAATTCTGTCTTCCCAATTAAGAAAGTGATATCTAGAGTGACATCTGAAGGAGAAGGAATTGGTAGGACAAAGATAGGGAGGAGGCTGATAGGGCATTTCAGGCAGAGGGAAACAACAGCATTTCGATAGCTGTAAAGTATGAGAAACATGTCACTAAAACATTAAATTCCATGCCCTGTGAGTTCCACCGATAGACCTAAAGTTGCGGAAGAAAAAGAATTGTCTCCGGCCGGGCGAGGTGGCTCACGCCTGTATTCCCAGCACTTTGGGAGGCTGACGCGGGCAGATCACGAGGTCAGGAGATCGAGACCATCCTGGCTAACACAGTGAAACCCTGTCTCTACTAAAAATACAAAAAAAATTAGCCGGGAGTAGTGGTGGGCGCCTGTAGTCCCAGTACTCGGGAGGCTGAGGCAGGAGAATGGCATGAACCTGGGAGGAGGAGCTTGCAGTGAGCTGAGATCGCGCCACTGCACTCCAGCCTGGGCGACAGAGCCCAGACTCTGTCTCAAAAAAAAAAAAAAATTGTCTTCTATTCTCCCCTTCTTTCTTTTGGTAAGAAGACCCTGTTCTCTGCTGGGTTTTAGCCAAGTGCTTAGCCCCTGAGATTTCCTTGAAACTAAGCATGACCTTGTGACTAAGTTTTGGCTAACATGCCAACTTCCAGGATCCTTTTTTTTTCCCTTTTTTTTTTTTTTAAGGAATGTGCTTGCCCTCCACTTCCTCTCTCCCTCTTCCTATGGGCTGGAATATGTGGATTTGGAGTGAGCCAGGTTCCACAATGCTGATGAGTACAATATTTCAGGAGACAGCAGAACAGCATGAAGAAAGAAACCTGGATCTGCAAGTGCCTAGCAGTGAGCAGACCCCACCAACACTGGGCCACTGCTTCTGGACCATCCTAATAAAGTAATGCAAACAAACACGTGTCTCTTTTTAAAGCCATGATATTTGAGTGTCTCCTTATTATGACAGCTTCCTTATACCCTAAGTAAGAAAAAGATAAAGGGAAAAGAGGAATAAAGTTGAAAGAGGAAATGAAGTAGGTAGGAGAAAAGAAAAGGAGAAAGAGGAAGTATGAAAGCTGGAGAAAAATAAGGCTGACAAGAAAATTAAAAAAAAAAATACTGTTTAAGCTTTCTAGTGGTTAAGTGACCTAGGATAGTAATATTTCCAAATAAGCAAATCTGGCAATTGAGGAAGAGTGGCCTGAATTAGTTAAGGACACAGGCAAGTGAAAAAGAGGCATGTTAGAGAGCTGGCCCAGGGACTGCTCTCCAGCCTCTCTGGCATCATGGCCTTCACTTCTTCATGTGGAAGGAAAACTTCCCTGATGAGCACTAACTTTATGTGGGTACTTTATATATGCTGAGTGCTTTGCATGCATCACCTCACTTAATCCTACAAGGACCCTAGAGCTAAGTACTGTCATCCCTACTTTCCATTTGAGGACTGAGAAATTAAATAATTTATCCAATATCACACAGATAGCAAGTCACCGAGATAGGATTTAAATCCAGTCAAGGCCCTCCATAGTCTGTCTAACTGCTGCCTTATACTTCATACCAGGTTGGAGAGTCTTTAGGGAAGACCCTAAGGAATAGTGATAATGCTTCAAAGTTTCAAAGAAGTTGAAGTCTAACCAAAATAGGGATATATTTTCAGCTGCCTTAAAAAGAACACAGAAGAAATACAATTTGTATCAGTTTATCCACTCCACTGCTCATAGATGATGGGCTCACTGGGTGGTGGGGGTTGGGGGGGCACCTAGACCAAGGGCAGCCAATCTATAGTGTCACCACTGGATATGCCAGTTGCTACAGCTGCAAAAATATAAGCTGACCAATTAGAGTTACCCCATTATACATTTGAAGTTGAAAACATCAGCAGAATATCCAGTTATCTACAGGAGCTAACGTCTTGATGTTGAGGTAGAAGCTAGAGAAGACTTGGATAAGTTTGAAGTTAATAGCAAGCAGAAAGTATGAGAAGGGAGAAAAATGAATAAAGATGGTAAAGTTTCATGGGAAAGAGAGCATGTAGCCCATGAACGTGGGCCAGGAAGAATTGCACAGGTTAAGTTCAGGTCATTTGTATTCATAAAATAAAATAAAGCTCAGGAGATGGAGATGGAGCAAGTCGTTTTTTCTATGTAACCCTGAGAGTCAAAAGAGAAAGAAAAAAAAAAGAGTTGGGGGGAGCTTATTTATCTAAGACAGTGCTGGGAACCCCTATGAACCCTCATATTTGTTTAGGGTATCTTTGAGGTAAAAAACTATTTTAATAATAATAATAGAAAAAGGAGGAGGGGGAGGAGGAGGGAGAGTAAAAGGAGAAGGAGAGACATAATTTGTCCTTTTCACTCTCATTCTCTTACATTTGTACAGAGTATAAGAAATTCATCAGCCGGGCATGGTGGCTCACGCCTGTAATCCCAGCACTTTGCGAGGCTGAGGCGGGTGGATCACCTGAGGTCAGGAGTTCGAGACCAGCCTGGCTAACCTGGTGAAACCCCGTATCTATTAAAAATACAGAAAACTTAGCTGGGCATGGTGGCAGGCGCCTGTAATCCCAGCTACTCGGGAGGCTGAGGCAGGAGAATCACTTGAACCCGGGAGGCGGAGGTTGCAGTGAGCTGAGATCGCACCACTGCACTCCATGTACTCCAGCCTGGGCGACAGAGCGAGACTCTGTCCGCGCCCACCTCCCCCCAGCCAAAAAAAAAAAAAAGAAGTTCATGGCCAGGCGCGGTGGCTCATGCCTGTAATCCCAGCACTTTGGGATGCCGAGGCGGGTGGATCACAAGGTCAGGAGATGGAGACCATCCTGGCTAACACGGTGAAATCTTGTCTCTACTAAAAATACAAAAAATTAGCCTGGCGTGGTGGCCGGCGCCTGTAGTCCCAGCTACTTGGGAGGCTGAGGCTGGAGAATCAGTTGAACCCGGGAGGCAGAGGTTGCAGCGAGCGGAGATCACGCCACTGCACTCCAGCCTGGGCGACAGAGTGAGACTCCGTCTCAAAAAAAAAAAAGAAGTTCATTAACATAGTTTGAGATTTCACATTGTGGCTAATCTTTAAGAAACAGCCACCTGTCAAGTTTAAGTATATTATTAAAGAAGAATATCCAGAATTACCTGAAAGGTTATTAAAATACTTTTCTCTTTTTCAAGTAAACAAATGTGTGACAGGCTAGATTTTCAATCAAAATGCTACATCACAACAGATCAAATGAAGAAGCACATATGACAATCTAGTTATCTACTAATAACCCAAACATCAAAGAGGTTTGCAAAAATGTAAAGCAATAAATGTAAAAGTCTTCTCACTTTGTTTTGAAAAATAGTTATTTTTCATAAAAAATTGTATTATTTATGCTACCAAAAATGAGTTTTTATTATTTTTAAATGGATTAATAAACATTTTTAAATTTTGTCAGCTTTAATATCCACTAAGGTAAGTAAGATAGTCCACATAAACCTCTTTGGGGTCTCCAATAATTTTTAAGAGTGTAAAAGAGTCTTGAAACTGAAAATTTTGAGAATTGCCCCTCTTGTTTTTATTTTTAATAGACTTTATTTTTTAGAGCAGTTTTAGGTTCACAGCAAAATTGAGCAAGAAGTACAGAGATTTCCTGTGCAGCCCCTTCCCCCACACATGCATAGATTCCCCTGCACTTACTATTCCCCACCAGAGTAGTTCACTGATTATGTTTGGAGAACCTACATTTACATGTTATTATCACCCCAAATCCACAGTTTATATAAGTATTCACTCTTGATGTCGTGCATTCTGTAGATTTGGACAGTCATTTAATGACATGTACTCACCATTAGATTATCGTACAGAATAGCTTTACTCCCTAAAAATCCTCTGTGTTCTGCCTTTCTCTACCTAAGCCCTGGCAACCACTGATCTTTTTACCATCTCCATAGTTTTGCCTATTCCAGAATGTCATATAGTAATTGAAATTATACAGTATGTATAAGGAATATGCATTTCAGCCTCCTCTGTGTTTTTTCGTGACTTGATAGTTCATTTTTGTGTGCACTAAATAATATTTCATTGTCTGGATGTACCACAGTTTGTCATCTAAATACCAAAAGACATCTTGGCTACTTCCAAGTTTTGGCAATTAAGAATAAAGCTACTATAAACATCCACATATAGGCATTTGGGTGGACATAAATTTTCCGCTCCTTTGGGTAGATATCAAGGAGCACGAATGCTAGATTATACGATAAGAGTATGTTTAGTTTTACAAAAAACCACCAAATTGTCTTCCAAAGTGGCCATACAATTTTGCATTTTCACCAGCAATGAATGAGAGTCCTTGCTGCTCCACACCTTTGCCAGCATTTGGTATTGTCAATATTCTGGATTTTGGACACTCTAAGAGGTGTATATTAGATTGGTGCAAAAGTAACTGTGGTTTTGACTGTGAATTTTAAATCATTATAACTAGGCTCAAACATATCTTTATTAATCAAAATAGGAACCATTACAATCAACACATTTTTGCCAAGGAGAAACGTTTGTCTATTCCTGTAGCATGGAAGTCTGTGCTTCAGGGTTCAACAAAATCTTGGAAAGCGTTTTCTGCATCCTGCTGGTTGTGCAAGTGTTTTCCCTGCAAAAAGTTGTCAATATGCTTGAAGAAGTGGTAGTCGGTTGGCTAGAGGTCAGGTAAATATGGTGGATGAGGTAAAACTTTGTAGCCCAATGCATTCAATTTTTGAAGCATTGGTTGTATGACATGCGGTTGGGCATTGATATGGAGAAGAATTGGGCCCTGTCTGTTGACCAGTGCCGGCTGCAGGCATTGCAGTTTTCAGTGCATCTCATCAATTTCCTGAGCATACTTCTTAGACGTAATGGTTTCGCTGGGATTCAGAAAGCTGTAGTGGATCAGACTGGCAGCAGACCACCAAAGAGTGACCATGACCCTTTTTTGGTACAAGTTTGTCTCTGAGGAATGCTTTGGAGCTTCTTCTCGGTCCAACCACTGAGCTGGTCATCATCGGTTGTGGTATAAAATCCACTTCACATTGCACATCACAATCCGATCAAAAAATGGTTTGTTGTTGTTGCATAGGATAACAGAAGACACTTCAAAATGACGATTTTTTTTTATTTTCACTCAGCTGATAAGGCACCCACTTATCGAGCTTTTTCACCTTTCCAATTTTGCTTCAAATGCCAAATGACCACAGAATGGCCGACAGAACTGCAGAAGTTATTTGGCAACTTCTCCTGCAGTTGTAAGAGGATCAGCTTCGATGGTTGCTCTCAACTGGTTGTTGTCAACTTTCAATGGCCGGCCACTATGATCCTCATCTTCAAGGCTCTTGTCTCCTTTGCTAAACTTCTTGAGCCACCACTGTCCTGTTAAGTTGGTTAACAGTTCCTGGGCCAAATGCACCGTTAATGTTGTGAGTTGTCTCCACTACTTTACACCCCATTTTGAACGCGAATAAGAAAATCACTCAAATTTTCTTTTTAAGTGAAATAACTCAAAAATGGAAAATCAAACATCATATGATATGTAGAAGCTAAGCTGCGAGCTCACTGATATGTAGAAGCTAAGCTGTGAGGATGCAAAGACGTAAGAATGATACAATGGATTTTGGGGACTTGGGGAGAAGAGTAGAAGGGAGGTGAAGGATAAAAGACAATAAATATGGTGCAGTGTATGCTGCTTGGGTGATGGGTGCACCAGGATCTCACAAATTACCACTGAAAAACTTACTCATGTAACCAGATACCACCTGTACCCCAATAACTTATGGAAAAATAAAATAAAATAATAATCATCATCATTTGCTTTTTGACTAACATCATTTCTATAGTCTAAAATAAATATAAAATTAAGAGCAATTAGTAAGTCATTAACAAAAGAAACATAAAGCAAGAATGCACATTAAAATGGTGTATAACATAACTACATTTATTTAAGAATGTATTCCAATATGAACAGCAAATTTCAACAATGCAAAAACTGCAACTGTGTTTGCACCAACCTAATAGTAGTATCTTATTGTTGTTTTAATGTGCATTTTTCTAATGATATAAAATGTGGAGCATCTTTTCATGTGCTTATTTGTTATGTGCATATCTTTTTGGTGAGGTACCTGTTAAGATCTTTAGCCATTTTTTAATTGGGTGGTTCATTTTCTGATTGACTGAGTTATAACAGTACTTCGTATATTTTGGGTAACAGTCTTTTATCAGATATGTCTTTTGCAAATTTTCTCCCAGTCTATGGCTTGTCTTCTCATTCTCTTGACACTGTCTTTTGCAGAGCAATTTTTATTTTTAATGAAGTCCAGCTTATCAATTGTTTTTTTCAAGTATTATGCCTTTGGTTGTATCTAAAAAGTAATTACCAAACCCAAGGTCACCTAGATTTTTTTTTAGTTATCTTCTAGGAATTTCATAGTTTTGCATTTTATACTTAGGTCTACTTTTTCTCCATTGTATTAATTTTGCTCCCTTGTTAAAGACCATTCATTTAAACAAAGCCATTCATTTAAACTTCAATTATAACAGTACTTTGTATATTTTGGGTAACAGTCTTTTATCAGATATGTCTTTTGCAAATTTTCTCCCAGTCTACAGCTTGTCTTCTCGTTCTCTAGACACTGTCTTTTGCAGAGCAATTTTTATTTTTAATGAAGTCCAGCTTATCAATTGTTTTTTTCAAGTATTATGCCTTTGGTTGTATCTAAAAAGTAATTACCAAACCCAAGGTCACCTAGATTTTTTTTTAGTTATCTTCTAGGAATTTCATAGTTTTGCATTTTATACTTAGGTCTACTTTTTCTCCATTGTATTAATTTTGCTCCCTTGTCAAAGACCAGTTGATTATATTTAGGTGGGTCTGTTTCTAAGCTCTCTTTTCTGTTACATTTATCTGTTTGTCTTTTCTTTCACCAGTACCACATTGTCTTGATAACTGTAGCTTTACAGTAAATCTTGAGATCAGGTAATGGCAGTCCTCCAACCTGGTTCTGCTTCTTCAATATTGTGTTGATTATTCTGGGATTTTTGCCTTTTCATTTAAACTTTAGGGTTAATTTGTCAAAATTCACAAAATAACTTGCCGAGATTTTGATTGGAATTGCAATGAATCTACCGATCAAGTTGAGAAGAACTGACATCTTGACACTCTTGTGTCTTCTTATCCATGAATATGGAATAACTCTTCATTTATTTAGTTCTTCTTCAATTTTAATTTAATTTAATTTAATTTAATTTAATTTAATTTAATTTTATTTTATTTTGAGACAGAGTCTCTCTCTGTCACCCAGGCTGGAGTGCAGTGGTGCGATCTCAGCTCACTGCAAGCTCTGCCTCCCAGGTTCACGCCATTCTCCTGCCTCAGCCTCCTGAGTAGCTGGGATTACAGGCACCCACCACCATGCCTGGCTAATTTTTTGTATTTTTTAGTAGACACAGGGTTTCACCATGTTAGCCAGGATGGCCTCGATCTCCTGACCTCGTGATCCGCCCGCCTCGGCCTTCCAAAGTGCTGGGATTACAGGCATGACCCACCGCGCCCGGCCTCTTTAATTTTTTAAAGCAGTTTGTAGTTCTCTTCATATAGATTTTTTACATATTTTGTTATAATTTACACCTAAGTATTTTATTTTGAGGGTGCTAATCTAAACAGTATGATATTATAGTTTTTATTTCAAATTCTACTTGCTCATTGCTGGTATAAGGGAAAGCAATTAATTTTTTATATTAACCTCATATCTTGCAACCTTGCTATAATTGCTTATCAATTCCAGGAAGGATTTTTGTTTTTGTTTGGTTTATTTTTTTCATATTTTCTACACAGACAATCATATCATCTGTGAACAAAGATAGTTTTATTTATTTTATCCTCATCAGGATACCTTTTGTTTCCTTTGTTATCCTATTGCATTAGGTAGAACTTCCAGTATGACCTTGAAAAGGAGTGGTGAAAAGGTATATCCTTGCCTAGTTCTTGATCTTGTTGGGAAATCTGGTTTCTTGTAATTGAATATGATGTTAGCTGTAGGGTTTCCATACATATCTTTTATCAGGTTGAGTTTAGTGTCTGACATTAAACTGGGGGAAATTCTCAAGTTTTTTTGTTTTGTTTTTTTTTTGGAGACAGAGTTTTGCTCTGTTGCCCAGGCTGCAGTGCAGTGGTGCGATCTCAGCTCACTGCAACCTCTGCCTTTCGGGTTCAAGCAATTCTCCTGCCTCAGCTTCCCAAGTAGCTGGGATTACAGGTGCCCACCACCACTCCTGACTAGTTTTTTTGTACTTTCAGTAGAGATGGAGTTTCACCATGTTGGCCAGGCTGGTCTTGAACTCCTGACCCCACGTGATCTGACTTCCTGGGCCTCCCAAAGTGCTGGGATTACAGGTGTGAGCCAGGCCAATTCTCAGTTATTATTGTTTCCAATATTTCTTCTGTTTCTTTCTCTCTTTCTTCTTCTGCTGTTCCTATTCTGCGTGGTATACCTTTTTAGTTGTCTCACAGTTGGTGGGTATTGTATTCTGGGTTTGTTTGTTTTTTTTTCAGTATTTTTCTTTGCTTTTCAGTTTTGGAAGTTTCTATTGAAAAAATCCTCAAGTTCAGAGATTCTTTCTCAGCCTCATTCAGTCTACTAGTAAGCCTATCAAAAGCAATCCGTATTTCTGTTATGGTGTTTTGATCTCTAGTACTTCTTTTAAATTTTTTCTTAGGAGTTTCATCTCTCTGCTTGCATTGCCTAACCATTTTTGCATCCTATCTACTTTATTCATTAGATTCCTGACATTTTAATCATAGTTATTTTAAATTTTCAGTCTGATAATTTCAACACCCCTGGTGTATCTAAGTCTGGTTCTGATGCTTGCTGTCTTTTCAAACTGTGGTTGTTTGCCTTTCCGTATACCTTGTAAATTTTTGATAGTCAGTCATGAGGTACGGGGAAAAAAGAACGGGCGCAAATGGGCCCTTAGTAATGTGGTGGTAAGCGTGGAGGAAGGAGAAACATTCTATAGCCTTACAATTAGGTCATAGTCTTTTAATAACCCTGTGCCTCTAGACTATGAACTTTACAAATGCTTGTCGGTGTTCCCCACTCTCAGGTGGGACAGGGTGGCTAGAAAAGGCTAGAGGTAGGTAGTTCCCTTCCCCCGGGTCAGTCAGGCTCTGGTAAAATTCCAGCAGGTTAGGCTCTGGTTAAATAGTTTCCCTGAGGACAGGCCTTGTTAAGAACAAAATGCTCTGGCATCTTTCCAAACGGCTGTTTTTCCCCTCCCCCTGCCAGAAGCATGAGGGAATTTTTCTCCAATACTCACTGTGAGAATCTGGTTACATTACTAGAGGTAAAACTGAGAAAAGTGTACACCCCACCCCAATCATGGCTGGATCCCCCTGAGGGTTTTAACTCATCAGGTTGTCCACATTGAGCCTCCAGCTTTGGTCCATCACAGTTTTGTCTTTCTACCCCAGCACTGATTCCCACGGAAGTCTCTGCTCCTGGGTTTCTGCTCTAGTAAGTTGTGATTCTCTGTATTTGCCTGTCTGTCCCTCCAACTGGGGGACAGCAGTTTGCCCTGTGACCTCACTTCTGTTATTGATTTTTCAGTCTGTTCAGCATTTTACTTGTTAAGACAGAGTGGTGACTTCCAAGCTCCTTATGTGCTGGACCAGAAACTGGAAGTCTGCCCTAGCATTTTTGAAACCCCCTTCATCACTTTGAATTTTATCCAGCCTGCTTCACACTGGTCACAAACTCCTGGGTCACTGCTTTTTCACCATTTTAATCCAATATACACTCAAGGTGCATTTAGAAAGAAGGAAAGTAAAAGCCAGTATGCATAGCATTCTGTGAGGCCTCTGTGTTTTAATTCTCCCTTTAATTATAACCTTAAGTTATAGCTCTCCAGCTCATTTCATTTAGCAGAAGCTTGATGACCAATTCAGATGAAATCCTTTCATAAGTAAGATCATGGATGTTGGCTTACACTGAAATATCTTCCCCCACCCCCCGCCACCCTATTAAATTCTTTATTTCACTCCAAGGCATACTGACTTTACTTTGCCCCCTTTTTATGGATGCAAAATACTAAGTAGTCTTGATTGAATCTTAGAATAGCCAGGCACAGTTTTAAGGGCCTTACATGCATGACTTCACTTATTTATACCAATAACACCCCTGAAGTTGTTGTGAAAATTAAGTGCTTAGAAAGAGAAAGTGTTCAGTAAGAAGGACATGCTCAAGAAACAATGACCATTATTAAATCTTCTCAGATGCCTTGTGAATTGCTTATTGTTATCATTCCCGTTTTACAGATGAGAAAATAGATGTTAAACAACTCCCCAAAGTCACCCATGTGGCACAGTCAACCTTGGAACCCAGACACTCTGGCTTTAGAACCTATGTTTTAACCACCATATTTATGACTTTCATTTGCTAGAAATTTATGAAAGTTTTAGGTAAGACAGACTTTTAATATTTGATTTTAGACCCCTAATGGTCTCTAAAATTGGGGAAATAATCCCGTTTACTTAACTTCCTTTGTTTTTTTTCCAGAAACAATTATAAATAATTAACTTATAATTCCTTAATATTATCCTTATCAATATTGCAGAAAAGGTAGTAAAGAGTTGACAATCACCTGATATCATGGAAATTATATGGATAAGTTTTCCCCAAATATCTTCCCTCAAAAGATGAAAACTCTTTTCTGGTAAAAATTATTGTTATTTTTTGTGGATTATGGATTCTACAGGCTTCAAGATAAGATCAATTGATTTGGCTGACTTCATACATGTTAATGGCAAGGCCAAAACTCAAGTTAGATCCTTCAGGGGTCTTTCCACCAGAGTATGCATTTGGTTGGTGCACAGAAAACCTATGCCAAAAACATTACAAGCAGAAGTTAAAAGACTGGCAGGGGAGAGTCCACATATGTTCATGTTGCTGAGGTGTCAGTTATTATTAATTATAACAACCATGGTAATACTTTTACCTTAGCAGACCTTCTGCTCTGAAGGTCTGCCTCAGCCTCCCAAAGTGCTGGGATTGTAGGAATGAGCCACCACACCCATCAGTAAACAATGAATTGCTATTGTTTATAAATTAAGCAGTCTAAGGAATTTTGCTATAGCAGCCCAAACTGACTAAGACCACATCCCACTGAAAAATTGAATAGTTATCTTACTAACCATGGTACTAAAATGATTAAGTACAGAGCTGAGATCAAAAACATAATGAAGGCCGGGTGCAGTGGCTCAAGCCTACAATCCCAGCACTTCGGGAGGCCGAGGTGGGCGGATCACCTGAGGTCGGAGTTCAAGACCAGCCTGGCCAACTTGGTGAAACCCTGTCTATACTAAAACAATACAAAAAAATTAGCTGGGCATGGTAGCGCACTCCTGTAGTTCCAGCTACTCAGGAGGCTAAGGCAGGAGAATTGCTTGAACCTAGGAGGTAGAGGCTGCAGTGAGCTGAGATCACTCCACTGCACTCCAGCCCGGGTGACAGGGCAAGACTGTCTCAAAAAAGAAAAATAATAATGATGAAGTTAAGAAGTCTATTTAGTGAGTAAGCATTAGAGTCAAACTCAATTTTGCCCCAGAGTTACAGTTCCAAGTGGGTGAACTAAGACAGTGTGAGAAGGTGCCCAAGCTCTCAGAGCCAGCATACTCTTTAGGAATATAGTTTCATTTTCTTTTAGTAGCAGAGTAATACAGCCTCAGTCAGAATAGATGGGAGCAGGAACTAGCCCTTTGGTTTCTTTTAATATGTACAATCAATGGGAAAATAAATAAAAATGTAAAAGTAAAAAGTGAAAAAAAAATCCAAAACAGAGCTGAAAGAAGAAATTAGGAGTTTTGTCACAAATAAGAGAAGTTCTGGGGAAATTACTTTTAGGGAATTGGCAACAACTGAATTTGTACACATTGAAAGGAAAAAAAAGAGAAAAGGTAAAGAAGCGCATTGCTCTAGACCTAAGTTGTCTCTTACCAGTGTGCTTTGTAAACTCAAGACACAGTGCTGAGGACTTATAAAAGGCTTGCCTCAGTAACTAAAATGTCTTTCAAAAAAGCAAATATAAATAGAAGTCATTTACAATTATTAAAAAGGAATTGTTTAACCCATCACAAACTAAACCACTACTAGGAGAGAAAAAGGTCAAGAGTGGCACAGCACCAAACAGGACCTCTGTGCAGAACGGTAGCATTGGGTGGGAATGGCACCTGGGAGGCTCTGGCAAATTTGATGACGAATAAGCAACACCTGACAAGAGGAGTCCGAACTGTCCCCCTGGGTATGATGATGTGCCAACGTGCCCAGAAGAATCTTGGGTTCATGGGGAGTGATGTTGAGTGCCTCATTTGCACATGCATTTAAGCAGAGTAAGCAGAACACAGAACAAAATCTGGTGCAAAAATGCAAAAACCCAGATCTTGGCCTAGCAGTGAGAAACCCTTATTCTAAGATTGCTATTAGGTGAGACAAGTGAGAGGAAGTCCTTTGCTCCAGATATTTCTGTGACCTCCTTTTCAAGGCTCCGTGGTGAGGACTTGCAGATTTCTCTGTGTGGATGACAAATATTTTTAGCACATTGGAGCTATTTTTATGCTGAATGTGGACAGCAAATTGACCCTCCCTGACTACTCCCAGCCCACATGGAAGGGATAAACAATCACTACATAACTCTTCACACTTTGGAAAGCACTCTTTCCTTTCACCATGATAATAATTCTGTAAGCAGAGCAGCAATGATTGCGGAGGACCTCGGTCACAGGGCAAAGCAGCAGCTGTCTTCTGTGAGTCTCATCTCTGCTTCATCAGACCTGCAATAGCTAAAAAGAAAGAGAAAGAAAAGAAAATGTAAGAAAGAAATTTCAATGGAGAGGAAATGTCAGCAAGCCCATCTCTGAGTCTCCATCTCATAGCTTAGAGACTGGGGAGGATGATGCCTTATTTTTTGTTCTGTATTAATGATGCTAGGTATTAAGAGGCAACTGCGTGTAGCCATAGGCATTCGGTTGGCAAAATTGCTTGAGGCGTTTCTCTATAGCCCTCAGTGCCACCACAGACAGCAAAAGTGTTCAGAGAAGATTTTTTCTCTCTTTATTTGTATTTAATATATATGGGGCCAAAAGGTACATATTATTCTCTACAGTGCCAAGCACTTGGCAGATGATGGAAAAACCCAGCATGGACAGCCAAAACTCTGCTTTCAGGACTGGTGAATGGGCCAGGGACAAATTACTGAGTGAGCCCCACCAAGATTTAAACACAGGTGAGAAGGTTAAGTCACATGAGCATCAGGGATAGTCTTTTTACAAATAAGTTGTTGGGTTGTGCTTTAAAACCACAAAACAACAATGTGATTTGCAACAGGCCAAACAATATTGAAATGTACGCTTACCTATAAGGCCAAGTCTCCTCCCCTTCTATCCTTCCCTGCCCTCCAGATAACTGTTATTAATGGTTTGGTATGTATTCTATCTACCATGCTTCATTATAACCAAGCAAACATACATATGTACCACATTGAGTTTTTTTTTTTTTTTTACTCTACATCTAATCCATCAGGAAATCTTTTAGCTATACTTTCAAAATACACCCAGAATCTGAACTGTCCCCCGATCCAGGGCCACCACCAGGTCGAAGCCTCACCATCTCTAGCCTAGATTATTATGGTAGCCTCCTAAATGTTCTTCCTGTTCTAAGATTTTTTAAAACAAAAAATGCATGTCCCTTCCCTGCCTACATCCTCTGAACAGTCTCATTTGCCTCAAAGTCAAAGTCCTCTTTTTACCTGACAAGCCCACCCCATTGCTGCCCCTCAGCTGCATCTCCTACTCCTTCTCCCATTCATTCCATGCCACAGCCTGAGCTCCTGCTCACACTCCTCCGCAAACACACCAGGCAGGCTGCCACCAACCATGGACCTTTGCCACAGCTGGGCCCCTCTGTCTAAAAACTCTTCCACAAAGACCCAGATCACCCGGTCCCTCACTTCCTTCAACCCTTTGGTCAAATGTCACCTTTTCAGTGTGGCCCACCCGGCAAACCCTATTTTAAATTTAAAGTGTTGTGTCCCACTCTCCCTCCCCCTTAAATACACTTTATTTTCTTAAATAAAGTGGAGTGACCTTCTAGTATACTATGTAATTTACTTAATTTACTAGAGTTAGTATTTACTGTTCTTCTCCCAGCTAAGAGGTATGCACAGATTTTCATCTGTTTGTTCGGTATTCCAAAGACCTAGATCAGTGCCTGGAACACAATAAATGTTGGATGACGAAGGAAAATGATTACATCATATCCCATAGGTATGTGTTGCTATAATTTAGTCACTCTTGATAAGGAACTAAACAACAACAACAAAAGATCCCAACAAAGAACAAAGCACATCATGTAGAATAGAATGAGGAAATCATACAAAGCAGGACCAGATGCCTCAACTCTAACATGTATTAAGACTAGACCTTTTAAAATGTAATAAACACCACCTTCTCTGTGAGTGCTGTCCGGTGTTGGTGGTACCACTGGAATACTGGAAATAAATAACAATAACAGAATTAAATGCAAAATATCTGAAAAAATAATTAGGGTCAAGCCTCATGATTTAGGAAAAGTCATTCTTTTTTGTGGGGGAGAAAGTCTCACTCTATCACCCAGGCTAGAGCTCAATGTCGCGATCTCAATTCACTGCAGCCTCCACCTCCTGGGCTCAAGTGATTCTTGTGCCTCAGCCTTCCAGTCGCTGGGATTACAGGCACATACAGGCTAATTTTTTTTGTATTTTTAGTAGAGAAAGGGTTTTACCATGTTGGCCAGGCTGGTCTCTGACCTCAAGTGAGCCACTGCCTCGGCCTCCCGAAGTGCTAGGTTTACAGGCATAAGCCACCGCGCCTGGACTTAGGAAAAGTCACTCTTAACTCTCTGATCTCTTTTTGAGCTAGCTTTCTAAAAGCTGGGAGTTATCAATGCTAGCTCTATAGTGCTATGAGAAATAACAGAGCCAAGGGTCTTCGGAGAGGAGAAAAGGAGAAATACTAGAAAAGTCTATGTGAGATCAAACCCCTCCACCCTCCACTGTGCTAATTCTGCCAGCTAGTCACCTTTGTTGTAATTCATTTTGTTTATTGTTGCTCCTTTTATAGCCTCCCCATGCTGGGCAGTTGCTAGGGAAACAATAAAGGGTGTCAGATATGGCAAGGGTGAGGAAGGGATTAGAGTACCCACACTGCTGAGTGAAATTTATTTAGGTTACAGGAGGGGAGGAAATTCACTCCAGGAATTACTGTGATTGCTCTCATGTCTCCAACAGTCTATAAATATACATACCAGAGGTTCAAACCTCTCTCCTTGCTAGAGCTCAAGTGCCTTAAAAGACAATTGAGTCTGGTTGGAGGGAAAAGAGTCCCAGCAGGCATGCAACTGAAACATATTAAATTCAACGCAGTTGTTAAACACCTAGCTAGTATTTTAAATGTCTCCATCCAGGCGTATTTTTCTTTCTCATGCTCTCCACTGCCCTCAGGACATCAAATATTCTTTTGATATACACAAGACTATCACATAATTACTGCAGTATTACTCCGCCGAGACAGTCAGACTGGCAGCTAGCCCCTCTATTTGGGTTAAATATTGCCCAGCATCCCAAATTCTTCCAGATCCAGGGTTTTATCTCCTTCCAGGTGATGTGGTCTAGAAGTGAGAATGGGAATGGAACAAAGAAATGTCGTAGGATCTAATCTGGCTGTTTCCCTGGCAACTTACGGTTGAGTCAAATCCCAGCGCGGGTGGCTGAGTGGCACCTGTAAGAAGCAAATGTTGGGTTCATTCGTTCATTCATTCAATTCATCCAACAAATACTTATTAAACCTGTAATATGTACCGCAAATTGTGCCACCATGAGGGTAATGACTTTAATCTGGTGTTTCCTTAATGTTGTCATTGAACCATACAAAGATTCATAGACATAGACCCTACCCTTAACGATCATCTTCTCCTGTAAGCGAGACAGTGTTTACTTTTACAACTACAACTCAATGTAGAAAGTAATTGTTGCATAGGATTAACTTGGAGTCTTGTTATCTGATAAAGTGGTGTCAGAGAATCCAGAGAATTTCTGCCCAACTAGGGGTGAGAAAAGAGGTAGAGTGTGGGAGGATCAAGCCTTACTGCACAGATAACATTAAAACTACACTTTGGCTAGGCACGGTGGCTCACGCCTGTAATCTCAGCCCTTTGCCAAGCTGAGGCAGGTGGATCATTTGAGGTCAGGAGTTCGAGACCAATCTGGCCAACATGGTGGTGAAACCCCATATTCTACTGAAAATACAAAAATTGCCCCAGTGTGGTTGCACATGCCTGTAGTCCTAGCTACTCAGGAGGCTGAGGCAGGAGAATCACTTGAACCCAGGAGGCAGAAGTTGCAGTGAGCTGAGATGGCACCACTGCACTCCAGCCTGGGTGACAAAGCGAGACTCCATCTCAAAAATTAAAAAATCAAACATTAAAAAACAACAACATGTAAAAGGTGGATTTGGCCAGTCACGGTGGTTCACACCTGCAATCCCAACACTTTGGGAGGCCAAGGCAGGTGGATCACCTGAAGTTCGAGACAAGCCTGGCCAATGTGGCGAAACCCCATCTCTACGATAAATACAAAAATTAGCCGAGTGTGGTGACGGGCACCTGTAGTCCCAGCTACTAGGGAGGCTGAGGCAGGAGAATCGCTTGAACCCGAGAGAGAGATGTTGCAGTGAGCCGAGATAGCACCACTATACTCCAGCCTGGGCGACAGAGCGAGACTCCATCTCAAAAAAAAAAAAAAAAAAAAAGATGGATTTGCTGGTGAACAATAAAACGGGAAGTCAGAGGAAGAGAAAAGAAAAGGGAAAGAGAAGAGGAAGTGACATTTGTGTTCAGATCTATAGAAAAGCTGCTACAACCAAGATCAGTTCCTAAAAACCTAGAGAAATGTGTGAAGTTTGACCCCACTTGCACATTCCTTCCCCACTTGTGTCGGTGGCACACCAACACTCCACCCCAGCCCACTCCATTTTCACATCCTCTACTTTTCTAAAATTGGGAAGCTTTGAAGCCAGATTCCTTCTCCCATCCCCTCCCTTGCCTTTTCTTCAGTGTACTTTCACTCCCAGCCCTTTTCCCTTTACGGTCAGATAATCTATTCTCAGGAAATGACTCACACCAAGGTATAAATTACCAGTATTGACACAGCATGTTACACTTAAGCAGACTGTTCGCTTTACAAGATAAGTGGCCTTTATCCAAAGAAATGACGTTGGATCTCAGACTGCAGGGTGCTTGTAGGAGTGGGAAGCAAGCGTTGCTAGGAGGAATAGAAATTTTCATCTTTTCTGGATGTGGGGTCTACTCTCCCTTCTTCATGTGTCTATTTTGGGTCTTCCCTCCACTAAAGCTAAGCTCTCTGATGGCAGTTTTGTCCATCTGGTTAGAACAGTGCCTGGGCAATAGTAGATACTCAAAAAGTATTAATACTTGTTATTTTAGTGAATGTTTAGTAAATGGCTTTTAGTGAATGTTGTCTGTTTCTAGTGCCCTGCAGCACAGATCTGATAAACTGAGGGAGAGAAGGGTAAGTAAGAAAGCCTGAAATTTAAAAATAAATATAATTTTATTTTAAATGATGTACATGTTATTGTTGAAAAAACTTAAATACAGAGAAGCAAAAATAATAAAGTAAAAGGTATTCATAATTCTCTCTCCAGGATCAATACCTGTTAAGATAGTGATGTAAACCCATCCAGATTTTTACCCATATCTACGTATAACAAAAAAGCACACTGTATTTAACATTCTAAACTTGTTTTTTAAAATACAATAAATCAAGATCATCTTGCCATGTAATAACATATTTTGTGTCCTTTTAAATGACTGCCTAATAATAATCTAGGCTGCTAGATATACCAGCAGACCCTATTCTACCAATTCTCTACTGCTGGAATCAGGTTGTTTCCAACTTTTCACTAGTACTTGTAAAAACACAGCAAAGAATGTCTTTATCACAAAATCTTTGTGCTTATTTCCTCTTACAAGTGAAAATATTGTCATCATTACTCTTAAAACATTGACAATATTTATCAAATACACCCTCTGTGCCAGGTACTTTACAAAACATTATTTAATCCTCCCCCAAACCCTACTATTTACAGATGAGGAAACTGACTTTGGAGATGCTGAGTCATTTGTCTGAGGTTACCATTAGTCATGCCTTTAATGTTTTTGATACCTATTGGCAAATTGCCTTCTGGAAACAGGGTTTGGAATGCTGTAGGGAATACTAGAAACCTGTTGTTTCAGATAAATCCTCCATGAAGGAAAGATTACACAATCTCCTTTAGTGAGCTATTCCCGTTTTATCGGCCTGTCAACATTGTTTTCTCCATTATGTTTACCCAAAACCTTTGTGATAATATAATTACCTATACTACCGGGCAGTGAGGTATCTTTTTGATTCACAATCTCATCAGACTGTATTCCAGAGAAGCAGAACATTCTGGGGCTCAGAGTCCTAAAACATGGGTTTCAACCTGATTTTATCTTTCCTGGAGTGAGGTCCTGAGACACATCAGTTTACTTACCTAAGACTTGGCTTTCATATAAAATGGCAAAACTAATACGAACCTAACTGATCTCCCAGCGTTGTGATGGTGGGATGAGATGATGAAATTGAAAGAGCTTTGCATGCTGGAAAGAACAATAGAAATGCAAGGTATTGTAATTATCAATGGCATCATCATGATCATCTCCATCCTTAAATCTATTACCTTGCTCTTATTCAGGCCTTTGCTTTCTTAGACAGAACCAACTTGCTTTTTGATACCAATTCATATGTAAAACAAACATTTTATCTAAATTCATATAGAACAAAGGGAGGCATCTTTTACTGGCACCTGTTGGTAGCAAGCGTTAGGGAGCCTTGTTCTTTTGGACTAGTGACTGAGAGAAATGAAAGCTTGAGATAAAGATGTGGGTAGATCCTGAGAAGAGACAGAAAAGACCAGAGGCTGGGAGCCACAATTGAGAGAAGTGCCCATTCCCCAGGAAGCAACAAACG
The DNA here is from genome assembly GCF_000001405.40 of Homo sapiens. Lineage (NCBI taxonomy): Eukaryota > Metazoa > Chordata > Mammalia > Primates > Hominidae > Homo > Homo sapiens. Next base: position 47,136,760 of record NC_000006.12, read on the forward strand.
GTGGTGCTTTTACTAAGTGAAAACAATCAGAGCAAAATAAAATAAAAGATGGGAGGGAAAGGAAGATAAAAGAAGAAAATGGAAATCAGAAAGGAATGAACTGTGGTATTGAGGGATACTTGGGGTGACAGTTGGTAAGAAGGCGCAATTAATTGAAATTTAGACCAGGCTGATATAACTGGATCATACATTCCTGTGCCTGTATCCAGAGGATAGTGCATTCGAGAAAGTACTAATAGGGAAATGGAACCAGACCTGTATAAACCTTCGGGCTTCGACTATAATTAGGTTTGCATCTCATTGTCTTAATCTTTAAAAGAAAGAAGTTCCTGTACATATCTGGGCTTTCTAGTCCTGAATTCTACAATTATCTACAGTATTTTCTATCAAATTCCTTTGTCCACCAGGCTATGAAAATTTCTTCTTCTCTTTCCAATACTCTGGACTTTAAAATCACTGAAATCTCATCCTGAAGGGACAGAAGAGTCAATTTAGAGCACCCAGTATGTTATTCAAGTTGATGTGGTCCAAAGTGCATTTTGTCTTCCTGGAAACCACAACACAACATGAAATAAAGGCTTTACAGGAGAATCCATTCATACTGCCTACAGGGTCTGAGGATCTTGAGAAATCTACTGTGCAGAGAAGTTAAATTTTTAAATTTAATTTCTGCTTGCTAATTAGTCATTCCCAAATAAAAAGAAAAAGAGAGGTTAATCTAATACAGGCTTTGAAACAAAGCAGAAGATTAAAGTTAACTTCTCAGGAAGAATTCTGAGGACAGCACAAAGAGAAGGGAAAAATGGATAATTGATATCAAGCACGACTTCTCAGAAAAAAAAAAACTTGAATGATTGTAAATGGAACTATTCTGTGCCATAATTTCTTAAAGATGTATTTCCCCACTAAGGATGGATATGAGACTAATGGCTTTCCTTTCCTCTCTTTAATCAGAGAGCTAGATGTCATTTAACTGCCAAATTCTTGCAACGTTATTATTTGGGTTTAAAAAGGCAAAATGGCATGTTTCTACAAACGGTTTGAGACTGTAAAAATGCAAATAACTCAGCCTAATTTACAAATTGGTGGGCGAGGGGGCTGAGCCCAGAGAAGTGTTCAATCACTAATTTTCCCATTCTGCCAGAGCCAAAGAAGCTGTTGCATGGATCTCTGATTTTTTGCGTGGAAAACTGGCACTTGGTTTTCCAGCCTGTCATTTCAGATTGAAAAGCTTTGTCTTAAATCCTTCAGACATGAAGTTGGGCAATGATGCCTGTGAGTAAATTCAATTCCTGGAACCAAATAGATGAAAAAAAAATTATAATGATAGGAAGCTACGTGTCTTCAAAGTGGTATTTTAGAAAGAAATTTATTGGAAATGATGAGAACGTAATTTAAAAAGTGTATCATCTCGGTTATAGGAGCTGAGCTGGGTTTTACAGAGTTACCGCGAGGATTTCTGTTGTGGGAAAATACCCAGGAAGTGACTGAGCCCAGCCAGACGTCACTGGAGACATGCAGAAGAAAAGGCAAGATTGGTTGTGACTCTCCTCTTCTGGGAACATTCTAGAAAGGGGTAGCAAGGATGCTGAAACCAGGCCAGCTCCATAAGACCTCACTTTGCAGAAATAGAGAGAAGTAAGGGGTGTAGGTAGGAAGAACAGAGTGGTACTGAGAAGTCTCAAGGAAGAGAGCGAAGGGGAAGAGCAGCATAGAAAGTGTGGCTGCATTTGCGTGGTGGTCTTACTGCGTACAATGGTTGAGTTCCATGGTCCTTGTCAGCCTCCCTCACAGGGGGAATGCGCAGATCTCTGAAAAAAATAGCTCCCTCTTCAGCCTGCCCCGAAATCCCCACCTATTTCCACAACAGGGAGAATGCAAATTTTCCTGCGGAAAAGCAAATAAACTGTTTTTAGGAATGAATGTTGAAATAAATTAAACCTTGATGACTCATTCATGTCTTGGAAAATTTTTATTTACCAGAAGTTATCTCTTTTGCAGGAATTCTGAAAAAAAGAAGTATTTTTTATAATCCATTTTATTTAATTAATTAATTCATTATTTATTTATTTACTTTTGAGATGGGGTCTTGCTCTGTCTCCCAGGCTGGTGTGCAGTGGCACGATCTCAGCTCACAGCAGCCTCCACCTCCTAGGTTAAAGCAATTCTCCCACCTCAGCCTTCCTAGTAGCTGGGATCACAGGGGCATGCCACCATGCCTGGCTAATTTTTGTATTTTTAATAGAGATGGGGTTTCATCATGTTGGCCAGGCTAGTCTCGAACTCCTGACCTCAGGTGATCCACCCACTTTGGCCTCCCAAAGTGCTGGGATTACAGGTGTGACCCACTGCCCCTGGCCCATTATTTTCATTTCAATGGTGGAGAGAAGAACATGGGACAAACTTGTAAAGGGTTGTAGTCATGTATTTAACAAGTGTTTACAAGCACCCACTCTGCAAGGTCTTATACTTGAAGTAGAGACTTTCAAAGAGCCTTAAGGCACCATCACTGTCCTCAGGGTCTTACATCTCCTTAGAGATCTCAATAAAACCTGAACTGTATGGAAGGAAACACTCAACAGAAGGCAGGATATAAATCCCAAATGAAAAGCAGAAGGGGTTCTAAGTGCCAGAAGTCAAAGGGGAGAGAAGACCTTCAAGGAGGTTCACAGCTATCCCAAGAGAGGGGCTTAAGTACATTACTGCTAACAGCACAGACAATGCAAAAAGGGAAGGCGGGCGTGGGGCCAAGGAGGGGCTCAGGAAAAGGCTAGCTGGGGGATGAGGACACACAACACAGGAAAACAACCCATGGAATAAGAAAGAGAGCTCCTAGGGGGAATTCAAAGATGGGAACCAGACTTGAACAGACCAACAGCAATACTTTTAGCAATGCAATTTTGTCTAACAGAAAGACAGCGTACAATCTTGGAGTCAGATAAACAGCTATCTTGTGTTGGGCCCAGTGTAGCGCCTTGGTGTCCTCATTTGTAAAACTGGGATAAAAACCCTTATCTCAAAGGATAGCAAAGGATAAGTTACACAGCAATGGGTCTGACACATAGTGGGACCTTCACACAAGTTCAGTCCCTTCCTCTGACCTCCAGATCTTTTCATCCTGCTCCCCATCACACTCAATAAACTTGAAAAAGAAAGAACATTCACCATACTTTTTTGGTTAGGTTGATCCATAAATCACTTCTTTTTCTTTTTTAATAGGGACAAGGTCTTGCTATGTTGCCTATGCTGGTCTCAAACTCCTGGGCTCAAGTGATCCGCCTCAGTCTCCCAAAGTGCTGGGATTACAGGAGTGAGCCACTGCATCCATCCCCATAAATTGCTTCTATAAACGGTCTTTGGGAAAAGGAAATAGTGGAAGTATAAAAGTCTACTCTGAATATTTGGGGATATAACATCTCCTAGGATCTGTCCTTCAAGAAAAACCACTATTAGGAATAATATAGAAAACAAATATTTTATATGCACCCTGAATGGAGGGCATTATTAAATCCCTTGTTAAAGTTAGCACTTTCCAAGTAGGAATTTTGTTTGTAAAATAAGTTTTGCACAGCTGGTGTCAAACCCCTTTCCTTGCTCCCAATATTCTAATAATTGCAATCAGCTTTGGTGATTTCTCAGAGGTGAATTACAGTAACTCTTCCTCCAAGCCTTACAACAATTTTCCCTCATTTTTTATCATTATTACTCAAAAATGCTGATGCTTTTAAGAGGCAACTCCTCCATACAGTTAGGATTCTCCACCAACTCTGCATTCTTGTCTTCATCCTAAAGGCCATGTAGAAGGAAGAAGGTGATAGAAGAAGAAAATTTCACAGTAAAAGTCAAAATTTTACCTAGGTACTACCTTATATGTATTCAGCTTTGTGGGTTTTTGTTTGTTTTTTTGCAGTTAGCTTTTATGTCTTACATACAAGATTTGTAAATTAAGAACTAGTTTCTACATCCCTGAGGTTTTTGGCACCTGTTTTTTCCCTCCCTATATTACCACTACCATCACGATTCAATTGCTCTGGAAAAGATATCTGTCAATACTGTCAAAGAACAAAATTTCAACACATTGAGTTTTGAAGATTGAATTGACTTTTATTAGTTATCCATGCAGTGGGAAACCTCCCAGCAATGAAATAGAAAGACACTCTGCTGAGCAGAGAGGCTGGGCCTTATAGGCAGAAAAGCCTCAAGAAAGTGGAGACAAGGAACAAGAAGCAGATTTGTCATTTCCCTGTATGGGTTAAAGCAGAAGGGACTTCCTAATCATGCCGGCTCAGGTCTCCTTTTCTATTGGCTGTTGTGAATCTCCTGGGTTTTTGTTGGTGATGTTTTAAACTGGCCTAACCCCAGTGACTCCTTTCTGGTCTAGTCTGGTCTCTTGGGGCCTATTGTAGGAGCTCAGTCTAGAACAATGGCCTCTCATAAATTTTATTTAACCATACAAACTAAAATGTTTGCCTTTAGGGTTCTAGTTGATATATTTAGAAAATGTAATAAGAATTAATTACAATGAGGCTTCTTGTCACTATTAAGGCTTAGAAATCTTAAAGTAGGCTGGGCATGGTGGCTCACTTCTGTAATCTGAGCACTTTGGGAGGCAGAGGTGGGCGGATCACTGGATCCCAGGAGTTGGAGACCAGCCTGGGCAACATGATGAAACCCTGTCTCTACTAAAATACAAATACAAACCCTGTCTCTACAAAAATACAAATGTGGTGGCGTGCACCTGTAATCCCAGCTACTCAGGAGGCTGAGGCACGAAAATCACTTGAACCCAGGAGGTGGAGGTTGCAGTGAGCTGAGATTGTGCCACTGCACTCCAGCCTGGACGACAGAGTAAGACTCTGTCTCAAAAAAAGAAAAAAGAAATCTTAAAGTTTATCTCAACCTTCTTAAAACTCTACCTGCGTTTTAGATAAGCTTCTCCAAGATTTACTAGCTCAGCTCTGCCCAGTTATTAAACAGCTATGTATTCCTTTCGTTTGGTTAACAGCACACACATGTTTTCCTCCATTATACTTTTAAATAGAAACAGAATTTAATATTTAAAGAGTATGTCAGGAAAAAATGTGAAGAACTCTGAAATGAGCAAAAAAGTTATCTAATATTCTTCCAGTGGAATATTACATAGTGCCTAGTGCACCTTTCCCAGTTATCTGATTCTCTAAGAACTGAGCCATTTTACAACTTTAAAAATTGTAGAAAACTGATAGTAATGGAAATAAATCTTGCCCATAAAGATGTAAGAGAACTGTGTCCAGTAGAGATTCAATTGATTTCTCCGTGGTGAAAGTGGCCAGTTTTGCATTTATCAGGAAATTCACTTCATGATCATTTATTTCCTATTTATGTCAGTTTTACAGATTCCCCTTTGTTTTACTAGTTTCCTCATTAATTGATGGTAATAACATCTTACTAGTTCCTCATTAACTAATAGCTTAAATAAAATCGTTGACATGTATTCATTTTATATTGTATGTGAGTCAGAATTTTACCATTTAAAAGGTTTCCTTTAGCAATAGGGAACTATAATTATTGCAAACTAATTCTGTACTTAAAAGAATGAAAAAAATTAGAGCAAGACTTATCTAATATGTTTAAGTAGACAATGTTAACAATGATAATTCTTATCAAGCCCTCCAAAAGAATTGTGAAACCCCTGTGAGCTCTATTTCCATGTGATCATTTCCCTCAGAAAATCTATCAGTTTAATTATCTTTTCCTGAAGAAATCTCAGCTGGGCCTTCCTTACTCCTCTTCCACTCAGAATTATTTGCACAACTGTGGTCCTGGGACTTTCCTTTCCATCTCTATATTTCTGGTCTTATGTTTTCCTCTTTCTTTGTTTAACCCCGTATTTTTGAGATGCATATCCTATGGTATCTTTTGAGAAAGTGTTCACAGGGAATAGATTTTAGAGACATTGCCAGTCTTAAAATATATCCTTATCCCACTTTTACTCATGATTTGTTAGTTTGGCTAGGTATGGAATTCAACAAACCTCACTCCCAACTCCTTCCTCCAAATGATTTCTTTAAAATGGTAAATGTGTTTCTTTACTTTTTAAAAAAATTGTTTTATTTGTTTATTTTTAAGAGACAGAATCTTTCTATGTTGCCCAGGCTGACCTCAAACTCCTGGGCTCAAGTGATCCTCTCATTTCAGCTTCCGCAGTAGCTTGGGTTACAGGTGTGTGATGCCACACTCAGCTTAGAATGGTAACTGTGTTTCTTCATTGTCTTGTTTGTTTCCCATCTCCTTCCTTCCTTTTCTTTCTTTCTTTCTTCCTTCCTTTCTTTCTTTCTTTCTTTTTCTACTTCCTTTTTTTTTCTTTCTTTCTTTCTTTCTTTCTTTCTTTCTTTCTTTCTTTCTTTCTTTCTTTCTTCTTTCTTTCTCTCTCTCTCTCTTTCTTTCTTTCTCTCTCTCTTTCCTTTCTTTCTTTTTTTTTTTCAGTGTCTTGCTCTGTCAACCAGGCTGGAGTGCAGTGGCACAATCTGGCCTCACTGCAACCTCCACCTCCCAGGTTCAAGCGATTCCCCTGCCTCAGCCTCCTGAGCAGCTGGGATTACAGGCATGTTCCACCATGCCTGGCTAATTTTGTATTTTTAGTAGAGATGGGGTTTCACCATGTTGGCCAGGCTGATCTCAAACCCCTGAACTCAGGTGATCCACCCACCTCAGCCTCCGAAAGTGTTGGCATTACATATGTGAGCCACCATGCCCAGCCACAAATTTTTTTTTTTTTTTTGAGATGAAGTTTCACTCTTGTCGCCCAAGCTGGAGCGCAATGACATGATGTCTTGGCTCACTGCAACCTCCGTCTCCTGAGTTCAAGCCAGTCTCCTGCCTCAGCCTCCCAAGTAGCTGGGATTACAGGTGCCCACCACCATGCCTGGCAAATTTTTGTATTTATAGTACAGATGGGGTTTCACCACATTGGCCAGGCTGCTCTTGAACTCCTGACCTCAGGTGATCCACCCACCTTGGCTTCCCAAAGTGCTGGGATTACAGGCGTGAGCCACTGCACCTGGCCTTATTTCCCATTTTCATATTGAGAAGACAAATGCCGTTTTTAGTCTTTTTCTTCTAGGAATCCTCTATTTTTCCTTCCGGAAGCTTTTAGAATTTTTCTCTTTATTCCAGTTTATGGAAATTTCACAATAAAGCACATTGGTATGAGTCTTTTTTTTTTTTTCCATTGTACTGGTCCTCAGTGGGTTCTTATTATCAGGAAACTCAGATTATTCTGTTGTGGTATGTTTACTGGTGTCATTTTAATACTCTTCTCCCCTTGGTATTTTGTTTTCTACTTCTGGAATAAATTGACCCTCCTCAAATTTTCTTTTCTCTCTACTTTGTAAGGTATTTTTTTGTCTTTTTTTTCCGTATCCAAGAAGATTTTTCTAACTTTACCTTCCAACCCTCTTTTATTTTTCTTCTGTCATATTTTAAACTTCTAAGAATTTGTTCTTGTCTTTGCTCCTTTCACTATGACGTTAGTTTAATTCTATGGATGCTATAACTTTCCTTGACTCTTTGAAGATTTTTAATTATAGATTTTTAAATGTGTCTTTTATTCCCAAATTAGCTTTATTTACAAAACAATCTCCTCAACTCAGGGAGTCAGCTGAGCTCTGCTTGGTTTCCCTTCTCAGCTCCCCAGCCTCGAAATTCTCTAAAGGCAGTAAGCTTGGGCAATCGTAGGACTTACCTCATTTGTTTTCCATGTCTCAGGATTCACTGTCCTTCGTTGACTAATGTCCATTGTCTCAAAAACAGATGTTTCATATATTTCATCAGTTTTTTTAGTTGTTTCGTAAAGGAAGATAAATTCTCTCTTATCCCATCTTAGGAAAAAACCACAAGTTTTGTGTGTGTGTGTGTGTGTATGTGTGTGTGTCCCCTTATTAATTTTGTTATTCAAAATATACATTTCTAAGATTTCTTGTTGTATTAATAGTTTTTCAACTTATTTCCTTTAATTTTCTTGATATAACATTTATGTCTCTTATTTATACTTTAACCTAACTGTAATAGACTGTGCTTAGCCAATAATGTCTCAAAATAGTGTCATGTGTGGGAAACTTTGTCTTTTAAAGCTTCTGGTGTTTTCACTGTAAGCCTAATGCTGACTTTGAGCTTGAAATATCTTTTTATTGTTATTTGGTGAAGACAGTATCTATTAGAGTTTTATTGTTTGTGTGTTTATCTGTGTTTTCAAATGAGAACTAGTTATAGAACTTTATTAAAATGTCTTTGCCATTGATTGAGATGAGTATACTTTTTCTTTTGATCTATTTTTAATATAGTACAATATCACAATATATATGTCAAGTGCTGAGCTGTAGTTCATTTTTGAAAATAAATTTCATTTGGTATATTTTAATGTTTTGCTGAATTTTGTATTCTGAATACTTATTTAGGATTTGTCATCTCTATCTTAAGTGAGATTGGATGTTAGTCTTTTTTAGTACTATGTTAGTAAGGTTTTGGTACAATGTTACTTTGCCTTTCTAAAAATAATTTGAAAGCTTTGTATACTTCTCAGTGCTCTGGAACAGTTTAAATAGCACTGGAATTATCTGTTGCCCCAAACTTAAATGTTTGAAATAATTCACCTATGAAGCAATCTAGGCCTGACATTTTTAGCCTGACACCAGTAGATGTAGGAGTCAGAGAAGTGGGTGGATAGATCTTCAATAATCTTTTCAACTTGTTCTGTGGTTGTTGCTCTGTTCTATGTCTTTACATCTTCTGAGGTTGATTTTGTAAATTTATATTTTCCTAGAAAATTCCTCTCTCATACAAATCTCCAAGTTCATTTGCATATCATTTTGAAAGGTGATGTTTAATAGTACTTTAGTCTCAGAATGTGTGGTTATTTCTAATTTCTTATTTATAATTATATACACAATTGGTAATTTTTTTTCCTTTGTCTTCTTGATTAAGCTGGGTAAGGGTTAACATATAGTTAAGATGTAATGGACTTTAGAGTAAAAATTCCTGGATCCAAATCCTGTCTCAATTATTGTTTGTCTTTAGTGTTTTTATCTGTAAACATGTGTATTTATTAGGATAGATTAGGTTATGCCGTGGAAACAAATGTTTCCCTTTAATGTAACTTTTTAAGTGGTAGCAGGGCAATGAGAGAAAAGGAGTGATTGGGGCGAGAGATCACTATTTTTTTCAACACCTACCATTTGCCAAGCACTGTGTTTAGGAGCTTAATGTAAATTACCTTGTAGGTTGGTGTATTAACACAAATGAGGGAACTGAGCCCGAGCAAGGTGAAGTAACTTGCTCAAGGTCATACAGGTAATAAGACACAAGCCTCTCTGGTCCCAAACCCCATGGTCTTTCTATTATACCACATAACTGGCTTGGGGAAACAAAGCACCAGGACAGTAGTTCTCCAAGTGTGGTCCTCAAGCCAGCAACATCAGCATCACCTAGGAACTTGTTAGAAATTCAAATTCTCAGACCCTACCCAGACCGACCCCAGAATCAGAAATTCAGAGAGGAAGACCCAGCACTCTGTGTCTTAACAAGCCCCCTGGTGAGTCTGATGTCCACTAAAGGTTGAGAACCAGTGCATGAGGCCATTTGTACTCAAGGGTATTTGATGATGAAGGGCTCGTAAACCTCCATTTAATACTTTCCTAGCATCTCTTCTCCTTCAAACATAAAAAGCAATCATAGAGGTGCTTCCTAGGAAGGAAGGAAGGCCCTCCTGTTGCTTCCACAAATCCGTTGTCAGCAGCAGCACAGTAGCTGCTCTTATGTTCCCAGATGTTATTGCACTGATATAAGGAGTCCAACAGAACCCTGCCCCAAGGGCCTGTGAGTAACAGCATGTACATTCTACACTCCCCTGGAGAATAGAGAGCCCAGGAGGGCTACAAAGAAACTTCCTGTCCCTTTGTACTTATAAAAATGTAGAAGAAGTGGGGAGTGGCTTCAGAGCTCAAGAGAGGATTCTCACCATCCTTAATAAAGGAAATCCAGCAAAAGAGGCCCCTGACAGAACAGATTACCCCTAGGGAAGCATGAATCCATCACTCACTCTTGCATTTTTTAACAATATTAACATCTGAAACTTTGTTTAAAAGAGCAGGGAAGCAGTGTGGTGGGCAGGGAAAATCATGAAAAAGAGATGCAGTCCATGGGGTGCCTAGAGGGAGTAGGAGATGGTGTTGCCGGTCAGCCCATCAGGGTCTGTGGGCTGTAGGGACTTGTTAAAGAACCACAAGACACCACCTTTTTTCACAGCTGATAAAGCTTCCTCCCTTCTATTCACTGCTCCCCTTCAACTATTACCCTCACCTGCCAGGGCCCCAGACAAGTTCAAGTTTTCCCTAAAGCATCCAACTCAAGACAAATGACCCACTTTACTGTGCCCTGAGAGAGCCTGGAATTGGGGAATTACAGTGCAGGTCACACTGCCATTTTGTAATTTGCTCTAGACATGTGTCAAATTTCAACTTGCTGCCAAGACAGAGCCCAGATCTGAGGGTATGCTGGCAAAACTAACCACACAAACTTTACTTTGGATCCAAATCCTCAAGCAGAATTATGCTGACCTTTGAATGTTCAAACAGTGTTAAGTTTAGAGAGTCGGTAGAGGAAAGCGTTAGGTTAAGCAGGAACCAAAAGCCATCAATCACTTTGGTCAACCACGATGAAAAAAAGAGGAAAAAATTCGATTATACCCATGGGAATTGTCCTCACTTCTCTAGTCACTGCAGAGTCAGGCCAGCATGTGAAATCTCAGTCCCCTCTTTATTTATTTGCTAACAAAAGGAAGAGTGAGAAGAAAAATATATTTGCTTTTCACTAAGCAAACATCACAGGTGGGTGTTGGTTGTTTCTCTTTCTTTTCTTGGAGAACAGTTTTTTGGGATTTTTTTTTTTTCTTTTTGAACAGATGCTGGTTACGAGAAACAGCCTGGATTCTAAATGAGTATTTTTCTATAACAAGGCTGGTATAACAATGCACTATTTGTGAATTATACTGCTATGATTACCTGAAGAATGGAAGTGGGGATTTAGGCTGATGTTAAAAAGCAAGCTGAATTATTTAGTGGACTTAATCATACAGCTGCCTCTGCTTGCCCTTAAAAACTAGGTCGCCAGCCTCTTGCAGAAGAAGAAAATTAACACTGAGTTTAAACGAATCCCATCAACATGAATCAAACTCGACTTTCCCCAATCAGTGAGACCAGAGGCACTGCTCTATGTTTAGCCGTTTCACCAGCCCACAGCCACAAAAGCGGCCCCTTCCCGCTGTGTCTATGCCCTCCTCATTGCCAAACTAAAGACCTTGCTCTCAAATATGAACTGCAGACTCATACATGTATATAAACATTTGCCACTTTGTTTCAATCTCCCAGCACTTTTCAACACCATTCTTATGATTGGGAAATTCTTCACTATACACACCAGACATACTCTCATGGACTCCCTTGAAGGAAGGGCCTGCCATGTGTGACTTAGATATTGTCATCAGAGCCACCTCCTTTGGAAGCCAGTGGCATGAAGAAGCAGATACCACACTGATTCCATTTCAGCAAGGATGTTAGCAGCCGGGTCCAGTTTCCTGAGGCAGCAGTGAGGGGGAGTTCTAGCAGCAGTGTCTAGTGTCCTGGGACTGAGAGAAGGGCAAGTTCTGTGCCCATCCTTACCCCCCAGACCAGATCTCCTATCCAATTTTAGGTGTTTCTGACTACATAGCCTCTAATCCCACCTCACCAGTCTTGATGGACACTGTAAATTGTTCATTTTCAATGGGTAACACTGTAAGTTACCCATTTTCAAGTCAATTCTTTTTTAGCCTAAGCTGATCCAAACTGAATTCTGTTGCTTGCAACCAAGAATCCTAACTTGTACAGCATGTATCAACTCATTCAATCCCCAGAACAACCCTATTTAGCAGAGCTAACCTCATTCCACAGATGGGTTTTTTGTTTGTTGTTTGTTTGTTTTTGTATTGGAGATGGACTTTTGCTCTTTTCATCCAGGCTGGAGTGCAATGGTGCAATCTTGGTTCATTGCAACCTCTGCCTCCCTGGTTCAAGCGATTCTCCTGCCTCAGCCTCCCAAATAGCTGGGATTACAGGTACCTGCCACCACGCCAGGCTAATTTTTGTATTTTTAGTAGAGACAGGGTTTCACCACATTGGCCAGGCTGGTCTCAAAACCCTGACTTCAGGTGATCCGCCCGCCTCAGCCTCCCGAAGTGCTGGGATTACAGGCGTGAGCCACTCACTGCGCCCAGCCTGGAAGACAGAGACTGAGCAGTCACTTAGCCTAATGCATAGGAAAGCTGAGATACCATATCCTTTTTTTCCAGTTCCAAGGACTTTCAACCACACCACACTACCTATCTTGACAGTGAACTTGGAATTTAGTTTCTTTGACTTTTCTGCTTACAGCATTCTGTCCTTAACTCATGCAATTTTTTTTTATTGGTTTGGGTACTTAAGTCTTATCTCTCTGTGTAAATGTTCAGCTGCTTGGACTCTATCTAATACCTACGTTGTATCACAGCTAGCTTTTTAAATTTTCGTCTCTTCTTTATCATTTTCATACCAGTAAAATCAGATTAAAATGAAAATGTTATGGATAATATTTTGGTATGTACATATTATAATCAGCATACAGCCTATAAAAATCCTTGGAAGGAAAGAGGAAAATATTGTTGCCAGGTTCCCAGTCTCTATCTTCCCTGCTGGTGGGGTGCTAAAGAGCATCATTTCTATGTTAGCACCTGTGGCTTGCTGCCATCCACCCCTTCCCTTCATGCACACTTGCAGGTAGCCTCCCCAACTCATTCAAGTCTTCTTGCCCCCAAAGAAGCTCAGATAAAGCTCTCATTACCCCCAAACTCTTTCTGGGTCTACCTCCTCTAACCTCTTCCTATCAGCCCTGGGGCAATCAACCTCATAATGGAGGAGGACCACAGCTGCCCCAAGCCCCATCTTGGGGCTGCAGATAAGAAGGTCTGTCCATACTGGCATTCCAAGTGGACTTGGCAACAGCTGCTAACCGCCTAATGTACAGCCTGTGTTCTAATCCTAGTGTCACCAGCCACAAGTCATTGGGTCTGCCCTTGCAGAGAAAGGTTGTTTAACTTATGAAAGGTGTACTAGGTGTCATCTCTTCAACCTCCCTTCGTTTTCCTTCCTCTTTTTTAGCTCTAGGGAAATTTAGGGGATCTGTACTCTCTAAAGTTCAACAACTCCTCAGGGTCCTTTGGAGTTTAGGATTCTGTCTCTGAACTCTTCTCTACTGGTGAGCATGGGGCAGGGACTAGAATTGAGACCAACTGGAAATGTCAACAGAGAAAGCTGTAGTATTTTAAGTTACTGTCTGTCACCTAGATGTCATTCCATCATCCACATTATTGGTTCATTCTCCATAGCATTCATGAAAATAGGAGTGGAAAAAAGGCAACTAACATCTCCTGAGTACCTGCTATGTGCAGTGCTGTGCACAGATGATTTAGGTTTTCACTTAATCTTTACAAGAACCTAAAATATCATCTCTTTTGTTTCAGTTTTATAAATAAGAAATTTAAGCCAATGAGAGAACAAGTAATCAGTTATATAGGTAGCATCTAATAGAATTATTATTAGAGTCCAGGATTTTTAATACCAAAGTTCCTACCACAGTAAAACAAACCTATGAACAATACCTGCTTTCTCAGAGTGTCCACAGCACATCAAAATGTGGATAAACTAAGATTTTATATTTTAAAATCCAGGGAGCTTGTTTTTACTTTAGAGATATTTAGAGAACTGTAGATGCCAGTTGTTTCTTCCTTAAACTAGTTGATTTTATTGCATCACTCACAAAAATTATTTACTTAGTTGACAAGCCTGGAGATTCACCACACCTCATTTATTTTAATATTTGTTACAGTGACACAACTAGAAAAATGCATCACAAAAACAAGAATCAGCCCAGGATGGCCTTAAAATGTAGAGCAGAATGGACAAGGTCTCATTCTCATACTGTCAGACCATACTCTTTGGGGCAAGTTTTATTTTATTTTATTATTTCTCTTCTTCTTTTTAAAATTTATTTATTTTTTATTTATTTATTTTTTAGACAGGGTCTTGCTCTGCTACCCAGGCTAGAGTACAGTGGCATGATCATAGCTCACTGCAGCCTCAAACTCCTGGGCTCAAGCAATCCTCCCATCTCAGCCTCCTAAGTTTCTGTGACTACAGGCAAACACCACTACTCTCGGCTAATTGTTTTTTTTTAATTTTTTGTAGGGATTATGTCAGCCTGTGTTGACCCAGGCTGATCTTGAACTCCTGTCCTCAAGTAATCTACCCACCTTGGCCTCCCAAAGTGCTGAGATTACAGGTATAAGCCACCATGTCTGGCCTTGAGGCAAGTTTTTTAATGGACTGTAAATAAAAATCCTGAAGCCAGAAAACAGGAAATTTTAGAGTTCAGCCCAAAAAATTCCTTGAGTGTCATTTCAATTTGCATAATCTAAAAATTAAAAAAAAACAACAACGGAAACCAAATGTTATGCATTGAATCAATTTCAAAAGTCTGAAAAACAAAGAGGAGGACGCCTTCTTCCCCCTGGCCCTAACCTTCAATTGAGTGTGTTCTGTCCAAGATCTCATGATTCTAGGAATGTGGAAGATGGCTTTGCTAAACAAATGAACAAACAAACAAAAATAGTAATGTTGACTCACTCCAGATCCAGAAAGGCAATAGAAACCTTTTACTCCTTGGGATGAATTCAAACAAAGGTAATGAGAGAAACTGAAATGGAAGGAGAGACGAGAGAGATATTCCTCTCCCAATTTGTCACCTTTAGGATCATAGCGTTGTTGGTATTCCCCTTCATCTGCAGCACCTTCCTCTCCCAATGTTCTTCCATATGACAGATGCCAAGGCCAGGCCCGATGACTCATGCCTGTAATCCCAGCACTCTGGGAGGCCGAGGCGGATGGATTGCTTGAGCCCAGGAGTTCAAGACCAGCCTGAGCAACATGGCAAAACCTTGTGTCTACAAAAAAATATAAAAAATTAGCCAGGTGTGGTGGTGTGTGCCTGTGGTCCCAGCTACTCAGGACGCTGAGGTAGGACAATCAATTGAGGCCAGGTCAAAGCTGCAGTGAGCCGTCATTATGTCACTGCACTCCAGCCTGGGCAACAGAGCAAGACCCTGTCTCAAGACAAGAGGAGAGGAAGGGAGGGGAGGGGAGCGGAGGGGAGGGGAGGGGAGAGAAACCCAGCAAATTAAAGTGAAAATCTGCCTTGCACCACACCTGGGAATTTGTGGATATAAACCATACCCATTAGCTGGGTTAGAGTTCAGCTGACTGGCAAATATGCATTTTCTAAGACCACAGCATCATTCCAGGTGCTGTAGAAAATAGACATGTTTGGCCAGGCATGGTGGCTCATGCCCATAATTCCAGTAATTTGGGAGGCTGAAGCAGGAAGATAGCTTGAGTCCAGGAGTTCAAGACCAGCCTGGGCAACATAGCAAGACTCCGTCTCTATAAAATAATTTTTAAAAAGGCGTATTTGAAAACTGAGCCTTACTCTGGAACAGCATATGTACTTTAGAGGAAAAAGATGATCACAAATAAAACAAGAGTGAGCAAAATCAAATGATACTCAATTATGACATTTTATGGCATATGCTGCAAGTGTTGTAAGGTTTCAGAAAATAAGGGAATTAATTTGAACAGTGTTTGTAGACAATCCTGCTTAGTAAATTCCTTAGCTCCAACCTACCATTTCACCATAGCAGCCACCCCCAAGCCTGGAGGCTTCTCTGCAAGGTCAGTTGGCCCTTCACTTTGGTATTAACCCTGAAGTCTTCAGACATTTATTCCTTACTAGCTTCCAGCTCAAATAAACAGAAAAGTATTAATAAACTACCATGTACAAAGTACTTCCTGTGTTTAGAAGACACAGCAATCACTAAGAAGCCGGTATTCTCCAACAACACTTTTCTTTCATCTTTGGATATGGGCTGCTACAGAAGGGAGACATGTAACCTGGGGCAAGGCAACTCTCTTCCGTCAGCACAAATATTGCAGAGGGCTGACAGCTGAGGGTATCTGCACATAGCACTACCAGCAGGTAGAGGAGTAAGTCCTCCAGTGCTGATGAGGGATGCAGGCAGTACATTACAGCATCCACTCTGGTCTCTCCTTTATACTGCCTGGATCCACTACTTTAAGTTCTAGAAGCATCTCCTCTAGGATTCCAGCTGTGAGGTTGGAGGATGGTAAAGATTCTCCTAAGGGAAACATAAGAGGAAATGGTTTGTAGGACAAGCTGCAGCCTTGGCCCTTGCAGCCCTGGCCACTGCAGCTGGTTTCAGGGTTACAACTGATATCCATGATCTCATTCCTCTTCAACAATTGTATTGACTCCCCTTTCTCTTGTCTAGCACCTCTGCTGATTGTGGTGGCTTACCCAAGGCATATCCAGATCCTCATTCCCAAGGAATCTCAGTCCCTGGTCCCCTGCTGCTGCATTTAACCATTTATCATCAATAACAAACAAGGGAGTATGAAGAATGAATTCCTTGCGTGACAAACATTTTTCTCCCTGCCCATTGTGCAACAGAAGTGACACTTCCTCCAGATATTCAGGGTTAATTACCTCTGCTAGAATTGTGACTTGAATTACTGTTTTAAGCCAACTCATTCTTTAATCAAGTTCAGACTTTTGCCTCATTCATTCGCTGATTGTTACAGAGGTGTAAGTTCAGAGGTTGCCATCTAGCCTTCCTCACTACAATAGCTTTAATCCACAGGCCAAGGAACCAGTGTGAAGATTGTGCTGCTACCAAATGTGTCTTCTCCAACTATACATTCAGGCACTGGAAAAAGGACTTCTGACTGAGTCTGTGAACCCGATGGCACATTGCAATTCAGATGTGGACAGAGATCCATTTAGTACCAGGTGTCATATGCCCCTCCTCTAACAGACGGCTCATGTTGATGCTCTGAATCTCTGTGTATCAGTGAACTCAGACCCTGTGCCCGGTCTTGAAATCTTTGGATATTCCCTTTTTCACAGCATACAATTTCCTGAATAAATGCAGATTCCTTTGGGAAGTACTGAGGGAATCATTAGCTGTTAACTCATGTGGTATTGCAGAATTCTTTCTCTTTGGGACCCAACCTCTCCTTCAGTGGGTTCTGGGTTTGAAAACTGGCTCAGATCTAGAACTGGGAGACAGGTTATGACTTTTTGTTGGAGCAACTGCCGTTAGCATTCTGATCATCTGCTCTTGATTTAATTTGTCATGTCGATCGAGTAGTGACTTTGTTGCCTGCCCGTAGTGATAAAGAGTTGTGCTAACCATCTCCATCATTCTCTGTGGGTCAGATTCCCTGGCTATTCCTCTGTCCTTGACCCTCTTTATGGTAAGTTTTGCCCACCTGGCTTCTACAGGTTCAGTGGCACCACCTGCAGCTACTGTCATGACAACCTCCCGTCACCGTTGTTATCAGAGAGTACAGCTCTGCAACTTCATCTCCTACGATCAGCCCCGACCTGCAGACAGTAGCTACCTCCGACCTTCTTAATGATGTTGGTGCCACTTTTATCCACATTTCTTAGTGCTTTGACCAATGGTGTATCATATGGGACCTCCGTGGAGCATAGACATCTGGTGGGTTTTCCAGCCTTAAGTAATGTATCTATCAGAGTGCCCGCTTTTGAGTCTTTTCAGCCCTTCTACCATAGCTATGACAATAATGTGTTTCTACTTCACTTAATGTGTTTTTTTTTTTTTTTTTTGATGGAGTCTCACTCTATCTCCCAGGCTGAAGTGCGGTGGCGCATCTCGGCTCACTGCAAGCTCCGCCTCCCAGGTTCACACCATTCTCCTGCCTCAGCCTCCCGAGTAGCTGGGACTGCAGGCGCCCTCCACCACACCCGGCTAATTTTGTTTGTTTGTTTGTTTTAGTAGACACGGGGTTTCACAGTGTTAGCCAGGATGGTCCCCATCTCCTGCCCTCGTGATCCGCCCACCTCGGCCTCCCAAAGTGCTGGGATTACAGGCATGAGCCACCACGCCCGGCCTAATGTGTGTTTTTTCCGTGCCTGTGGGAGCCATTTAGTAGCATGTTCATGTCATCTGCAGATGTCCTAGACAAAATGTGAAATCCTGTATTCCATAATTCTCTCAAATTGATAAATCCTCCATCATTCAGTTTTATATTCTGACACCACCGATCCAGTCTCATTTATAGTCTCCTGGCTCCCACAGGCACTTGCTGGCTGAGTCCTAATAGCTCCTAAAGCTCTGGAACCTTTCCCCCTTTATCTGGCCCAGCTCAGTCCTCAGCCAAGTCAGACTGTGACTTAACCCTAGTTATTGTCCTGGTGACCAGGAAAGTCAGGGACAGATTCTGAGACCGACACATGTTTTCCTACAGGGGAGAGAACACTGCATGATCTTCAAAGGTGGGAAGAGCACTGGTGCTTAATGGGAAGGAATCAACCCCTTCTGGGAGCTCAGGGCCTATAGAGAAATCCTAGAATTTAAGCTTTTTTAACTGCAAAATCCTGCAACATCTCGTGTGTCAGGGTCTTATTCCTTTCCAACCAAGGTGAGGATTTTAACATTGCAGATTTGCCCAAATTGAGATTTCAGCCTTCTTGGGAGTTCTGCTAATTTTCTTTTCTTTTCTTTTCTTCTTTTCTTTTATTTTCTGTCTTGTCTTGTCTTGTCTTTTTTTGAGATAGAGTCTTACTCTGTTGTCCAGGCTGGAGTGCAGTGGTGTGATCTCGGCTCACTGCAACCTCCACCTCCCAGGCTCAAGCAAATCTCCTGCCACAGCCTCCTGAGTAGCTGGGACTACAGGCACCTGCCACCATGCCCGGCTAATTTGTGTATTTTTAGTAGAGACGTGGTTTCTCCATGTTGACCAGGCTGGTCTCAAACTCCTGACCTCAAGTGATCCTCCTGCCTTGGCCTCCCAAAGTGCTAGGATTACAGGCGTGAGCCACTGCCTCCTCACCCTGTTAATCTTGTGATTAAATCAGGGGCCTCAAGTTCTCGGCCCTTAGGCTATAGAAGATGAGACAGAGTCTCGCTCTGTGGCCCAGGCTGGAGTGCAATGGCACAATGTCGTCTCACTGCAACCTCCGCCTCCCAAGTTGAAGCAATTCTCCCACCTCAGCCTCCCGAGTAGCTGGGACTACAGGCATGCACCACCAGGCCTGGCTAAATTTTTTTTGTATTTTTAGTAGAGATGGGGTTTCACCATATTGGCCAGACTGCTGTCGAACTCCTGACTTCAAGTGATCCGCTTGTCTCAGCCTCCCAAAGTGCTGGGATTACAGGAGTGAGCCACTGTGACCAGCGGAGAGCTTCTATATAAACTACCAAGGAAGTTGTCTGGCTTTCACACTTAGCCTTTAGTTGCTGCTTAATCCCTCACAGCTTTTCATTATTTAGTTCCTAAACTGTCCATTGTGCTTAGCAATAGCCAGCCACTTCCACTTAGAGTTACTTTTCCCCCTACAAATCCCTGATGCATGGCAACTGCTGGAGCATTCTCTTCGTTCTGGAATACATTTCCAGTTCACCTCCAGTACGAGTGTTAATAAGTGCAATGCTACCTTGTGCCAGGTGCTATCTGACGGTTGGTAAGGTCGTCATTGCCAATGAGCAGTGAGTGAGCCAGCTCCAAAAATCCCATCTTAGCATCTGGTTTCTCAAACTATTCCTGGCACTGACTATCACAGGCTGGGTTCCTAGGAAGCAAACTTAGTGATAGAGAGTCATACTCAGGAAATGTGTTACAGATTGCTCTTGCAGTTCATACCTGTGGAAGAGGAGAGGAAGCAGGGCTGGGTAGAGAAAGAAGTTGGGCTGTATTGCAGGTTCAACAAAGCTTCAGGGGACTCCTTGAAAAGCTCTGAATGTGAGATGGCCAAACACAATTGTGCAGAATCTGGCCGGCCTTTTCAGCTTTTTACCACTAGTCACTGGATACAGGCTGACCCAGGAAGGGGGTCTTGAATTTGGGTGAGGTGACCCTCTTTAAATAATTCTGAAGAGAATTGATAGGTGAAGGCTCTGTGGACAATACTCTCTGCAGCTGGGGGAATAGAGTCTTTTGGTGCTAGCTGGGCACCTAGGTGGCCCATCTCAGCACCCTCTACAGCTGCTCTCTTTATAGTATAAGGATGTGGGATAATTAACACAGGCAAGAAACCGTAGAGGACTAACTTTATTTTTCTTTTAGTTTTTTTTTTAATTGACATATAATACTTGTAGATATGCATGGGGTACATTGTGATATCTCTCTATATAATATATAGTGATCAGATCAGGGTAATTAGCATATCCATCATCTCAAACACTTATAATTTCTTGTTTTGGGAATATTCCATAAGAGCACCAACTTTAGACAGCTGACCCTGGAAGGCTGTGTGCCCACAAAAGGAGTGTTTGGTTCAGAGAAATTGCGTGAGCTAAATAGAGTGCAGGTCACTGAGTCTGACAGAGGTCAAGGCTAGATGTGGGGAGAGCACTGCATGGAGGCTCAGGAGACAGAGACTGGGGCCTTTCCTTTCTCAACTACTGAATGACTGGTAAAGTTGATTTACCTCTCTGACCCTCAGTTTCCTCTTCCAGAAATGAAGGTGATGGACCAGTCATTGCTTGTGTCTAGAATACATAAAGATTTCTCAAAACTCAACAATTAAATTAAAAATTCAAAAATTAGAAAAGGGGCAAAAGGCAAGCAGACATCTCACCAAAGAGGATATACAGATGGCAAAATAAGTACACAAAACGTCAAAGTTCAACGTCATTAGTCATGATAGAAATGCAAAATAAAACTACAGTGAGATATCACTACACAACTGTCAGAATAGCTAAATTTAAAACCAAATAGTGATAACACCAAATGCTGGTAAGGACGTGAGGAAACTGAATCATCCATATATTGCTAGTGAAAATGTCTTGGTTCAGCCACTCTAAAACCAGTTTGGCAATTTATTTAAAAACTAAACATATGCTTACCATATGACCCAGCAAATGCACTCATAGGCATTTATCCCAGAGAAATGAAAACTTATTTTCACACAAGAAACTGAGCATGAATGTTCATAGCAGATTTATTTGTATGACCAAGAACTGGAAACAACCCAAATGTCCTAACTGAATGGCTAAACAAACTGTGATACATCCATACCATGGAATAGTACTCTGCAATACAAAGAGAAAAAAACTGCTGATCTATGCAATAACTTAAGTGGTTCAAAAAGGAATCATGCTGAATGAGAAGAGCCAATCTCAGAACTGTATATACTGTTTGATTTAATTTATACAACAGTCCTAAAATGATAAAATTATAGATATAGAGATCAGATTATTGGTGGCCAGACACTGGGAGAGGGAAGCAGAAGGAGCGAGGTGGCTGTAGCTCTGAAAGGGAAACATGAGGGACCCTTCTGATGGAACTGTTATATGTTTAACTGTGGTGGCGATCTCATGAATCCACACATATGACAAAATTACATGAAACTAAATACACACGCGCGTGCACACACACACACACACAATGAGTACATGTAAAACTGGTGAAATCTGAATAATATTGGTGGATTCTATCAATGTCAATTTCCTGGTTGTGCTATTGTACTACAATTATGCAAGCTGTTGCCAACTGGGAGAAACTGGGCAAAGAGTATATGTATTATTTCTTACAGTTGCATGTGAATCTATCATTATCTCAAAATGAAGTTAAGATGTTATCAGAGGTGGCTTTAGGATTGCATTAATAGATCATCAATCAGGAAAGTGATCATCACCCTCCAATTCGACCAGTGGAGAGGTTCATTGAGGAAAGAGTCATTTAGCCAATTGTATATTAATTCATTCAACAAATATATAGTAATTACCTATTATGTGCCAGGCACTGTGGAAGAGGCAAAGAATACAATAATAAATAGGACAGATGTGATTTTTGCCCTAATGGAACTTACAGCATAAAGAGAAAGCCAGACATTAAACAGATAATTACATAAGTAATAAACTCAAAATTACTGTGTAATTACTGGTCTGGGTACAATGGAAAGCTTGACCATATATATGGGGCTAGGGAAGGCTTCCCTAAGGAAATGGGGTTTAAGATGAAACCAATGGAAGTACAATTACTTAGAGGTAGAAGAGGAGGGGCCAGGTGCAGTGGCTCATGCCTGTAATCCCAGCACTTTGGGAAGCCAAGGCAGGAGGCTCACGAGGTCAAGAGATCGAGACTATCCTGGCCAACATGGTGAAACCCTGTCTCTACTAAAAACACAAAAATTAGCCGGGCATGGTGGTGCATGCCTGTAGTCCCAGCTACTCGGGAGGCTGAGGCAGGAGCATAGTGTGAGCCCAGGAGGTAGAGATTGCAGTGAGCTGAGATATTTGATTCTGTCTCAAAAGAAAAAAAAAGAAGAGGAGGTAGCTCCAGGAGAAGGAAATAGACTAGAGCCATGAGAGCAAAGGGGCTGTGTGGGGATAGTTCAGGGGCCCAAAGTGAGTCTGGAAAGACAGGCAGAAGCTGGATCATGTGGGTCCTCCAGGGACAAGAGCAATGGGAAGATATGGAAGGTTTTAGGCAGAGGGAGAGGTGGTTGCAGCTGTATGAGAAATGTAAGCTATTTCAGGAAATTTGTGATTACAATAGTAATTCAGTACTGGAATAGATTATCAACAGAGCTTGGGGGAGCATTCTCCTCAAATAAATTGAGTTGACTGTTAAGGACGATAAATAACCTCATATGGGAAAGGGTGCAGAAGAGAGCTGCAGGGCTTTGTAAATTAGATCAGAGTGAGGGAATTGGGCAAAGCAAGCATATCAGGCCTGATATCACACCTTTAAAGTAGGAAAGAAAAAATAGACATTTTTCTCCTTTTGCCACAAGCTGAAAATTTATTTTGCAAAGCTATAGTAGCATTTTCCCATTGTTTCTTAGGCTCACTACCATGCAGGGTGATAGGGCAATATTTCAAAAGGGAAGGAATGGTTATGACAGCCAAAAGAACATGCCCACAAACTTCTGCAAAGACTTTTTTTTTTTTTCTTTTTTCTGAGACAGGGTCTCACTCTGTCACCCAGGCTGGAGTGCAGTTGTGCAATCTTGGCTAACTGCAACCTCTGCCTTCTGGGCTCAAGTGATCCTCCCACGTCTGCCTCCTGAGTGGCTTGGATTACAGGTGTGCATCACCACACTTGGCTAATTTTTTGCATTTTTGGTAGAGACAAGGTTTTGTCACGTTCCCCAGGCTGGTCTCGAACTCCTGAGCTCAGATGATCCATCTGCCTTGGCTTCCCAAAGTGCAGGGATTATAGGCGTGAGCCACCGTGGCTGGCTGCAAAGACTTTTTCAGAGACTTCTCCACCCACATCCATGGATGATTATTTTCCTAGAGCAACACCTGTGTCCAACAGGTGGGCAACTTTTGGGGAAGAGAATGAGGAAGAAGATGGTCTTAATTTTCAACAAATTCTCAAGGAACTTTTTCCTTTTCCTATACAGTTTCCCCAACCTCACGCTAAACTCTGTGTGAGTCCCCTTGTTTTGTTTCAAAATTGCTGTTACTTAAGAACAAATAGTTACAATGCTGGAGTAGGGAAGCTTGTAAAATCCATTGTCACAGTGGTCAGCGGTGATAGTTTCTAAGTACAGTCTCAATTGTATTTAATTATTGATAATTACATTAATGGTTATGGAGAGCTATACACCATGCTAAGTGTATATTTAGTGTTTTATACATGTAATTTATAGAAAAGTATGAGTGCAAATGTTTATTGAAAAAGTGACTGAACAATAAATAAAACACTAAAATAAAAAGTGATTAAACTATAATAATTCTCATTAGGTAACCAGAAACTGACGACAGAACCTATGCACATGGATTAATTAGGGAGCGAGTGAAAATGAGTCCTACTAAGTTAAAGAACCCTAACTTGCACACATTTACCAGAGAATAAACCTAGCTGAAGAAAAAACGGACAATAATAATCACTCAATTACCCACATTGAGAAATCTCTAAATTGGCTTGGAATTTGGTAAGGCTCAACTATATACTGGTTACTAATTGATTTGAAAGGATTACGAAAGAAAAGTTAAACAAATTAGCAGAGACACCTGAGTAAGCTTAGCTATTGTGTAAAAGAACAAAGAATCATTTTGATTGCATTTGATGGGAACCACCAATGAAAAACCCTTTTAATAAGTATGAACAGAGCTAGATACTGAATGGACTATGGAAATTGTGACCTCAATGCATAGGAGAGGATGTGTGTATATTTGAATAAAATACTGTTGAGAATTGAAACTTCCACATTTAGTAGTATTTCAACCAAGTGTTTAACCCTAATGTTTTATTTGGTCTTATTTGATATTCCTCTCAACTGCCCCTTTTCAACTCCTTTCTTTCCCTTCACTGAACCTAGGCTTAGAAGTTAGAGAAAAGTCTGAGAATCTATTGAATGGCAGAGATCAACATACAGTAACCAGCAGCACCCAGGATGTTGGTTGTTCTATCAGCCTGATTCCCTAAGCCAAGGCCCTCTGTTGACTCATAGTTGGCATACAGTTTGAGGAAGGAAAAAGCCTTTGTGGTGGCAACTCACTGAGAGTTTATAGTTGCTTGTTATTGCAGAATAAATCTAGAGCATAGGGCCCAGCTCTCACTAGGAGCTCAATAAATGTTTTATTTTGTTCTCTTGAATCAGGCTCACAGAATTGGAACATTCATAATCCTTGGTTCATGAAACAGCATCAAAGTAATCCATGCATGACCCTCTTTCATTTTATTTATTCTTTTGAATTTAATTATTTTTATAATGAGCATCTGTGAGCCTACCATCCAGCCCAAGAATGAGAACATTGTCAATAACTTCATCCCTGTGTGCTCTTTCTTTACCCCATCCTCCCTGCACTGAGAATTTGAATTCACTTTTTTTTCAATCTTGACTTTTCTTTTTCTCATTTCATTGCTTTAAAAAAAATCAGTTTATATATATATATATAAATGCCTAACCAATTTATTGTTCTGGCTTCCAAACTTTATAAAAAGGTTGTACTGTCTATATTTTCCTGGAACTTGCTTTTTTCATTATTCAATCTTATTCATTCATGTTCTTATCCATAGCAGTAATTCTTTAATTTTCTTCGCTATATAATATTGTTTTGCATTAATATCCCAATTGTCTCCAGCTTTTTGCTATTATGAATTGTGTTGCTGTAAACATTCTTGCATATGTCTACTAGCATACATCTATAAAATAATAAGAGAAACACAAATGAAGGGACAATTAGATATCATTTGTTATAAAATTAGTTGAAATATCAAAAATTAAAAAGTCTACCAAGATTAAGTGTTGGAATGATAAGTAGAAATGGGATCTTGTATACACATTGCTGGTAGGAATGTAAGTATAAGCACCATTTAAAATAATTTGGCATTATTTTTAAAGTTGAACATTGGTATATACTATAGCAAATCTCCATAAATGTTGAATGAACAAATGAATGAGTAATCACCCAGCAATTTAGTCAAAGATATTTTCTATCCTTTGTCCCTGACAAGTTTCCTGGTGATTTTTCCATATTCATGGATTTTGATTCCTGGCCTACCATGTTCTTCTCTGCCATCATTTAGATTGACATCAATTCCCAAGTGAATGGCCCAAGCTAGGCTTCTCTTGACATGACAACAGTTATGAGGACCAAATAAGGTAATAAATTTAAAGTGCTTATAGCAGTGTCTAGCACAGAGTAAGTGCTATATAAATGTTTATTATTATCATATTTCCTTCAGAACTCTTATAGGAATCGTGACTATGGTCTGTTACATAATTTAGATGTTGTTGGTTTCTTGGATAAATATTATATTTGTATGCTCCTTTCTATTTCTTTCATTTTGATTTTTGGGCCCAAATATTTGCTTTCCTTTGTTTTGCAGATTTTCCCTTGGGAGTTACCCCACAATGAGTTCTGGGTCTGGTCAAATCACCCATTATTCAAGTAAGTCACAACTCCCTTCCTTTGGGAGAATAGTTTTACCCAAGTGTTGCCTGCCCTCAGTCATTACAATACCTAACAAAGGTCTGAACTTCATCCATTGGAGCCCTGCCTGTATCTCCTTTAGAACTCCCTTTGGAGCTCTGAATTCATTAATTGTCTCTGCCTGTTGCCTCTTACTCATTTCTACTTCCCCATTCAGTCACATCGTCACCTTGAAACTTACCAACCAATGCTCAAAATAGCCCATGCTGATCTTCCTGTTCTTCCTCTTTCCAAAGTATCCAGAATATATCTCCCACCTAGTGCATCTGTCCCAGTCATCGAAGGCAGGTTCTGCCATTGATTTTATTATTGATTCCTTGTCTATAACTTTCAGAGAACTGCTAGAAACTTTCCTTCTGGGTCAGAATCAAACATGCATTAAGCATTGCTATTTTGGAATTTAAAGCACATGCTATTGGCTCTGGCTTCACCATCTATTCCCTCTAAGCCAGGAAGGCCTTGGAAAGTGTAGCTGGGATTTAATGAAGTGGTTACCATACTAATCTTGTGAGCCATTGAGCATAGTATTTCATTTTTATCTCCACCAGGCAGAGGCCATCAAAACAAATCAACTTCCAAGGTCTGGGAGAGGATTGTGTCCTGGGCTGCCCAGATACATTGTTTACAGGCTTCTGGCAAAGGGCTTGGAATGGGACATGTGTCTCACAAAAGCACCTGGAGACTTGGTTTACTCAGTCGGGAACTATGGGCATGAACTGGTCTAGGTCAAGAAGAGGATAGAAAAGATAGGTGGATGAATAAAAAGAGTGCAAGATCTGAATCAGATAACAAGTGGAAGAGGGGTCAACACTAGACCATGCATGCCTTAGAGTCATTGAATTTCAGAACCGAAAGTGACCTCAGAACCTGTCTAATTTAACCAGCTCATTTTACAGGTAGGGAAACTCAGATCATAGAAATGAATAGACTTGCCCAAGGTCAGAGAGCTGTCAGCTGGATGGAAAATCCTTTCCAACCAAGGTGTTTTCTTTCTACTTCCTGTACTATAAGGTGGTAGGGGCGGGGGGAGTAGGAAATAAGCTAAATGGCTAAAAATAGGAAGGAAGTAAGGAAAACATTTGGTTTATGTCAAGCAGTTTATCATAACATGAAAAAATGCTTGCTATCTTAAGGGTTAAAAATAATGTGGAAATGTAGTGTAATAAGATAAGAATAAAACTAAATTAACCAAAGGTTAATTCTGGTCCCTTGGCCAAAAACTGTTATTATTTTAGCTTGGTTTTTAACCATGGTTGGAGGTTTTCTCTGGTGCAAAGAATTATAGGTATTTTTACCCTTATATTCTTCTGTATTTCCATTATAATCACATATTTCTTTCAGAATGATTAAAATATATATGGTTTACCATTTGACTTAGCCTATTGGTCCCCATCAAATTAACCAGAAAAAAAAAAACAGTAAATTAGATAATCCATCATCCCATTTTATGATATTCAGGACTTGGCAAATTTCTTTCAGTTGCTATTCTTAGCAGAGAATCCATTTTAACCTTCTGCTTCACACAGAGTCTCAGACACCCTCTTTACTCTCCATTTCCAAAGTACTAATACAGAGTGAGCTAGAGGATAGAGCAAACCCCCTATGGGATCTAAACATTGTCCTACCATAATAAAAAGCAGATCTTCCCACCACTTCTAGATGCAGATAAAAATTCTCCCTTCTCAGCTTCTATCTGCCCTCAACCAGGTGAAGATAAACAGAGGCCAGTCATAAATGAAGTTGCTAAATCTCCCAACTTAGTCTCTGAACCTCAGTACCAGCCAAGATGCCTTCTCCATTCTCTTTAACCTTCACCCAACCCCACCCTCTGTTCTAGGACAACAGGTGATCACCTAAGTTTTCAGAAATATTGCTTTTTAAAATAATTTTGAATGTCATCTACTGTTTTTATTTTTATTAACATAGCTAGAAACTTTGGAATATACAGAAAAGCAGAAGGAAGAAACTAAAAGTCATTCAAAATTTCACCATCCCAAAATGATCTCTTTTAGTGTTTTTTGCATATTTCCTGGCAGTCCTTCTATTATTTTTTGCACACACATAATATAGAAAACTGAGATCATATCATACATACTATTCATATACATTGTAAATTTTCCAGATCATTAAATATTATTCCATAGCACATTTAATGCCTGAATAATAATCATTTGGAAGTACAGTAATTTATCAAACCAATCTTTTAGGGTTGCACAATCAGGCTGTATTCCATTTTTCAACATGCCATACCACACTGCTGTCAACATCCTTGAACAGAAATCTTCACTCATATCAATGTTTTCCCTGATTTGCTATCAAAGTCAATATTTAATATGTTTAATTCCCCTGTCCCCCAGGTGTGGAAAAATGTACCCATTTTGTCTACAGAAATTCTACCTCTGATTAGGAAGTTTCTACCTACTTAGATGTGTCTATATAATGTATATCATGTATTAAGAAATATAGAATTAATGCTTATTACTTACAGTAGTTATGATCTATAATGTTGCCATGAAGACTGAATTAGTGAATACTGACCCATTGCTCCTAGGGGAAATACAAGATTATGTTCCCGCAAGCCTATGATCACAACGTTTTCATCACTCAATCAATGCATAACCTTGTATTATGTTTTTCTGTTTCAAACACTGTATTTAAAATATAATACTGATTCATTAACATTGAACTCAATCACCAACGGCACTATAATTCAGGCCTGGATAAAGCTTATCTGGCCAGGCACATTGTAATCCCAGCACTTTGGGAGGCCGAGGCGGGCAGATCACCAGGTCAGGAGATCAAGACCATCCTGGCTAACACGGTGAAACCCCGTCTCTACTAAAAATACAAAAAAAAAAAAAAATTAGCTGGGTGTGGTGGCAGATGCCTATAGTCCCAACTACTAGGGAGGCTGAGGCAGGAGAATGGTGTGAACCCAGGAGGTGGAACTTGCAGTGAGCCGAGATGGCACCACTGCACTCCAGCTTGGGTGACAGAGTGAAACTCCGTCTCAAAAAAAAAAGCTTATCTAACGTATGTCTTTTATGTCTTTTCTCCATAAGACACATTGCAGCCTTCCTGTTCTTTAGGAAATCAAACAGAACTTCAGCAGTATGCAGTGAGGCCATTTTAAACAGTGAAATCACCAACATAAAGCACAAATATTTGAAAACATGGCCTTAAATAGACCACAAAAAGGAAACTTGTTAACAGTAGAAGAACTGAAACAAGAAGGCACAGCATCACCCTGTTTGACCCCAGCTGGGAACACATCTATCAGATGACTCAAATGTTTTCTTGCTCTGTGCATGTCTGCAAATGACCATGAAAGCCACCTATACTGATTTTGGGGTTACAAAATCTGTCATATGAGGACCTAATGCCTAGAGTCATTGATGCCATGTTGTGTTTAAGAGGAGGCAATGAAGAAAATTGCAAAGATGCCAAGCTTGTATTCCGATATCAATGAGTTGTTTCATGTAATTTGGTACCAACTAGCTCCAGGCTTCATGTTAGATGAGATAATTAAATGTTCATTTATGGCTAAAGCAACTGCTGGTTGTGGTTTCTGTGACTTGCAACCCAAAGATATTCCTAATCAATGCCATTGGCTGACATCATCATGTTATTAGTAGAGTTGGGCTTGAATGTAAATCTATTTGGCTCCAAAGTCCCTCTTTCTTTTTTCCTTAATTTTTTATTATTTGAGAAAGGGTCTCACTCTGTTGCCCAGGCTGGAGTGCAGTGGCACAATCTTGGCTTACTGCAAATTCCATCCCCTGTCTCAAGAAACCCTCCCATCTCACCTTCCTGAGTAGCTGGGACTACAGGTACCCTTTTTTTTTTTTTAAGTAGAAACAAAATTTCACCATGTTTTCTAGGTTGGACTCAAACTCCTGAGCTCAAGCAATCCGCCCGCCTAGCTTCTCAAAGTGCTGAGATTATAGGCATGAGCCACCCCACTCAGCCACCCCAAAGTCCCTCTTTCTATTATATTGTGCTACCTTCCTTCCTCTTTAAACAGTCAGTGATCAATTCCCTTAAAATACTTTTAAGTTTTTTAAGGGGAGAGTCCAGGTCCTGTGTAATACCACCTTGTTTCTATAAGACCATTAAGATCATTTTTAATTTTTCTCTGGTCTTCCGGACTACTAAGCATATTACCTTATTTAGTACCATTATCAAATTTAGTTAATGCCATTTTTACTTTTCTCCACTTATTCATAATGATAGAGAACAGAATTGTCTCCAAGTCAACCTCAAAGAAATACCATTTGAGTTTGAACTTCCCTTCTCCCCATCCTTGCACCCCCAGCATGCCTCCCTCTGAGCTGTCTGTGCATCTGGCTAGCCCTAATACTAGTGATTCTTGCCACCCACTCTGCTGCAGCTGGCAAGGACCAGAGGGCCTGGATGCTCTCTTTTTGCTTCACGAACCTCTAAAGAGTACTCAGGCTGGAAACTGCTCCATCTATTCTACTAGTTGGCTTAATTTTACCAATCACCTAAAAAATCACATAGCAAGTTAAGAAGTTTTGCTGCTTATACAACCTGAATTCCTACAGTAAAAAGAATAAGGCTAGTACTAACTGCAGTAAGCTTTTAATATCCCATACAATATATCATCCTTCCTTAGGAAAGACTTGACTGCTAAGCAACATGATTATGATGTTATCACTTTCAGAAAAATTGGGGTAGAGAAGGCCCTCCAAAATGGTGTTTCATTCCAAATCAATAGGTTTCTTGATCCCAAACCACAGAAATGGACCTTGATAAACTTAAGCAAAAAAAGAAGTTCAGTAATAAGTCCTGGATAGCTCACAGAATAAAATATAGTATTGAACACTCAGAAGGATGGGAAGGGAACAGCTTTGGGAATCTTGGTAACTGGGACTAATCCATAGGCCCTGCTGGTCACTACCATTGGAATGACACAAAGCCACAAAGATCATTCATTCTAAGCAGATCACATGGAATAGGGAAAGAAGAGTTTCCCCAAGAAAAGTGGGACTCTTTTCAAAAGATAGAGGGAGGAATACTCAGTGCACTAGTGTGCGTGAGTGTGCACGTATGTGTGTTGTGAATGAAGAGAGGAAAAATCCATTGACTGAAACTCTTTATGTTGCAGGCCAAAAGGAATCACAGGAGCAGAATTTGCATCTAAATGAAGGCAACAAGGAGACCATAGAAAGGTGTTACTTCCCAGACTTTACCAGCTACTAGCTGTCATGAAACATCTAAAAAACTGTTTTGAAAGTTAGGAAGTTTTGTCATTTGGAGAGTGCTAGATGTCCTGGAGAATGGGAGATGAGGTTACATAAAACTGAAATGTGCCTAGAATACTGACTACAATCAGCTTGAAATTTCCCCAAGGAAGCCCATGAGCTGTAAGCGTCTACAGATCTGGTACTGACATGCACAATTTGGCCATGCCCAGCCTGGCAGGCATCAGGGCAGCCTCAGAACCTACTCCCTAGTACCCTCTGATGACTACCTCCAGCAAAATGCACTTGACTCACCGTCTTCTGCACTGGGGAGCTCAAATTATCTCTGTGGGGGAGGTGGAGGCCTTGCCAGACTATCCACATTGCTTAACTTCTTAGTCAGTGCTGGAGAGGTTTTATGTTACAAAGGGTAATGAAACTTAGCCTGAGGGCCCAGAATGGTACTACAGTGTACATTTTGTCATTGGGTAGCTTCTTTAGCTTTGTATAATCAGAATTTTCCCCTTTCCTTTATGTAACTGTTTAAAGCAGAAATCAGAGTCCCTGGCTCCTAAGTTAATGGCAAGGAGGGGAAATGGAGGCAGTGAGGAACACTACCTGTGGCAGTAGTCATTGTCGTCACTTCCTGCCCCTGTCACCAACATTTCTGCAAGTGGCACAACCATCTGTCCATTCAAGACTGGCTATATCATTTGTACAAACCAGCGCAACATGAAAATGTGGCACTTCTTATTCAAAACTTATCATGAATTTCAAGACTGCAACAGCAGAGCGTAAAACCAACTGTGGACCACCCTGAGTTCAAGACCTAAGTAAATGCTTAGGTTGCATTCCCATGAAGCCAGCCCTGTGGCCATTACTCCCAGCCCACTCTTAAATTTCCAGCATTTAAACTATTTATGGAGCCTAAGAGTTATTCTTTTCTCTCTTCCCGATCTCTCCCAGGGCTGTGTCTATTCACAAGTTTCATATGGAGGTATCAAAGTAAAGAGAATGTAGTAGAGAGAAGAAAATACTTCTGTTAGTCAGGGTTCTCCAGAGAAACAGAACCAACAGGATGTACATGTATAAAGAGTTATACTATAAGTCATTGGTTCATATGGGTATGGAGACTGAGAACTCCCACAATCTACAGTCAACAAGTTGTAAACCCAGGAGAGCCAATGGTATTATTTTGGCTCAAGTCTAAAGGCTTGAGAACCAAGAGAGCTAGTGGTACAAATTCCAGTCCAAGTCCTAGTCCAATAACTGTGTCTAGACTGAAGGCAAGAGAAGATCAATGTCCCAGCTCAAAGACAGGCAAGGAGAGCAAAGTCTTCCTTACTCCATCTTTTTGTTCTATTCAAGCCTCCAATGGGTGGGATGAGGTCCACCCATCCTGGGGAAGGCAATCTGCTTCCCTCAGTCTACTGATTCAAATGTTACCCTCATCCAGAAACACCCTCACAGACACACATCCAGAATAACATTTAATTAAGTACCTGGGCATCCCCTTACCCAGTCACGTTGATACATAATACTAACCATCAGAATGCTTTTCTCTCTTTCCTCTGCCCATCACTAGAATTCCCATGGTCGTTTTATTCCCTCCAATAGAAGATGAAAACTAGGCCTGGCTTTCAAGATAACAAAG
This sequence comes from Homo sapiens, assembly GCF_000001405.40. Lineage (NCBI taxonomy): Eukaryota > Metazoa > Chordata > Mammalia > Primates > Hominidae > Homo > Homo sapiens. Next base: position 47,169,713 of record NC_000006.12, read on the forward strand.
AAGCCTAGGAATAAAATCTGCCTATGCACACTTGCCTCCAGCCTGTCCTCCTTACTCGGAAGTTGGCAGGTTGATTCATGGTCTATACTCCACTAGAAACTTCCTTCTATTCTGTGCTGGGCATCAACCCCTCATGATTCAGAGTTGTGTTTTCTTGGCTTCCCTGAGCCTAACTACTTGGTACAGCTAATCCAGCAGAAAATCTCAGTAGACCATTCTACACTTCTTCACACCCATTGCGTAACTATTTCCATAGAAACTTCCTGATAACAAAACTAAACTATTTTTTCTTTTTTTGGTCATTTCATCCATTTGTGATACTGGGGCTAGAGCTAACAAGTCAAACAGGAGGAGCCATGATAGGTCACTGGAGACATTTGGGAGCACACAGGGAGTCAGGACTTGCCTGTACTTGCTAGAGGGGTAGGGTTGCTTCCACTAAGATATCTTGGCTGCATCTGCTTGGTGGGGAGGAAAGAGTTTGGTTTTGGAGTAACCCCTGCCTAAATCATTGCTAACTCACTCTGTGGCTTTGGACACTTTCCTTAGTACTTCTATCTGGGCCTCAGTTTCATCATCTGCAAAATAGGGAGGCTGGTATCTATGCTCTGAAATTGCTTTGAAGATCATAGATAAATGTGTGAAACACCTGGCATGTAATAGAGCCTAAGGAAATAGTTACAGTCCATCTCCTTGTTCTACAACTAGATCTTGCTGATTCATTCTAAAGAACAGGAGAGAAATGAGATGAGCACATACCCTCAGGGAGGCATTGAACAGACCAGATGTGTCTTCCACCTTCAAAAGAGAATGCATGGGCTTAGTTAGCCTCTTGCTTTCTTTTCCCCAAATTACTTCCTCCTGGTTTCCTGCAGCTCATACCACTCTGGGCAATCACTGAACCTTACTGACAGTGTGCTCTCGTCCCTCACTCCTTCCAGGGCAAACATGTCAACACTTTGTGCTCAGAAACAGAGTTTGGGGGCGCTACTGACATGGCCAAATTTCACAAAGAAGCACTTGGCTTTGGTTCACGTTTGGCAATCAGAGAGTAGCTGGGGATGTTTAGCTGAGATATATGATTCAGGCAAAAAAAAAAAAAAAAAAAATCCCCTTTCCCCTTTCTCCATTTGCAGAACACCATCCACAATTGCTTAATAATTATATGCATGGGCCAATATCATTCTGCCCCAGACCTCCATACTGGAGGTCACAAGTCTTGGGGGCAACTAAGATTTATTTCCCATACCCCATATATAAAGGTTAAGAAGGCAATCCCTCTGGGTTCAAAGGCTCCTCTGGGGTCACTTGAGGTGTCCATCTGGCTATATTTAATAAGAAAATAAAACTTGCCTCCTTTCTGTTACCAGGCCCAAGACTGTGTCCTACTGACGCTTCCCTGGCTTCCCTTACTCAATCCTTCAGGCCTCGTGCTCTGCAGTGGTCGGCCTGCATGGCTCCCCACTGCATTTCAACCTCAGGCTGACCAAGGACCTCCTGTGCAGGGTGCATCTGCAGCAGAGTTGGCAGAAGCTTTCTGTAAAGGGCCACATAATTAATATTTTAGGCTTTATGACCCAAGAGGCAAGGCCAAAGATACCATTTGTGTATTAACATAACACTTTAGGCTGGGCATGGTGGTTCACAGCTGCAATCCCAGTACTTTGGGAGTCCAAGGCAGGCAGATCACTTGAGGTCAAGAGTTCAAGACCAGCCTGGCCACCATGGTGAAAACCCATCTCTACTAAAAATACAAAATCAGCCAGGCATGGTGGCAAGCACCTGTAATCCCAGCTACTCGGGGGGCTGAGGCAGGAGAATCGCTTGAACCAGGGAGGTAGAGGTTGCAGTGAGCCAAGATTGCACCACTACACTCCAGCCTGGGCAATAAGAGTGAAACGTCATCTCAAAAATAAATAAATAATAATATAACACTTTAAAATGTATTTTTGGCCCGGCGTGGTGGCTCACACCTGTAATCTCAGCACACTGGGAGGCCGGAGCAAGTGGATTGCTTGAGCTCAGGAGTTTGAGACCAACCTGGGCAACGTGGTGAAACCCTATCTCTACTAAAAATACATAAATTAGCCAGGCATGGTGATGCACACCTGTAGTCCCAGCTACTCGGGAGGCTAAGGTAAAAGGATTGCTTGAGCCCAGGAGGTCAAGGCTGCAATGAGCCAAGATTGTGCCACTGCACTCCAGCCTGAGAAACAGAGTGAGACCCCGTCTTAGAAAAAAAAAAAAAAGGGATTTTGTTTCTATTTTTAATGATTTTTAATTTTTATTTGCAGAGGTTCTATTTGGCTGTTCATTTTCAGTAGTCTCTTATTTTTTGCTCATCCATTTGATAGCATCTCTTCTGTGTTAAGCATATCTAACATGCTTAAATTTATTTCATAATTAATAATCAAGTATTTAAAGTGTTTGTCAGCCTACATCTGCTGTTTGTTGTATTTTGCTACTTCTTTTTCATGGTACCTTGTTTTCCCGAGTGTATTATGATTCTTTCCTTCAATTGCGAGCTGCAGTTCAATAGAATTTTATATCTGGAAATCTTTTATTTTTTATTTTTGTGAGTACCTAGTAAGTGTATATATTTATGGGGTACATGAGATATTTTGATATAGGCATATAATGATGTGTAATAATCACATCAGTGAAAATAGGGTCTCTATCCTCTCAAGCATTTATCTTTTGTGTTACAAACAATGCAGTTACACTCTTTTAGTTATTTTTAAATGTACAGTTAAATTGTTATTGACTATAGTCACCCTATTGTGGTATCAAATACCAGATATTATTCATTATGTCTAAGATGTGGGAATCTCTGAGGCCTGTGATAACAGTGGTTCCTTCAGTGAGGATTTGTGCTTGTTTCTAGACTTGAGAGTACTCCCAACTCTGAGCCACATTAAAACACATTTTCATCTAGGATTTTTCAAACTGTACTTATATTATAAATTTGGTTACAAGCCTGCATAAAGCTAATCTATAGTTATACATTCTCAGATGTTTCCCTACCATCAGAGTGAACAGGCAACCTACAGAATGGGAGAAAATTTTTGCACTCTACCCATCTGACAAAGGGCTAATATCCAGAATCTACAAAGAACTTAAACAAATTTACAAGAAAAAATCAAACAACCACAAAAAGTGGGCAAAGGATATGAAAAGACACTTCTCAAAGGAAGACATTTATGCAGCCAAAAGACACATGAAAAAATGCTCATCATCACTGGTCATCAAAGAAATGCAAATCAAAACCACAATGAGATACCATCTCACACCATTTAGAATGGCGATCATTAAAAAGTCAGGAAACAACAGGTGCTGGAGAGGATGTGGAGAAATAGGAAAGCTTTTACACTGTTGGTGGGACTGTAAACTAGTTCAACCATTGTGGAAGACAGTGTGGCGATTCCTCAAGGATCTAGAACTAGAAATACCATTTGACCCAGCAATCCCATTACTGGGTATATACCCAAAGGATTATAAATCATGCTACTATAAAGACACATGCACACATACGTTTATTGCGGCACTATTCACAAGAGCAAAGAATTGGAACCAAGCCAAATGTCCATCAATGATAGACTGGATTAAGAAAATGTGGCACATATACACCATGGAATACTATGCAGCCATAAAAAAGGATGAGTTCATGTCCTTTGCAGGGACATGGATCAAGCTGGAAACCATCATTCTCAGCAAACTATCACAAGGACAGAAAACCAAACACCGCATGTTCTCATTCATAGGTGGGAATTGAACAATGAGAACACTTGGACACAGTGTGGGGAACATCACACACTAGGGCCTGTTGTGGGATGGGGGAGGGGGGAGGGATATCATTAGGAGAAATACCTAATGTAAATGACAAGTTAATGGGTGCAGCAAACCAACACGGCACATGTATACGTATGTAACAAACCTGCATGTTGTGCACATGTACCCTAGAACTTAAAGTATAATTTTAAAAACATAGAAACAAATAAATTCTCAGATGTTTCCTCTTGCTATCTAGAGCCAGGGTTGAGGCAGGCAGATTTCCTTTCTATTCTTGTGTGGGGAAAGGGACTTGAAGAAATTCCTGGTGTAAATAGTCACTGACAAGATATCCTTTGGGATATAAGGTGATTTATAAGAGAGTCTCTGATCTGACTTCCCATGTTCCCCTAGACTTTGTCTCATGTTTGCTATGCAGATGTCAAAATCAACTCTCTGGGTCACTTGAGGGTAGATATCCATCTCTGGGGGAGTCTTCAGTTCACGCACTCACTTATCTCCCTGGATTCATGCTTCCCTATTTGTTTGTTTGTTTGTTTGTTTGTTTGTTTGTTTGATCTCTTACTTTCCTGCAAAGGTAGTGATGCATTTTTAAAGATTTGTTAAAATATTTATTCAGCATTTTTCGGTGCTTCAAAGATAGGTCTTTAGGATATAAAGTTCAATGTATGACCTCTGGTATATGTTTTTTGTTTGTTTGAGACAGAGCCTTACTTTGTCATCCAGGCTGGAGTGCAGTGGCACGATCTCAGCTCACTGCAATCTCCACCTCCCAGGTTCAAGCAATTCTCGTGCCTCAGCCTCCTAAGTAGCTGGGATTGCAGGCATGCGCCACCACACTTGGCTATTTTTGTATTTTCAGTCAAGATGGGGTTTTGCCATGTTGGCCAAGCTGGTCTTGAACTCCTGGCCTCAAGTGATCCACCTGCCTCAGCCTACCAAAGTGCTGAGATTACAGGTGTGAGCCACCATGCCTGGCCTGTATGTTTTAAAAGCTCTAGTCTCCCCGAAATATAAACTCAATGGTAGCCAGTCTTTGAGATGGCCCCCAGTGGTTTTCTTGTATAATTCCTTTCCACATTGAATCAAGAAAGATCAGAGTGGCCAATAAAATACAGCAGAAGTGACGGTGGGTCAGAGACTAAGCTATAAATGCCACTGATCATCCTGTTTACTCATTTCTGTATCATTCCGGGAGAAGCCAAATATCATGTTGCAAGAACACTCACCTATGGAGAGATCCAGGATTCGAGGAACTGACACTCACTATGGCCACATGAGTTAGCTTGGAAGCAGATTATTCAGTCAGGCAAAGCTGCAGAGGACACAGTTCAGGCCAGTATCTTGTTTGCAACCTCATGAGAGAGCTTGAGCCAGACCTACCTAGCTACATGGCTCCTGAACTCCTGACTCTGAGAAACTATGTGAAATAGGAAATGTTTGTTTTTCAAAGCTGCTAAGTTTGGGAAAATTTTTTGCACAGCAATAGATATCAAATATAAACTGTTTCTGCCATACCTGTAATTCCAAAAGTTTTAGAAATGTTTTATGACAATATGTCTAGAAATTTCTTATTAAATTGAATACTTATTATATCAATGGGTAAATATATTAATACTTAACCACACATTCTCTTCTATAACTGACTACCCCTCTTTAGAAAGCAGTCCTGGGGTACATGAGACATGAGATGGGTAAATTCTGCTGAAGAGAGTATTGTGGGTCTGGAGTAAGGACTGCACTTAAAAGGGGCCTGTTGTGAATGGGGACCATGAAGCCATGGAGTGAACAGAGTCACTGAGGTGGTGCCTCCTTCTATACCTTTGTATACATTGCTTCCTCCCCTTGTGATCCTTCTGGTCCTCTCTGTTTTTCTTCACTCAAGTCTCACCTTCTCAGAACAACCTTCTCCAACTACACCAGCAAAGAGTGATTGTTTGTTCCTGCTTGTGAACTCACATAGTGCTCACTCACTGTCCACACTCAAGCAGCACAGAGCATGTCCTGTCTCTTCCAAGGTTAGATTAGAAATGTCTATGCATCTATGTAGCCTACATCCTAGTACCAGGCAAACAATTTTGCATATAGTAGCTGCTCTATGCAATGGTGATGATGAAGGTCAACTTCGGGAATGGTTTGCCTCCTATTACTACTTAGATTGGAGCCTAAAATACTATGGTTAACCTTCTATATTAGTCAGGGTTCCTTAGAGGGGCAGAACTAATAGGATTGATGTATATATGAAGGGGAGTTTATTAAGGAATATTGACTCACACGATCACAGGCGAAGTCCCACAGTCTGCAAACTGAGGAGCAAGGAAGCCTATCCAAGTCCCAAAACCTCAAAAGTAGGGAAGCCAACAGTGCAATATTCAGTCTGTGGCCAAAGGCCTAAGAGTCCTTGGCAAATCACTGGTGTAAGTCCAAGAATCCAAAAGCTGAAGAACTTGGAGTCTAATGTGCAAGGGCAGGAAGCATCCATCACGGAAGAAAGATGAAGGCCAAAAGACTCAGCAAGTCTGCTCATTTCACTTTCTTCTGCCTGCTTTTATTCTGGCCACACTAGCAGCTGATTAGATGGTGCCCACCCAGATTGAGGGTAGGTCTGCCTCTGCCAGTCCACTGACTCAAATGTTAATCTCCTTTGGCAACACCCTCACAGACACACCTAGAAACAATATTTTGCGTGCTTCAATCCAATCAAGTTGACACTCAATATTAACCATCACAAATCCACCCCTTGTCAACTTGAACCCATATACATCTCCTGAAATCATACATAATCTTCAAATAAAGACAATAATAGGGTTATAATCATACCTGACATAAGACAGCTATCCTTTCTACAACCAGAAGTGCACTAATCCTTAACCTAAATGTTATTACATAAAGTTAATAACCCTTAAATTCTGATTTGAAGTGAACAAATCTTATGTCACATGATAAAAGGAAAAAGAGAGGAAGTAAAGTGAAGATATTTTCTTAGGACAAGTGTATACATGCACAAATATATTCTTAACAAAATAAAGAGGAAATATTTATGACAATTACAGTCCTCGTTTCTACAACTGGTCACATGGTTGTAGCTGGTATTAATGACTACCTTCTTCTACTACTCATTCTGTATTTCCTTTGCTTTCAGCAAGCACCTCAGCAGGATTTTTACCTGGTGGAGTGACCCAAACCCTCATTCCTGAAGGGTCTTGGCCATTAGCAGCCCTGCCTGGATTGGGTTGTAGTAGTTTCCCATTGACCTTAATCACAGGGCATGGTAATGCTAAGAGATGCCCTAATGGATCTCCTGTATTCCATGCATACTCTTTCTTACCTCCAATGTGGAGTAGTAGACTGATTTCATATTGATAGTCTGGGTCAATCACCCCAGCCAACACTAACTCCATTCTTAGCCTGTTGGCTTAGAGATAAGAGAAGCCCAAAGTGGCCAGGTGGCAATCTTAACTTCCAGTTGGGGGGAATCACTGTTGTGTCTCCTGGTGGCAGCATTCCTCCCTCTGGAACTAAGACCTCTAGGCCAGCAGAACGTAATGTCAGGGGAACAGGAAGCAAAAATTTTACTAGCAGGTCACCAGGGGTGATGAAGAGTGGTGCTACTTCCACTTTTCCCCCTTGATTCCTGGACCTGTGAATCCTGGCTATGGTGGAAACATACCATATATTGGATGTTGATTCATAGCATACACAATCTTCTGGAAAACTTTGCCCCAGTCTTGCCAAGTATTGTCACCTAGTTGGCATTGTAATTGTGACTTCAAAAGACCATTTCACCATTCTATCAATCCAGTTGCTTCAGGATAATAGGGAACATGGTAAGACCAGTGAATTCCATGAGCATGAGCCCACTGCTGCACTTCTTTAGCTGTAAAGTGAGAGCCCTGGTCAGAGGCAATGCTGTGAGGAATACCGTGACGGTGAATAAGGCATGCTGTGAGGCTATGGATGGTAGTCTTGGCAGAAGCATTGCATGTAGGATAGGCAAACCCATATGCAGAGTAAGTGTCTATTCTGGTGAGGACAAATTGCTGCCCTTTCCATGATGGAAGAGGTCCAACATAATCAACCTGCCACCAAGTAGCTGGCTGGTCACCCCAGGGGAATTGTGCCATATCGAGAGCACCATTCTCTCTCTGCTGCTGGCAAATTGGGCACTCAGCAGTGGCCGTAGCCAGGTCAGCTTTGGTGAGTGGAAGTCCATGTTGCTGAGCCCATGTGTAACCTCCATTCCTGCCACCATGGCCACTTTGTTCATGAGCCCGTTGGGGAATAATAGGGGTGGCTGATGAAAAAGGCTAAGTGATATCTGTAGAACTAGTCATCCTATCCACTTGATAATATAAATGTTCCTCTGTTGAAGTCACCCTTCAGTGAGCATTCACATGAGATTCAAATATCTTCACAGTTTTTGACTACTCAGAGAGGTCCATCCACATGCCTCTTCCCCAAATTTCATTATCACCAATTTACCAATCATGCTGCTTTCAAGTCCCTGACCATCCAGCCAAACTATTGGCTACAGCCCATGCATCAGTATATCATTGCACATCTGGCCATTTCTCCTTCCATGAAAAGTGCACAACCAGGTTCACTGCTTGAAGTTCTGCCCACTGGGAAGATTTCCCTTCACCACTGTCCTTCAAGGATGTCCTAGAAAGGGGCTGTAGCACTGCAGCTGTCCACTTTTGGGTGGTACCTGCATATTGTGCAGAACCATCTGTAAACCAGGCCCTTGTCTTATCTTCCTCTGTCAACTGATCATAGGGAACTCCTCATGAGGTCATCAGTGCAGGCTGAGGGAGGATAGGCAGGGTGGCAGTTCAGGTTGCATGGTGACTTGATGACCCATAGTCAAATGTTCAGTTTCCAACAAAGCCCAGTAACAGGCCAAAAGGAGAGTAGTTATCTGCAGAAGATGGCAGGGTCTTGCTCCAAAACCCTAAAGGCCTCCGCTGTGATTCACCTATGGGGGCCTGCCAAAGGCTTCCAACAGCATCCCTATCTGCCACTGACGCCTCAAGCACCATTGGATCTGCTGGGTCATATGGCCTGAGTGGCAGAGCAGCTTGCCCAGCAGCCTGGACCTGTTGCAGAGCTTTCCACTCTTCTGGACCCAACTCAAAACTGGCTGCCTTTCAGGTCATTCGATAAATGGGCTGGAGTAACACACCCAAATGAGGAATGAGTTGCTTCCAAAATCCAAATAGGCCCACTAGGCATTGTGCCTCTTTCTTGGTTGTAGGAAGGGCCAAATGCAGCAACTTATTCTTCACCTTAGAAGGAATATCTTGAGAGGCCCCACACCACTGGACCCCTAGAAATTTTACTAAACTAGAAGGTCCCTGAATTTTAGTCAAATTTATTTCCCATCCTTTGGCACACAAACGTCTCACCAATAAGTCCAGTGTGTTTGCTACTTCTTGCTCACTGGATCCAATCAGCATAATGTCATCAACGTAATGGACCAGTGTGATATCTTGTGGAAGGGAAAAGCAATCAAGATTTCTCTGAACAAGATTATGAAACAAAGCTAGAGAGGAGATATACACCTGAGGTAGGAGAGTGAGGGTATATTGCTGGCCTTGCCAGTGGAAGGCGAATTGCTTCTAGTGGGCTTTATGAACAGAATGGAGAGAAAGGCATTTGCCAAATCAATGGCTGCATACCAGGTACCAGGAGATGTGTTAATTTTTTCAAGCAATGAAACCACATCTGGTACAGCAGCTGTAACTGGAATCATCACTTGGTTAAGCTTATGATAATCCACTGTCATTTTCCAAGATCCATCTGCACAGGCCAAATAGGAGAGCTGACAGAGATGTGGTGAAAATCACCACCCCTGCAATCCCTGTAATCCTGCCAGGGATGCAACATTGTTTTTGATTTACTATGTTTCTAGATAGGGGCAGCTTTAAAGGTTTCCATTTGGCCTTTCCCATCATAGAAACCCTCACCCTACCAGTCAGGAAGCCACTGTGGTGATTCTACCAGCTGCTGAGTACATCTATGCCAATTATGCATTCTGGCACTGGGGAAATGACCACAGGATGAATCCAGGGACACAATGGACCCACTGTAAGTCAGACTTGAGTTAAAACTCCATTAATTACCTGACCTTCATAAGCCCTTACTTTAACTGGAGGACTACAGTGATGTTTTGGGTCCTCTGGAATCAACGTCGGCTCAGTCCAGTAGCCCCTGAAAAGTATGGTCATTCCCCTTTCTCCAATGCAGTTACCCCGGTGAAAGGCCAGAGGTCTCCTTGGGGAAGGATGGGAGAAAGATTAACAGCATAAATTGTTAGTAGTGTAGCAAGGTCCTTCCTTAAGGGGACCCAGCCTCCCCTTCATTCAAGGGGTTCTGGGTCTGCAAACTTGTTTGAGTCTGGAAATTGATTGGGGGGCTGTGATTCTCTACTTTTACAGTTCAAATTAGTCTTTTGTCCACTCAATCTGGGAGGTTTCCACTTATACAATTTTTACTTATACATTATGTAAAAATGCAGTAGGCTTCCTATCAATTTCACTTCTAGAAACACTGTGATCAACTAGCCAATGCCAGATTTCTACACAAGTCAGAGTATGCTGATTGCTGCTTTACCTCCATGTCCATTACAGTAACCATGCCCACCCTGCCTTTGACAGTTGAGTGACGCCACTTAGTCCCTGCCACCTTGGGATCCAATTATTTCCATTGCATTTAAATTTTCTAATTGATTGATTGCAGTTCCCACTGTAAGATCTGGCATACAGAAAAGAGCAATCACAGACCTCTTCAAGGATGCAGGTGCTCCCCTCACGAATCTATTTTGCAAAGTATTGGTGAAGGGTATATCTTCTGGACCCTCCCAGCTGGGATGAGTAGGTTTAAAGTGATTAATCCACGCTAGCATTCCAATCTCCCTAAGCCTTTGGATCCCTTCCTCTACATTAAACCAAGGGAGATCAGGCATTTCCAGCTCACTCACATTGGGCCAGCTTTTAATCCATATTTCAGCTAACCAAGAAATAAACTATTAGAACCTTTTTTAACTCCCTGAACTGCAACATTAAAGCAGTTAGTTTAGTGGGCCCATGTCAATAAATTCAGCCTGATTCAACTTTACATTCCTTCCACCATTATCCCACATCCTTAATATCCATTCTCATAACTCTTCTCCAAATTTCTGCTTATATAAATTAGACAACTCAAGCAGTTCTTTTGGAGTGTAATGCACCTCCTTGTGGGTCACACTTTGAACCTCACCTCTAGGGGCCCCCTGGGACTAGAGCGTAGTTATAGGTCTAGAAGCAAACAGGGTTGTTGGGGGTGAGTCATGAAGTGAATCAACATTGTCTTGCCTGGCGACTGTCTCAAGGGAGGCCATCCACTGATGCCTCAGGCAGTGCATGGTTAATCTCCTCAGAAAAGGTGGAAAGGCTGATGGCAGCCTGGGTGGGGGAGAGGATGTTGCCACCACTGGGGGTAGAGGGTAGAGAAGCTATTTCCTCTGGCAAATAAGGCTCATCACAGTTTACAAGCTCAGTGTCTCCATCTTCATCAGGGTCCTCCCACATGCCCCCATTTCAAGTTGCAGGATCTTATTCTTTTCCAATCAATGCCTTCACTTTAACAATAGACACCTGGGAAGATTGAGCATGCATTTTTCGTTGCTGGTCAGCCACTCACATGATAAGACCTTGTGTCTGATTTTCCACAATTTCAGCCCTTTGTCTACAGGAGATAAGACTCTCACTCAGAGCGGTCTTAGAAAACTTGAGGCTCAGTATCTGCTTCTGAAGCCAGGAGTTAGAATCCCTGAGCTCATCCTTTTCTTTTGTCACCTTGTCCAGCAAACTTAGGAGCAACAACCAACTTCATTATATTCCTTGGTTCTCCACTTACGGTCAAAGGTATTATGTATGGAATCACTAAACTCCTTGCCTCTCAAGAGCAGTGAATCAGGAATATCAAATGCATTTATTTTGCATAACTCTGTGAACAGTTTACGCCAAGGACGTTCAATGTTCTCCATACTATTAGAAGTAGAGTTCTTAGCATTTTGGAGTCTAATCATATAATATTAAGCATAATGAGCAACTCCAGAAGCTTCAAAACCAATTAAAGACATCCATTTAAAAAATTCTGTTCCTCTAAAATCACTCCTGGTACCAAAATCTGTATTAGTCAGGGTTTCAAGGGACAGAACTAATAGGATAGATGTATATATGCAGGGGAGTTTATTAAGGATTATTGACTCACATGATCACAGAGTGAAGTCCCACAATAGGCCATCTGCAAGCCGAGGAGCCAGTCAAGTCCAAAACCTCAAAAGTAAGGAAGCCGACAGTGTAGCCTTCAGTCCGTGGCTGAAGGCTCAAGAGTCCTTGGCAAATCACTGGTGTAGGTCCAAGAGTTCACAAGCTGAAGAACTTGGAGCCTAATGTGTGAGGGCAGGAAGCATCCAGCACGGAAGAAAGATGAAGGCCGGAAGACTTAGCAAGTCTGCTCATTTCACTTTCTTTTGCTGCTTTATTCTAGCTGTGCTGGCAGCTAGATTAGATGTGCTGATTAGATGGTGCCCACCCATATTGACAGTGGGTCTGCCTCTCCCAGCTCACTGACTCAAATGCTAATCTCCTTCAGCAACACCTTAGGAACAATACATTGCTTCCTTCAATCCAATCAAGTTGACACTCAGTATTAACCATCACACCTTCTAATACTTAATCATCTCATTGGTGAAAAGGGGATGCACCTAGAGCAGGGTAGATAAGAATCTCTCCCCGTGTTTTGTTATAAAGTATGTACACTCAACAAGGGGACCCAGCTGAGGTGGGGCATCGATGGCTGAAGTCCAGACACCATTCTCCTTCCCAAATCTTGTGTCAGCTCAAAAGAAGGGACACATCTTTGTAATTCATTCACCAAGAGGGTACTCACATAACACACGCTAGGCTGTGAAGTGCTCAGGGCCCTTCTGGTATGCACTTCACGGCCTGGAGTGGCACAGTTCTGTCACCTGCAACCTGCCCTAAAACCAGCTCCTGGACTCTGCTGTTAGGAGCCATGGGAGCATCAAGGAATTGTCAAAGAAGCCCAGGTAGGAAGCTGGTTCCATTCCTTAATCACATGTTGAAGAAGTGGGTGCTAATGCTTCTCTATGTGACCGATTGAACCTGACCATATAACCTTGATTAGATATTGTTTTCCTGGCCAACATTCCTACAAGTTGCCACATTGCTATCTTTCCAACTCCTGTTCATTCTGTCATTTTGTGTGTTTAATGCACATTGTTTCCTGGTTAAACCAGTTTTCAGTGTTGATATTTAATACATTTACCTTTAAAAAAAAAAAACCTACAGGGAGTTTCCATTTGTACGATGAAAAGTCAAACAAATAGGACCCATAACTGCCACTCAAATGATAACATGGCCCTCTTGTTAAGACGTACAATAGCATAGGCCTTCTTTTTCATCTTCTTTCTAAAGTCTTCCTGCACCCTCTCAGCAACTTCTCATAACCAAGAGAAGATACTTATAGTTACTTAGATTACCATGGTATGCTCTTGATCATTTACAGTAACTTAAAACCTATCTTTAACCTATAACCAAATTTCTATACCACTCTAACTTGTGAGAAGATGACACACATTCTTAAAATTATCAAATCCTTTATTATGTCTTCCCACAACAAGAAAAATACTACCACTACAAAAACCCAAGTTAGCATCATATGCCTTTCTCTAGGATCACCTATGTTTCCTCTTGGCATTTTATCCCACAATTTTCCAAATGTTTCCAAAAACATTACTGTCTCCCTGACTCCTGTTCATTTGGTCATACATTCACTTTTGACCAAATGGTCAGTTGTTCATAATAGTTTTAACCACATGATAAATAATGGTTTGATACAAGGTATAAAAATCAGAGATCAGGGTCTCATGTTCCCTCTGCAGCCCTGAATGCCTGAGACTCTAATAACTTAATTATTCTTCAAGGGCTTGGAGATAGTTTGCTTCTGTCTTCCAGTCTTCATTGTTTTCATTGTTATTTTTCCACCTCAGATGTTGTTTTTCTTCATCCATGTCAGCAGTATGTAGAGACGATGTTGGAGGTTTCTTTTTTGTTTTTTCAACATTTATTTTAGATTCAGTGGGCAAATGTGCAGGTTTGTTGCCTGGGTATATTGCATGCTGCTGAAGTTTGAGTACAAATAATCCTATCACCCAGGTACTGAGTGTAGTACTCAACAGTTAGTTTTCAATACTTGTCCCCCTCCTTCCCTACTCTAGTAGTCCCCCTATTGTTGCCATCTTTATGTTCCCAATGTTTTGAGTACCTGATGTTTAACTCCTACTTATAAGTGAGAACATGCAGTATTTGGTTTTCTATTCTTGCATTAATTCACTTAGAATAATGACCTGTAGCTGCGTCCATGTTGCTGCAAAGGACATGATTCCATTCTTTTTCATTTCTTTTTTTAAATCTTGGATATTTTAAATTTATTCTCTGGTTGAATCATACTTTTTTTATGGCTGCAACATTCCATGGTGTATAAGTACCATGTTTTTTTATCCAGTCCACAATTGATGGGCATCTAGATTGATTCCACGTCTTGGCTACTTGTGAATAGTGCTGTGAGAAACATGCGAGGGCATGCGTCCTTTTGATAGAATGATTTGTTTTCTTTTGGATATATACTCAGTAATGGGATTGCTGGGTCAAATGGTAATTCTGTTTTAAGTTCTTTAAGGAATATTCGAGGTTTCTTATGGGCTGTAATTAAAAGAGAATCAGGGAAGTCTTCCTAAAATATAGACACCAGCAAGTACCACAAGCCTGAAATCTCCAGTGAATGAACCCTCCTTGGGTTTAGGTGTTGCCTTTCTCTAGGATCACTTATTTTTCCTCTTGACATTTTATTACACAATTTTTCAAACATACAGGAATGTTGAAAGATGTGTGGAGTGGACACCTCTAACCGCAGGTTCTACGATGGGCATTTTTGCTGCATTTATTATGTAACTAAGCATCTATCCCTTCATCAATACATCATATTTTTATGCATGTCAGAGCAAATTTCAGACATCATTATGCTTCACCCCCAAATTCTGCAGCATGTGTATTATTAACTAGAGCTTAATATTTGTTCATGGCTCCTTTTTTTAAAAATGTTTTATTTACATACAAAGAAATGCACAGATCTTGAGTAAACCAATGGGTCTTACTTTGGATCATCTTTTAAGATACAAATATTACCCCTGGAATAACTCCTGAAGTCTTTCATGCCTGAGCATGAATTGGACTTACTTGTTAGCTTTTTTCTTCATGTGGAAAAACCCATGACAGGATGGAAATACATAGAAAAAAAAGCAAATGGACAGATATGTATTTCCTTGTCTCAGTGAACCTAAATTGCTATTCTCTTTTCAAGTTAGTAGCCCTTAACTGTGGAATACATTTCTAGTTACCTACAATATTACTGTGAAAATCAATACATCTAGGAAACATCATTTTCACTAGCACTTATAAGGATCTTCTCTGTGCTAAGGTACTGAACTGATTTCTTTTTAAGCATATATTCAATCTTCACAACAGTCATGAGGTATATGTTATTATTATTATTATTTTAGAAATGTAGAGAGGAAGGTTCAGAGAAGTCAAACAACTTTCTCAACATCACACTGCTCACAAGTGGTACAGTAGAAACTCAGAACTAAGCAAGTCTGATTCCCAACCCCACTCAATAGTCAGCATTTCACCAGTATTTACTGAGCACTTACTAAATTCCTACCACAGTTCTAGGCCTCAGACACACAGTGGTAATCAAAACTTGATACCGAGAAGGGCTTACAGGTTAGTAGAGGAGATACATTAAACAAATGAACACACAAATTTTGTTTAGTAAATGAATTTTCATGGAAATCGTGAGTGGTAGATTTCATTAATCCCTGATAATGTATTGCAAAATGAAAAAAATTAGATGCCCGAAAATAAAATTGGTCAAAGACAACAGTTCTAATAAGCATGCCAATGGGATTAAAACACGGATCAATTGAAAATGAGACCATTAATGGCACATGGTAGTTTTCTTTGATGGCAAGATTTTCCAAGGCAAAAGAAAACAGAAACAAATGCAGTCAGCAAAATCCTTAGACTGAAATGGAAGCAAAAAAGAAGACAAATTCAATTTAGCACAGAAAACAAATTGTACAGACATAGCCTGTGCCCCTCCTGACCTGGAGAAAGATGAAATAGCCCAAGAGGTAAAGATCAACAAAGAAGAAGCACGTCTCTGAAAACTGGGTAACGTAAGCAAAAGTTTCCCAAAGAAAACAATAATCTTGGAGGAAAAAAAATCATGAAAGTGCTGTTTTTTTGGGGTTTTTTTGTTTGTTTTTTTCTTTAAGAACTCTTTTCACACAGCCAAATAGCAAGACGTTCTATTGCTTCTAGATTTGTACTCCTTTTGATAAGTTGTATCCACACTTATAATTACACAGAGCATATATATACCTAGGATCCATCCACATCAATTGACACAAATCTTCCTTAAATACAAAGTTTTAGGGCCCAGTTTCATAAGGGAGAACAATGGGGAATCAAATTAGATTGTGTTTGTTTTATGTCTTAGAAGGGATGAGGGGAGATTGCTATCATTACAATGATTATTTTTAAAAAACATTTAAATCAGAATCTTTGGGGATAGGATCCAGATATCAGTACTTTAGGTAAGCTTCTTGGATTGATTCTAATGTGTAGCCAGGGTGAAAAAGCACTGGCTTTGAAGAAAGAACCTGGGGGTTGGAGTCAGAGAAGTTTGAGTTTCAGTAGACATTACCAGCCTTGTGGTATTAAAGCAAGTTACTAATCTCTATTTCTGCTTTCTCTTTTAGAAAATTGGGATGAGAACATCAATCTTATAATAGGACCTTTGTGAGTAGTAAATAGGACAATGTAAGTACAGCCTTTAACAGGGTGCCTGATACAGCATAGAGGTGCCATTAAAGTCAGTGAGGCTGTTCTTTACACATGTCCTAATAGCAACAAATACATATCAGATTTGAATGATTTTGCAGTTGGCCACCCACCAACCAGCTCTGCCTGGATAATTAGGAGATGCCAAAATGACTTATTTCTTTCCCTGTTACACACACATGTATACTCATATATTTACACACACACAAAGGCAATGCTGTTCAAAGGAAGCAGCAATTAATTTCTGGTTGGGAAACTAAGCACCCAGGACCAGAGGAAAGGGAGAATAGGAAGGTAAAATACTGTCAGGAAGGGCGGAGTGAAGAGCTACAACAGTATCTCAGGATGCTGGGGAAGGTAGGCTTAGACCCAGAGACAAAGAAGTGACATCTTAGAAAGCCAGACACAAACATTAGCCCGAGATGAGGACATACTGTTGGTTTGGGGAACAGGAAGAAAAATCAAACAAGTTAAGGACTCTCTCCAAAGGAGGTCTGGGATCCGTCTTGAATTTGTATGCTCCAAACTCTGTATAGTTAGGTCATTTATGTAATTCTTACTGCCTGTAGCAGAGTAGTTGCTGCTCTGATCTGAATGTATTTCATAATTTCCAAAAGTAATAGCTAACAGCTATGAAGCACTTTCTGTAAGCCAGACATTGTGCTAAGCCCTTTATATGCATAAAGAGAATAACTCTATGGAATAAGTACACTCTTCTTCCTATTTTACAAATGAGAATGCTTTGAAAGGTAGTTAACTTGCTAAGCCTCACAAACTTAGTCTTGTGGTAGGAATATGACACATCCAGGTCCATCTGATTCCAACACTGAGGCTCTCAGAACTGTGCTGTGTGCCCATACCTACTGGTATGAAAATCCCTTTATTAATTAACAAGGATTTGCCCAGCAAGTGCTTTGAGGAAGAAACATCAGGGCTGCAAGATGAATGAGACAAGGTTCCTACTGTCACATAATGTTCAGTACCACAAAGGAGCCAGATAAATGCTCACCATTTATTAAAAAGAGTCACGTATGAAGAGTTGCCAGACACAAAACACAAGGTGCTCGGTTAAATTTCAATTTCACATAAGTGACAAATTTGCTTAAGTATTTCCTATGCGATATTTGGGCCATACTTAAACAAATGTATTTGTTTGACAAGAAGTTGAAATTTGACTGGGTGTCCTTATTTTATCTGGTGTATTTTACCTGGTATTTTATCTGGTGACTCTATCATGTAATTGGTTTTATGACAGAGATTTAAAGTAGAAACGCAGAAGTGAGAGCCCTGGAAACAAAATCAAGGTATGAGAAATGGCAAACAGGTATGAGAAACGGCAAACAGATGGGATGCCAAGCTAACTCAGAAGAAAAGGAGATTGTACCTAGTTGTGTAGTTAGGAAGGGCTACAAGGTAGTATTTGAGCTTGACCTTAAATGTGAATAGGGTTTGTTCGTATGTGAAAGGGCAGAGATGACGTTCCAGGCCAAGAGAACAATGTGAGCAAGCGTGTGGAGGTGGGGAAAGCAAAGTTATAACTCAATAATGAATTGAGATTGTTTAGAACCTGAGTTTTTCTGAGTCCAGAGTCCATAACTATTACATCTCATGAGTTAGAGAAGAATGAGGTCTTCAGAAGGTAAACACCAGCAATAGCAGTTGATTGGAAACAGATTGTGCAGGGACTAGAATACCAGGCTGAAGCCTATAGGCTTAGTTAAAAATAACTCAGTATGAGGGAACACATAACATTTCGAGATCATTTTATGTCCAAGTCATAGCTAACAGAGAGACTCCAGCAGCCTTTGGAAGTGAGAATGAAGAGAGCAGCCAGAACCCCAAAGCAGGTCAGTTAGCCAGATGCTGCCCCCACCACCCCTGGGCCCACATCTGCGAGGATGTCCCACAGTGTAGCTTGGTGTAGTGGAACCAAGAAGGCCTATGGCATTTTATTGGCCAAAGATGCATTTGGCTTCAGCTAGATGTCTGTATCCAAGGAACAATATCCACCTTATACTTGTTTTTACTAAAAAAAAAAAAAAAAAGAAAGAAAGAAAAAAGAAAGAAAAAAAGAAAAAAAAAGTGCAAAGTGCATCTCCCTTGTAAGTCAGAGAAAAAAAAGGAAAACCCTTTAACAAACTTACTCATGATTGTGCTGACCCTTAAAAATGCTTTCCTGATGAGTAATTGGGTAGAGAGAATAGTCATTCTAGCCTTATCTTGGTTGCAAAAATGTGTCCTTTCACCCAGTTGTTTTACCTGCAGAGGGTGGAGTGTGAGCAGACTTTGGAGTAAGGGCGGGAGGGGTTGGGGCAGGTAAAGTGGACAAACATGTGTTGTCTGCTTGTTACCAGTGACTCATTTGAGAGCACCTGGTTTCTTGGGGCTACACTTTCATGTAGTTTCTCATCCTGAAGAGCAACTTGCCACATAGGCATTCACCCAGTTACTCATCCAGCTGAAGCTCTGGAGACAGGCAAAGAATTAACCAATTAATAACCATACCCAAGATCTCAATATTGAAGAGCTTTGTGAATTATGTGCATTGGGGGCAGGAGAGTCCTTTAGGAAAATCAGCTCCTCACAGGCAATATGTTGACTGAAACCTTTCCCAGCCAGAAAAAGAACAGCAGTGGCCACCAACATAACCAAAAGCAGCTGTTATTTGCAAAGATATGCCGAATGTTCAAAGGTACGTATTATCCAGTGTCCGCTTAGGCCAAGAACTACAAGATCAACAAAATTGATAGACCGCTAGCAAGACTAATAAAGAAGAAAAGAGAGAAGAATCAAATAGATGCAATAAAAAATCATAAAGGGGATATCACCACCGATCCCACAGATATACAAACTACCATCAGAGAATACTACAAAAACCTCTACGCAAATAAACGGGAAAATCTAGAAGAAATGGATAGATTCCTGGACACATACACCCTCCCAAGACTAAACCAGGAAGAAGTTGAATCTCTGAATAGACCAATAACAGGCTCTGAAATTGTGGCAATAATCAATAGCATACCAACCAAAAAGAGTCCAGGACCAGATGGATTCACAGCAGAATTCTACCAGAGGTACAAGGAGGAGCTGGTACCATTCCTTCTGAAACTATTCCAATCAATAGAAAAAGAGGGAAACCTCCCTAACTCATTTTATGAGGCCAGTATCGTCCAGATACCAAAGCCTGGCAGAGACACAACAAAAAAAGAGAATTTTAGACCAATCTCCTTGACCAACATTGATGCAAAAATCCTCAGTAAAATACTGGCAAACCGAATCCAGCAGCACATCAAAAAGTTTATCCACCAAAATCAAGTGGGCTTCATCCCTGGGATGCAAGGCTGGTTCAAAATACACAAATCAATAAATGTAATCCAGCATATAAACAGAACCAAAGACAAAAACCACATGATTATCTCAATAGATGCAGAAAAGGCCTTTGACAAAATTCAACAATGCTTCATGCTAAAAACTCTCAATAAATTAGGTATTAATGGGACGTATCTCAAAATAATAAGAACTATCTATGACAAACCCACAGCCAATATCATACTGAATGGGCAAAAACTGGAAGCATTCCCTTTGAAAACTGGCACAAGACAGGGATGCCCTCTCTCACCACTCCTATTCAACATAGTGTTGGAAGTTCTGGCCAGGGCAATTAGACAGGAGAAGGAAATAAAAGGTATTCAATAAGGAAAAGAGGAAGTCAAATTGTCCCTGTTTGCAGATGACATGATTGTATATCTAGAAAACCCCATTGTCTCAGCCCAAAATCTCCTTAAGCTGATAAGCAACCTTAGCAAAATCTCAGGATACAAAATCAATGCACAAAAATCACAAGCATTCTTATACACCAGTAACAGACAAACAGAGAGCCAAATCATGAGTGAACTCCCATTCACAATTGCTTCAAAGAGAATAAAATACCTAGGAATCCAACTTACGAGGGACGTGAAGGACCTCTTCAAGGAGAACTACAAACCACTGCTCAGTGAAATAAAAGAGGATGCAAACAAATGGAAGAACATTCCATGCTCATGGGTAGGAAGAATCAATATCTTGAAAATGGCCCTACTGCCCAAGATAATTTATGGATTCAATGCCATCCCCATCAAGCTACCAATGACTTTCTTCACAGAATTGGAAAAAATTACTTTAAAGTTCATATGGAACCAAAAAAGAGCCCACATCGCCAAGTCAATCCTAAGCCAAAAGAACAAAGCTGGAGGCATCATGCTACCTGACTTCAAACTATACTACAAGGCTACAGTAACCAAAACAGCATGGTACTGGTACCAAAACAGAGATATAGATCAATGGAACACAACAGAGCCCTCAGAAATAATGCCGCATATCTACAACTATCTGATCTTTGACAAACCTGACAAAAACAAGAAATGAGGAAAGGATTCCCTATTTAATAAATGGTGCTGGGAAAACTGGCTAGCCATATGTAGGAAGCTGAAACTGGATCCCTTCCTTACACCTTATACAAAAATTAATTCAAGATGGATTAAAGACTTACATGTTAGACCTAAAACCATAAAAATCCTACAAGAAAACCTAGGCAATACCATTCAGGACATAGGCATGGGCAAGGACTTCACGTCTAAAACACCAAAAGCAATAGCAACAAAAGCCAAAATTGACAAATGAGATCTAATTAAACTAAAGAGCTTCTGTACAGCAAAAGAAACTACCATCAGAGTGAACAGGCAACCTATAAAATGGGAGAAAATTTTCACAACCTACTCATCTGACAAAGGGCTAATATCCAGAATCCACAATGAACTCAAACAAATTTACAAGAAAAAAACAAACAACCCCATCAAAAAGTGGGCAAAGGATATGAACAGACACTTCTCAAAAGAAGACATTTATGCAGCCAAAAGACACATGAAAAAATGCTCATCATCACTGGCCATCAGAGAAATGAAAATCAAAACCACAATGAGATACCATCTCACACCAGTTAAAATGGCAATCATTAAAAAGTCAGGAAACAACAGGTGCTGGAGAGGATGTGGAGATATAGGAACACTTTTACACTGTTGGTGGGACTGTAAACTAGTTCAACCATTGTGGAAGTCAGTGTGGTGATTCCTCAGGGATCTAGAACTAGAAATACCATTTGATCCAGCCATCCCATTACTGGGTATATACCCAAAGGACTATAAATCATGCTGCTATAAAGACACATGCACACGTATGTTCATTGCGGCACTATTCACAATAGCAAAGACTTGGAACGAACCCAAATGTCCAACAACGATAGACTGGATTAAGAAAATGTGGCACATATACACCATGGAACTCACCATAAAATATGATGAGTTCATGTCCTTTGTAGGGACATGGATGAAACTGGAAATCATTATTCTCAGCAAACTATCGCAAGGACGAAAAACCAAACACCGCATGTTCTCACTCGTAGGTGGGAATTGAACAATGAGAACACATGGACACAGGAAGGGGAACATCACACTCCAGGGATTGTTGTGGGGTGGGGGGTGGGGGAGGGATACCATTAGGAGATATACCTAATGCTAAATGACGAGTTAATGGGTGCAGTACAGCAACATGGCACATGTATACATATGTAACAAACCTGAACATTGTGCACATGTACCCTAAAACTTAAAGTATTATACTAATAATAAAATAA
Source organism: Homo sapiens (assembly GCF_000001405.40). Classification (NCBI taxonomy): domain Eukaryota; kingdom Metazoa; phylum Chordata; class Mammalia; order Primates; family Hominidae; genus Homo; species Homo sapiens. Next base: position 47,192,141 of record NC_000006.12, read on the forward strand.
AATTAAAAAAAGAACTACATACTTTTGAAAAGTGACAAATTGTTTCTGTAATTCTGATGTTAAATTCACTTATCTCAATCATGCTGAATGCAGACCAAAGATATTAGTTTGGCAAAACTAATTTAAGGAGATAGAAATTAGAATAATTGTTACCCCAGAGTGGAGGGGAGGTCGACTGGGAATGGGAAGGTACACAAAGTAATTTTCTAGAATGATAGAAATGGTCTGTATCTTGACTGAGCGTGGTGGCTCACGCTTGTAATTCCAGCACTTTGGGAGACCAAGGCGGGTGGATCGCTTGAGCCCAGGAGTTCGAGAGCAGCTTGGGCAACATGGTGAATCCCCATCTCTACTGAAAATATAAAAATTAGCTGGCTGTGGTGGCTTGTGCCTGTAATCCCAGCTATGCAGGAGGCTGAAGCAGGAGAATCGCTTGAACCGGGGGGCGGAGGTTGCAGTGGGCCCAGATTGCAATACTGCACTCCAGCCTAGGTGATAGAGCGAGACTTGGTCTCAAAAAAAAAAAAAAAAAAAGTCTATATGGTCTATATCTTGATTGGGGCATTAGTTTCAGATGAGATACATAAGTTAAAACTCATCAAACTGTGCACTTAGTGTGCATTTTATTGTAAATAAATACCTATTGCAAATACCTTGATTTTAAAAATTTCTTTAAATGCCTGCTCCCTAAGAGCAGTTAAGAGCCAGTTTTTGCCACATGCTCTTGGAGACCACCTTTTGTCTGGAACCTGAGCTAGCCCTTTGCCAAAGAAGAGATTTCAGCAAATTCTACAGCCCCATAAAGTAATCCAGAAAATCACTGGCAGTGACAGTCAGAGTTTACAAGATCTGATATTTAAACTCTCCATAGAATTTTACATTTCAATTTTGTTTTGTATTTTAACATGTATTAGAAAACATATGGCTGGGTGCAGTGGCTCATGCCTGTAATCCCAGCACTTTGGGAGGCTGAGTTGGGAGGACCACTTGAGCTCAGGGGTTCGAGAGCAGCCTGGGCAACATAATGAGACTTTGTCTCTACTAAAAATTTTGAAAAATTAGCCAGGTATGGTGGTACATGCCTGTAGTACCAGCTACTTGGGAGGCTAAGGTGAAAGAATTGCTTGAGCTCAGGAGGTGGAGGCTGCATTGAGCCATGATTATGCCACTGAACTTCAGCCTGGGTGGCAGAGTGAGACTCCATCTCAAAAATATATATATATGTATATAAAAAGGGAGGTGGCCCAGTAATGACATAGGTTTACAGATGTTTCTCAAGTTCGACTGAGTAGAGAGAGATTGTGACAGCTATTACTAGTTGCTAAGTTAGCTTCTTACTTCATTCACAGAACCTCAGTTTGGTTCAGGAAGCAATTTCCCAGTTAAAAATATTCATGTCCCTAGACTCTGTTGTAGCTATGGTGGCTGTGTGACCCAGTTCTGGCCAACGAGATATAAACAAAAGTCTACTGGATCGGAATTTGGGGAAAACTATTGTTTTCCCAATAAAAAGGATCCCACCATGGGCAGGTGCCTTTTTCTCTTTGATTCTTCTCTGTCCTCTGTCTTCAGCATGAAAATAAGGTGAAATGGTTGGATGAAGTACAGCCATCTTGGACCATTAAGACGCTAAGGGTGGCAGAGCTGGAAGGAAGAAAGAGGCTGCTTCCTAACCATAGCCTCTTTATTACATGAAAAACACCCCCTAGTTTGGTTAAGCCACTAAAGTAGGGTTTCTTTTATATCCAGCCAAATCCAATTATGGTACTTTAAAATTTTTAACTTAAAAATATGAATTAACTATAAGCATAGGTGGTACATGATTTTGCAGAAGACCTAAGTGTGAGACACGAGGAACGGGGATCTAAGAAACACAGGACTGTACTGTGAGCTCCTTGAGGACAGGGACCACGTCTGATTGTTGTTGTTACATCTTTTCATGAGCCCAGCACTGGAATATAGGAGGTGTCCAATTTGTATTTGTCAGATGGAACTCTGTGCCAACTTAAGCGAGGAGCCATATTTCAAAAGACCTTATCTCCCAGGCCGGAAAAATTATTTTTATAGGAACTTGGTCGGGACAGTCCTGAATTTAAGAGATTCCTTTTTCAACCAAATTCAAATTCCTCTTGAGGCTAGAGAAGGGTTCCATTTCCTCTTGACACATCCTTATTAAAGGAAGAGAATAACCATATGATCCCATTCAGAAAATTAAAATCTGGAACCCAGTGCAGATTCTGAGACAGGGTTGTTCCCTGATAGTACATCTGGACTCACAGTAAGGTTCTAGCCTTCCTGTGTGAGGGTTGTAGTGAAAGACCACCAGAAAGCAAATGCGCCATGCTTGCTTGTTTGGTGGCGGGGCTGAATTTGTGCTTATGCCCTGGTGTGTTGGAGCTGCCTTGAGGTGGTGAGAGTTGATTGTGTGTGTCTTTTACTACCTCCCGCTTCAGTGACTTCATGTTGTAGCTTGAAATGGGCCATGGTGGAAGTATTTACTCCCTGGAAATAAGCAAATGTTACAAATCAGAGTCCCCCCAACCCATCCTCCTCCCAAGAGCTGGTTATTAAACATCTACTAGTATACCACTGTGCTTATCTGTCCCTGTTTCCTCTCTCAGGTAGTCACTGTAATGCCAGTAATGATAGTGCCTTATATTTGGATAGTGGGTTCCAGTTTTTAAAGTGTCACCACATAAAGGATGTCATTTGACTCTCCCAGCAGCCCTAAGAGATAGACAAGGACTTTGTTATTCGCCTCATATATTAGTTTCCTATTGCGACTGTAACAAATTGCCACATTTTTAGTGGCTTAAATGGACACAAACATATATCATCTTAGAGTTCTGGGAATAAGTCTGAAATGGGTCTCAAGGGGCTAAAACCAAGGTACTGGCAGGGCTGTACTCCTTCTGGAGGCCCTAGGGAAGAATCAGTTCCTTGCCTTTTCCAGGTTACAGAGGCCACTGCATTCCTAAACTCATGTTTCCATCAACTTTCCATCCTCAAAGCCAGCAACAGCATCATTTTGACTTCTGTTTCCATCGTCACATCTCCTTCTCTGACTCTGACTCTTCTGTTCCCTCAAAAGGACCCTTGAGATTCCACTGGATCCACCTATATAATCCAGGATACGCTCCCCTCTTAAGGTCCTAAATCACATCTGCAAATCCCTTTTTGCCGTTTGAGGTCACATGGTTACAGATTCCAGGAATTAAGATGTAAACATGTTAGGGGGGAAAGGGTCATTATTCTGCTTACCATACCCCCTTTTATAGATGAGGAAGCCAGCTCTGTAAGATGATGGCTCTGGTTAAGTTCATGCAGCTGTCAGTGGCGAGGAGAGACTTGGCTTGAGGCCCATGCTTTTCCCACTGCAGTGTGCTGTGTCTGTAAATATTTTTCCAACAGCTGGCCCAGGGCAGGGGCACATTCTGGGGCAAAGGATATAGCATATTTAAGGATAGCTAGTATCTGGGAGACTGAACCTATGACTTTATGGGCCCTCCCAGGTCCATGCTTCTGCTAATGACACATCCTCCAATTTTCTTCCCAGAGTCCCTCAGATACCTCAGAGTGGGAATACAATTACCTAAAGTCTCTCAGAATTAGATTTTCTTTTCTTTTCTTTTGTTTTTTCAGACAGAGTCTTGCTCTGTCACCCAGGCTGTAGTGCAGTAGCATGATCTCGGCTCACTGCAACCTCTGCCTCCCGGGTTCAAGTGATTCTCTTGCCTAGGCCTCCCGAGTAGCTGAGACTACAGGTGTGCACCACCATGCCCAGTTAATTTTTATATTTTCAGTAGAGACGGAGTTTCACCATGTTGGCCAGGCCGATCTCAAACTCCTGACCTCAAGTGATGAGCCCGCCTCAGTCTCCCAAGTGCTAGAATTACAGGTGTGGGCTACTGCACCCAGCTCAGAGCTAGATTTTCTACGTATTGGTTGAGATATAACTAAGGGCTTACCAAGACACATGGACACATTTCCTTCCACCCACTCTTTAGCCACTCAGCAGTCCGACCCCTTTCTTTTCTGGGACTGAGCGTCCAACCTCACGACTCATCACACTTTCTATTCTGTCTCCCAGGTCATCACCACCTCCCTTCCTCAGATGAAATAATATGTAAATAAAGGAAACTATTAGGATGTCAGCACATCATAAGGACGTCTGTGACACTCAGTGACACTCAAACTGATTAGATTCAAATCGGAAGAAGGATTAGAGCCCTCCCCCACTCCTACTAGTGCTCTATGCCAAGAGAAGGCAGCAGCTTAAAAGATGCTGAATTAGGAAGCTTGTGTCCTTGTTCACATACTCTTCTCCCAATTCATGGCCTGACTTTGGGCAATCACTTCTTGTGAGCCTTCATTCCCGTATCAGGGTTGACACAAGAAGCAGTTCACTCCTTGAAATGCTATAGTATAATGTAAAAGTGCTGGATCTAGCATCAGACTTCCTGAGTTCACAATCCTGGTTCCACCAGTTATTAGATGGGCAAAGTTGGATAAAACACTTCTCTATGTCTCATTCTTCTTATAAATAAAATGGGGATGCTAATAATATCACCATTTTACAGACTTATTGTAATGATTGAATGACTTAATGCAGGCAATGTACTTTAGCATAGTGCCTGGCATGTCATAAGCCCTTAATAAATGTTAGTTATAGTTGTTGCAGGTTAGTGATTTTTAAAGTGTGGTCCCTGAACCAGCAGCATCAGCTTCATGTGGAAATTTACTAAAAATGCAGATTCAAAAGCCCATTTCAGACTTTCTGAACCAGGAACTCTCAGGATGATTGAATTGAGTTTCTCAGGCCATTGAATCCTTACAAAAAAAGTCTGTAACATGGTGACATTATTAGCATCTCCATTTTGTTTATAAGAAAAATGAGACTGAGACAAGTGTTTTATTCTACTTCACCCATCTAATAATTGGTGGAACCAGGGTTGTGAACTCAGGCTGGGGCCTAGCTATCTGTGTTTTAACAAACCCTTTAGAGAATTCTGATGCTACATGCTAAAGTTTGGGAACCACTCATGTAGATGCTTCTAAAATCTCTTCCAGTTCTGGAATTCTATTATTTCATGCAAGGTTATACATTTATGCAAGGCCCCCAAAATTATTATTATTCATGCATGTTGTTCCACAAACATTTATTACATCTCCCTTCATATTGAGATCTGGGGCTAAAAAGCAAAGTAAGACATAGCCTGTGACCTCAAGTAGTTTATAGTCTATCTCATTACCCTTAATTTATAAGTTTTAAAATATCTTATTTGTAAATTTTTCTGCATTGATTCATGGCTACTATTTACTATATAAAAACAGTATTCTTCTTTAAAAAAAATCTGGTGGTTACAGTTAGAGTAAGATATTAGCTAAGTGACCTTGAAACTCAGTTTCTTCATTTTTAGAATGAGACTAGTAATACCTCATTCACTAATTTGTTGTGAAAATTAATATAATTAAATGGGATGACATGCATGAAATGACAGTTTGTTATAAATGTCTAAAAATGGTCAGCTGGGTCTCTATTTGAACCTAGTCATAATTAAGTATTGTTGATTAGTATTGATTTGGCTTTATAGTGTATGTTGTTGATAGTCAAAAAAAAGAAAAAGGTTCAATTCATTATATGTTGAAATCTAGCTCCTCAGTGCTATAAAGAGCATACATCACTTTCACTTTCTCTTTTTCAGAACTCAGGTGTTGAAGACCCTCTTTGTAGTTCAGAAATAAATCAGAGAAATAGCTGGTGTGTATCCAAAAGGCCACATTAGAGCTAGGAATCAAAGAAAAGTTTAGACCAGCTACAGTCTCCTCAGCTATTTATGGTATAACTTTGAAATTCCCTCGGAAACTTCCCTTTTGATTCTGTCTCAGAAGATGTTATCTGATTAACTAGGCAGTCTACAGATTGCAGAAGAGTTTCAACTCTCTTTGTTTAAAATCAAGGACCTGCCCCTGAGTGTGAACTGGAAATAGAGCCCTTAAAGTCACCCAAATTCAGTTCAACAAATGCCACGTTGCTGAAAGACCATGATGGACTGCTTTTGAAGTTAGTGGTTTCTTCAACCAACAGGGCTCACTCTGAGTTTGGAAACTTTCTACGCATCAGGAGAAGAATAGCAACAATCCTATTCATTGACATGAAGCATTCTGCCTGCTTTTCCTTTATCCACCCAAACTAAAGAGAGTGTTTCGTGAAACTTCTTGGGGTGAGATTTTTAATGTGTGCCAAGATCTTGCTGCTCTGTTAAGTCCTGGCCAAGGAGGAAACAGCTGCTGAAAAGGCTAATGCGTCACCTTGAGTCTTACCTACAGATAGGAGCATGCCTTCTATTTATTGAATCACACTCTTTAGGTACTAGCCCTTCACTACTGCTCCTGACCTTTCGCCAATCTCCACTTGTTCAAATCTAAGTGGCACCTCACTTGTCAATGAATCCATGTAAGCCCTGGAGTTTTAACAAAACAATAGTCCCAGATTCTAAGGTGTAAGACAGTAAATTAAGATAATGTTTTGAGGGCTTCGATGTTGAAAATCTAGATCTTGATAAGTGCTGGAAGAGACACGGTCGAAGATGGCTTTTGTCTACTTGGGTAGCTAATTTGTTTACAGGGATGTTCTGTAGGGATCTGGAATTTAGCATCTTCAGACCTCAAACCATCATCATCTTAATTCACTGAGTGCCTGCTGGTGTGTGTGTGTCAGGCCCTGCGCGAGGAGTGTTTCTTACTTGACCTCATTTCAATCCTCACAACTCTGCAAGGTTGATTTTATCAATCCTATTTTATAGGGGAACGATATCAAACCTCAGCCTGGTCACATAACTTAGCTAAAAATTAATGGCTAGTTCAACAAAAATGAGATTGGTCTTCAGGCCCATCTGACTCCAGAACCCATATCTTTCCTAATTTATTTAGTGGAACAAAAACAAATCCATGTGCTCACAACAGAACACTGGGTATTAATTGCTCCCTCTTTTGTACCCCACAAGACCTTTCTTCCATCTGATGGGTCATCAGACCTTATAATGGCACCTTTTAAATGGATTTCTTTCTGCCTTCTTCTCCGTCTGCATCTCTAGCCCTCTCATTACAATCAAATAAATAAAATTTCCTCCTATCATTTTCTGCACTCCAGTTTTCATGGCCCTCCAATTCATCCTTCATGCTCCTCTTGGAGTCATCTTCCTAAGACTCAAACCTGGTATCTGTATTTAGATTTAGATGTTACAAGCAATGGAAGTAAAGTATGGCAAGTACTAATCTCAGAAGATAGCTAGGTACTATGGGCACTCAATGAAAGGCTCCTAAATGGTTAGGAGCAAGGTTTGGGGAGTAGGAGGTAGGAAAGGCATCCTGAGGGAAATAATAATTGAGCTGATACATGAGGGTTAAAAAAGGATTATACAAGTATAGTGTGGCAAGGACTGGGCTATCAAGATGGGAAAATATATGCCTGAAGACTGGGGGCAAGAAGGGATTTAAAGAGAAAAGGGAACTGAGAATAGAGATCAGAGAAAAAGAAGGAAAAACAAGGTGTTGCAGAAGCCAAGGGATGAGACTGTATGAGAAGGCAAGAGTGGACCACAGTGTCAATGTTGCCAAGAGGTCAAATAAGATGAGAGCAAAGAGTGTCCATTGGATTCAACAGTGGAGAAATCACTAATGACTGCACTAAAAGCCCTTTGAGTCAGTGATGTGAACAAAGGCTAGGTCACAGTGTTGAGAGAAGCAAATGGACTCTGAGGCACTGGAGACTGGAACTGTAGACAAATCATGGAAATTTAAAACATATCATTATTTTTTCAGATTCAGGGGGTCCATGTGCAGGTTTGTTATGGATAGATTGCATAATGCTGAGATTTAGGCTTCCATTGATTTGTCACCAAATAATGAACATAATATTCAATGGGTAGTTTTTCAAATCTTACCCCACTCCCTCCTTCCCCACTCTAGTAGTCCCCAGTGTCTCTTGTTCCCATCTTTGTGTCTGTGTGGACTCAATGTTTAGGTTCCACTTATAAGTGAGAAGAGGTGACATCTGGTTTTCTGAATTAATTCACTTAGGATAATGGCCCCCAGCTGCATCCATGTTGCTGCAAAGGACATGATTTCATTCTTTTTTTTTTTATGACTGTGTAATATTTCGTGGTGTTGGAATTTTCTTTCTCCAATCCACCATATTTTCTTTATCTAATCCATCACTGATGAGAACCTGGGTTGATTCTATGTCTTTGCTATTCTGAATAGTGCTGTGATAAAGATGCGAGCACAGGTATCTTTTTAAAACACTGTATCTTTACACTATTTGCTCATTCTGGACCATTTTCCTCCTTTCTTGCTTCTTTCACTATCTTGCCTACACCCTTCACACCCAATTTCTCTTTCTAGTGAAATCCTAGCCATTCTTTGAGACCAAATAAAATACCATCATATCCTAAGCTTTCCTGCATTCCTGGTGGTTAGAATGTACTGTTCCGTACTTGCCACATAAATCTTTGCTGAATTAGCAAACTGTTCCCATTTGACTGATTGCATGACATCTTATTTCTGTGCCTGTTATAGCACTTTCTTCTTGCTACCTTTTAATCTTTTTAGTTGTACAGACCTGTCTGCCTGACTACACAACTTGATGACAATGAACTAGCTACATATTAGTCATTTTTAAACATCTCATAGTTTCCAACTAAGTGCATTGGGCACTGTTGTGAATCAAATTGAATTTAACTGACTACTCTTGGTCTTGCATGGATTTAAGCACATTACATAATCTTTGTCCTTAGAGACAATGATTGTTAATCGTATCTATAATGGAAATGGAAAATCTTAGGATTTGCTAGTCATTTTTAACTTATCTAAGTATTTCCACTATGATTCACATGCTTTCCATATTCTAAATTCTATAAATCATTATCAGATTGGTTAATTCAATATATGTGAATGAATACTCTGCAAATCAACTCTGTGATCCAAGTGAAACAACTCAACTTTTAAGCTCAGAGTCCTCAAGTAGCAACTCATTAATGAAGCTGAGTTATCTATTCACGCACTGCTCTCTTTTCAAAGAACACTAGGCAATTGTTAAACCAAGCCAAACTAGAAAAAGTAACATTGAACTTTTGGGTTTCTAGGGACTACAACCAAAGGAATAAGTCATATTCTTAAATTCTAAACACCCAATGATCATTTGGAAAAGGCTGATTTAAAGAGGGCAACAACAATAGTTATAATGATGGATAAACTATTATGTTGTGGGTGGATTTCCAAAACCTTTAAAAAATGTTTCATAGTTGAAAATTTTTGTAGAAAAAAACTTTTTGTAGTTGAATTTAAAAATTTTTGTAGTTGACAAAATTAAGATCTACTTTCATTCTGTTTGATTAGTACAACTTATAAGCTCCAGTTTTAAATGTTTTGGAATTTCTACCAAGCATATTTCACAATTCTTCTGTAGTAGAATCTGGAATTTTTGCCACTTTCCCCTCAATAAAGCCCTACCCTTCACTGCATGTTAAATATCAAGCAGAAAGAGATAACCAACTTATCCCCAGCTCACATAGTATAATTGGGATTAAAATACAAACGTCCATTTTTTAAAAGCAAAATTCCGAAGCAACTATTGCTAAATGTTGATATTTTTAAAAAACTGAATAATGGGTACCCAGGCGATTGCTATATTGCTCTCTATTCTTTTCTCTAGACATGAGCTGTACATTTAAAATAAGGGGGAAAATATCCATATAGTCCAAAAAGTATTAGAGAACTTAATCAGGGAAAGAGTTTCTTGTATTGATTTTTAATTATCCAAGTTCTCTACTTGCCCCATGAGCACTTAGAAGTCAGAGATATTTCTTTGGTTTTCAGAGGAAGAAACAAAAATAGTTAAGAAGAACCAAGTGATTCCAGAGCAAGGCCAAGTCCAAGCTCAAGTCAGAGTTAAAATTCCTGGGGTATCAAAGGAAGGGAGGCTTTCTCCAAATACTTATTGGCATAAAGGACATTCAATTAGTACTTGTTCGATTAATTGGTTACTGATTTAACAGGAGTAAAAGCTCAACTCCTTGGGACAGGTGGCATATGTCACCTTCTGCTCATCATTGACCATGGTAGTGTGGGCCCAAACTCAGGAGACCATTGTATGACCTTTTTAGTAGTGGTGACAACTTAACACAAAACGACTCCTACTCAGAAGGATCCCTGCTTTTGTAAGGTGGCTGACCCAGGATGACGGGTACTGCCAATAGTCTTGGTATTGTAGAGCAAAGTTAATGAATCCAAAGACTAGGAAAAGCTACAGGACCTAAGGGTAAGAAAGAGCAAAAACATCCCAAAGAAATTAATTGTCAAGCAGTTCACCCTCATTTTGCCAGCATTCTGTTTTTACAGAGGTGACTAGATGGGATGGATTTGGTTGGTGAAAGAGGCCACAAAACAAGAAAGGGGGTGCATGGTGGCTCTGCTACAGCTCTTTAATTCTGCTCTCTCCTTCAGTTCAATTTAGCAGCATTGATTAAACACTTTCAATGAGCACCAATAGTAAGACACTACACTATCCTTTTTCTTCTGCCTCCTCGATGTCTTCTCTCTCTCCCTCTCTCTCTCTCTTTCACACACACACACACACACACACACCCTTGAAATTGTGAGCAGCTTGTTCTGCCCACAGGGAACTTCTGTCCAAAGTCCATGAAATGTCACTTTAAGCAACTGTAGAGAGTAGAATGGTGTAAAAGGAAGGTAAACTTCAACTCTCAAGAAAGATATTGCCTGAAAAAAACAAACTGATCTTTTATCAAAGCTCATTTCATCACAGCTGTTTTAGGATTCCTTAGTACGGTTTACTCATAACCTAGTTACAACACTTGACTGAGCTTCTCATAAGTGCCACAGCAGCTACCTATGCAGCCTGGGCCCACCTTTCCAGGCAATGACTGTTCACCTTATCCCCAGTGTCCTTCATTGATGCCCTCCTTCTCTCTGTCCAACATTATCTCCAACTGCCCATGAAACACTTCCTCCAACAGGAAAGTTCAGGCTTGTCATGCACCTGCTCTTTCTCAGGTGCATATTGGCTCAGATTCCCTTGGGAAGTCTCCAGTGTCCACTCCTCTAACCAGAATCCTTCCAAACTTTTGCATCTCTACCACAGCAGGCATGCCCCCTGGAAGTCTTCAAACCAGCAAGCCCCTCAGCTTCCTGAAAGCTCATGAGGCATTGACAGTCTCTCCCCTCACTAGGAACTTACCACATAAACTCTCTGTGGTTTCAGTTACCAGTCTCCCCTAACCAAACTGAAATCTTCTTTTCAGCTGAAAGTTTGACTTGCAGTCTCTGGGACAGCATCATGGGCCATGGCAGGGCCTTGAGCACCCTGGGTTTCACTGCATGTGTAAGAGAGAAAAGCAGAGGAGAAGCTCTGGCAATTCAAGGAAATGGGAAAAGTACAAGGACCAGGATATGCCGTGACTTTGAGATGACATGAGTGTGTTAACCATGTAGATTTTCCCTTTGTTTTGTCTCAGATGAGGACCTTAACAAGATGCAGGATGATGTTAGTGAAAAGGAAACAGGTCATATGTACCCTGAAGCTTCTTGGGCAACATGTAAATCAAATTCCCCCTCTCTGAAGAGAGAGACGTCAGAGTCAGAGTCACAGGAAGTACAGGCGTGTGTGGTTGTGTATATGTGTGTGACTGTTGTTTGCAGAAGTGACTCCTCCATGGCCATTGATTTCATGCACCTCTCTGGGCAGCCACGGCCCTGGTTAGAGTCAAGATTCCACCTAGGCCAACACACTGAGACTGAGAAGGTCCTAGGGGTAATTCTAAAAGGCTGGAGCTGGAAAGGACTTAGACAGCAAGAATCCCAAGTCACCCACTACACAAATGGAGCAGTGGAGCCTGCAGCTGGTGCAGAGCGTGGACGAAGCAGGTTATGGCTGAGCAAGAACAGCCACTCAGGCACTACCTTGGGGTGGGGCACACATGCCCACTGGGAGCCTTCCTGGGTACTGTAAAACACTGCCAATGCAAAAATCTAGGAGCAGTGAGACTCAGCTTCTCACTAACTTGCCATCCTGGGCTTGGCAGTACATGTTGTCTTTCCAAACCTTGTTACTGGGCCTGGCAGTAAAATTTCTCCTCAGAGACTCCACAGGGGAATCAGAGGTGGGTAGAGAAGGTTTAAATAAGTGCAATGTATGAACAGGTGGAGAAGAGGGATGCCTCAGTGGAGAGGTGCACACAAGGTAAGCCAAAGAGAAGCCAAGGTCAGCCATGGACATATGACTGCAAAGGCCTCTGGCCAAATTGAGCAACACATTTTCTCCTCTCTGCAGGGGAGGAAAGCCAGACTAGGCACATTCTGGGAGGTGCTTTTGAAAATCCCAGCCTGCAGAATCCTTTGGCTTACATTACCTATAAATGTTAGGTGACAGCATAGCCTAGAAGCAAAGCTGATGGTAAGATGAGACCCAAAAACAGACTGTTAGGTCCACTGGAAAACTCCTGCCTTCCCAAGGAGGCCACCAAAACTACAACTTGGAGTCCAAAGCAGGGCCAAACCTCAGAATATGACAGTTCCTTAGGGACTTCTTGTCAACTTTTTGTCTGAACTTGCCTAAGGCCAAGACATCCTGTGCTTATGCCAGCCTAACCCTCCCGAAGTATGCTTTCATCTCACCCCTCCCTCATCAGATCACTCCCCTGGTTCCATCCTTCCTCCTGCTTCAAGTCTAAACTTTGCTGCCCTGTTCTAGGCCTCCACAGCCCAGCCCTGCCTCATTCTCCATCCTACATTCCTCCCTCACCTCCACACTTTCCTCTTTATTGTCCCCTGCACTCTGTGCTCATTACTAACTCTGTGGTGTCTTTCCCTGCTCTTCTACCCAGATAGTCCTGTCTTCTCCCTCTGTCTAAAAATAAGCTACCTATTCAGCAAAGTGTGGCTCACTTCTTCCATGAATCCTTCTTCTTTACCAATGCACATAAATCTCTCCTTTCTCAAAACGTCGTTATAGCTCTCCAATACCCATACAAACCCCAGTCCTATTACTAATGCTAGTGCTGACACTATCACTGATAGTAAAATTTATGCTGGCCTAAATTGTAGGTAATTTTATATACTAGCTCACTTAATCCTCCAACAATCCTAAGAGATATGTACTCTGATTATCCCAATATTACATCCCTGAAAACAAGAAAGGAGATAGAGCACTCCAGTGGTAAGTATTTTCATATTTGGTGGATATTTAATATATAAGAGGCCCTCAGTGGCATCCAATGAGAGGAGAAAGCTATTACCACTTCTCAGCTATAGGGCCATTGAGGACCTTCACTATTGCCCCCCAAATAAATCATCTCTGACCTGACTCAGGGTCCAGGATAACCAGGCTTCAGGTGAGGGAAGCAGGAGCATAGGGAGAGTTGCATTTATCACCATAAATATCTTAGGCCTTGTTAAGTATCTGATACATTACATGTGAGCATTACATTTTGTTGAAGCCATGTATAAACATTCAATTACTATTCCTTGGCCTCCACTGGAGCAGAACTCATGGTCCTTGAAATGATTTATTTTGTGTTTTTTATGATGAATAATTTCAAACATACACAGAATTAGAGGAGTTTAATAAACCCCAGTGTACCTGTAACTCAGATTCAGCAATAATCAACTCACAGCTAGGCTTGTAGATTTTCTAAGGGAAAAAGCTTAGAAAGTTTTTAAACTTTGTTCCATTCACCCCTCACCTAAACTCAAATTATTCTGAAGCATATCCAAGACACTGTACCATTTCCTGATGAGGATATTTCAGAGAGAAAGGAAAGAGAGAAGGGAAACATACATTTTACATAAATTTTACTTTTCCTAAAACAAGGGATGGGACCTAGGAAAAAGGAATGCAAGACACTCTGTTCCCAGGATGGACAGAAAGTGACTAATTCTCCATTTTAATTGCTTCCCCACTTTATATTATGCAGTTTATTCTTTACCATTGTTGTATATGTTGTCCTGTAACTTGTGACCTTAAGGGCCTCACTTGGGTGTGCCTCATTGACTCCAGTTGAATTGGAAACACCTGGCTAACAGCATCCACATTATCTTCTTACTGGATTTAATGTTGTATGTTCTTGTGCTCCACATAACATCTGGCTTACCTTCCTCTCATCTTCCCTTCTTAATGTCCTTCCTTCCTTTCTTACCAATCCCCTCACTTTCTAATAACTTCCTTTTATTAATCTCGTATTTACTGGGCCCAGCTCCTGGCATACAGTAGACAAAGTAAAAATGAGACAGGAACATCTAGATGACCAGTGGGGACTTAGAGGTGACAGGAAACTCTTGCAGAATGAGAATGAATTAGCCAATTAAAAAAAAGGAGGTAGCAAGCAGTTGAACATGGAGGAAGGGCATTCAAGGCAGAAGCAGCAGTTCCAGCAAGGATCTGTGAAGGAAATTTGGGTCCATTTGGAGAACTGAAAAATGTACCATGTGACTGGACCAATAAATTTGAGTGGAGAGGGGGTAGAAAATAAGGAGGGTAGAAAATGTAGAATTAAGCATAGTTGAGAGCTTGGATAACAATATTGACTGCAGTCATGGGAAGATGGTTTGAGTAGAGCTGAGAGAGAGGGGAATTCTGCTGTGATAGAGATACACAACTATGATGCACTCCCCAAGCATCTGAATTTACCAAAGCACTTTTCAACTTTGACATCATCTTCTATGAGAACATAGTCTCCCAAGACTAGCTTATCTTTTTGATAATTAACTAAAGACTGTTTCCTCTCCCAGAGATTTTTCCTTGATTAAGAACTTACATGTTAGCTGGGGAAATCCAGGGCATGCATATTTATTTAGTTTGCAAACATTTATTTTCCTGGAAAATGTTTTCAAAACAGAAATTAGACTAGACCTTATCTTTTTTATAGATTTGTTTTTCTTTGTACAATGAAATAAAGGCAAAACAATTATAAGGTGGGAGGGTGGGGATGCAGATAATCATTTTTATTGTGGTGGTTGGTTTTATTAGGTCGACTGTATCTGCAGTGCACCTGTAGAAACTTACTTGGAAATGTTCAGTTCATGGCACAAGAGCTGTTTAACCATGTAGCTGGGACTTTCAGCTACATCTGTAGAACTCAAAAGGAAATTTAGAGTTGCCAACTGGCTGCTGAATTGGAGTTGTGTAGATTATCATTGCCACTGAATGATGTATTCTGGCTATTGTCACTGCCTGCATTTGCTTGCCTGTTAAAAATTCTAAACTTTGCACTTGATTTGTTGCACTTGACTTGTTTCAGAGCTCAAGGGTTGAATGGGTGATGTTTTTAAGTTCTAGGGGTCATAAATTTCAATTGCAATGAAGTATGCACTGGAGAGCTCTGGAGTGAGAAATGTGATTAAATGACCTCTAATGTACCTTCCATTTACATAATACTCTAGTCCTTGAGTCGCAGATGTCTGGAGCTACTAAATAGATCATTCGTTTTTCTAAAGTAAAACTTAACCCAAACTTCTGGAAGATGATTTAATGACCAGTTTGAATGGTGGAGGGAAGCATTTGATCATACTGGCATCTAGTTTCACACTTTATGAGATTTAGATTCAGGATCCACCAAGAACCTTGTTCCAGGACAATGCCAGTTTTTCTGCATCCAGATGTGACATCATTTCCACCCATTTGTTCTCTCATTTAAGTCAGGGGCTCACTCACCTGTTTCTCTCATTTTCAACCTGTTTTTCTAGGCTTTGATTATACTGCCTTGCTTGACCCAACTCTCACATTTCACCCAACTCTCACCCTCATTTGTAAGCTCAATTGCGCCCCAACTCTAGGTATAGATGTGATTTTAGACAGAGGAGGAGCTGTTTGGAGAGCGCTGAGAACCTAGAATCTCTGTCTTTAAACTCCTACCTTCAGACTGCCACTATTAGGGTTTCTACCTCCTATTTCCAGATGTCAGGGACTAGTTGCCCAACATAGGCTACTAGATTTTTTGATACTAACATTCTGTTCTCTGGGCTTTGGCTGGCATCCCACCCTATTCCTGCCTGGAGTCACCTCTGAATGTTATATTGTGAGACCTTGGAAATGATCCTTGCAACCTACAAGTCCTAGATCCCTGGGACACATGCCCTCTGGAACCTGCCCCACGTGTCCTCCAGCCAGGCTCACATGTGGACCTTCAGACTCCATTGACTCAATGGACCAGCTAGGCTTACTATCCTACAATTCCCTAGTCAGCTCCAGCCCCTGCCAGGCCTGAAGCCTCACTTATGCCCCTAGACTTGGTTTCTGCCCAAGGAGAAAGTGAAGGTGAAATCTCTAGCTCTGCCAAAGCCTTGCCTCGTTATCAGCACCACATTATCACTTTGTAATTGCTTTTCTCTGGTGTCAGTTTTCTTTCTTATATGTCCAATCACTGGTCCCTGACCTGGAGCTTGACCTACCATGGTAACAGTATCTGTCTCATGCCTCTTGCTTCCTTGAAACTCTCAGAGCCTCCTTAGCTGCTGGGGTATTACCTTACTCTGATATTTAGCTTGAATATACTCTGACCTTCCTGGCTTTAACAAATAGCTGCTGTGGGCCCAGGACTTCTATCCCAAATCCAGCTTATTTCAATGTTATGATGTAGCTCAGTGTCACCTGGACTCTGTTCTGAAGAAAATAACTATTCCATGAGATAATAGGCCTTTGTAAAAAAACAAACTGATTAATTGTAAAGTATATATTTGTTAGGAAGTGTGTATGTCATAATCATGTGAATTTGGGAAATGCTGTGCTAAATAATGTCAAGCAGATGACAGGACAGCAAAGTCCTTCACGACAGGACTTTTTGAGTCCATTAATATGCTACTAATGAGCATAATAATATTCAAGGAAGGTGGAAGGGGTCAGAGTACGTAGCTTTTTTCAAATGTATTGGCCTACTGAAGTTTTTCATGTAGAACACTCTAAACATCTCACCAAAACTTTCCCAGAACGCCTTTCAGTGATTTCAGCTCCATACTTTGACACTGACCTGGACCCACTTGAACAGGGAAATTTCCCTCTGTCAGAACCTAAAAAAGCATGTTGGTCAAGACATCTCTAAATATGAGAATGAAATTGGTCCTTATTTTACACCCACACACAAAAATCAACTCAAAATAGATTAAAGACTTAAACATAATACCTTAAACTGTAAAACTCCTAGAAGAAAATACAGGTATCTAGGAGTGGGGGACAGGCCAAGATGGCCAGTTAGAAGCAGCTGTGGTCTGCAGCTTTCACAGAGAAGAATGAAAATGGTGAGTGAATTCTGCACCTTCAACGGAGGTATCCAGGTTCTGGCATTGGGACTGACTAGGCAGTCAATGAGACCCACGGAAAGCAAGAAAAAGCAGGATGGGGTGACAGCCCACCCAGGAATGGCATGGAGCCAGGGAAGTCCCCACCTCCAGCCAAGGGAGGCAGTGAGTGATTGTGCCACCCTGCCCGGGAAACCACACTTTTCCCACAGATCTTTGCAACCCTCGGATCAGAAGATCTCCTTGTGAGCTTGCCCCCTACCTCCAGGGCCTTGGGTCCGAAGCCCAGAGCTGTGCAGGCTCTTGGCAGCTTCTCAGGCATGCACAGAAACCCAGGAGTTTTTGCATACTCTGGCCCCAGGAATTCTGGTGAGGCAAGAGTCTGTGCATTCCCCTAGGAAGGAGGCTGAAACCAGGGAGCCAAGTGACATCATTCTGTGGAACTCACTCCCGTGGCACCTCACAAGTTAAGACCCACTGGCTTGGAATTCCAGCCAGCCAGTGGCAGCAGGCTGGAGACTACCTGAGACAACTGAGTTCCAACGAGGGGAGAAGGGCAGCTGCCATCTCTACAGCTCGAGTTGGGGGTCCTGGCCTGCTGGCTTTGGAGAGTTTGGGCAGTCCAAACCATGAGGAATTCCCCACAGTGCAGCACAGTTGCTGTGGCAGTTCATGGCCAGACTGCTTCTTTATGTGGGAACCCAATCCATCCCTCCTCACTGGGAGGAGCCTCCGTGCATGAATTTCAGCAACTCCGGCCAGGATTTTACTGACAAAACCCTAATCTCCCCGGGACAGAGCCCCTGGGGGCAGGGGCGGCCATGGTCTCTGTGGTTCAGTGGACTTAACCTTTCTTGCCTGCTGGCTCTGGAGAATATGGGCAGTGTGGATGAGAGGAGTTCCCACCAGCACAGTGCACCTGCTCTGCCAAGGGGCAGCCAGACTGCTTCTTTCAGATGGTCCCTGATCTTGTTCCTCCTGACTGAGTGAGACCTCCCAACAGGGGTCTCCAGACACCTCCTAAAGGAGCATTTGGGCCCTCATTAGATCAATCCCCCGGGACAAAGCTTACAGAGGAAGGAGCTGGCTGCCATCTTTGCTGTTTTTCAGCCTTCAGTGGTGATACCTCCAGGTGTGGGAGGGACTGAGACGATTAGGATCTGGAGTGGACCCCCAGCAAACCACAGCAGCTCTACAGAAGGGGGGCCTGACAGTTAAAAGAAAAACAGAATAGAAAGCAACAACAAGAACAACATCAACAAAAAAGACCCCACAGAAACCCCATTCAAAGGTCGGCAACCTTAAAGATTGAAGGTAGATAAACCCACAAAGATGAGAAAGAATCAATACAAAAATGCTGAAAACTCAAAAAGCCAGAGTGCCTCTTCTCCTCCAAATGATCATGACAGCTCTCCAGCAAGGGCACAGAACTAGGCTGAGGCTGAGATGGCTGAATTGACAGAAGTAGGCTTCCAAAGGTGGGTAATAACTAACTTCGCTGAGCTAAAGGAGCGTGTTCTAACCCAATGCAAAGAAACTAAGAATCATGATAAAACATTACAGAAGCAGATAACCAGAATAATAGCCAGTTTAGAGAAGAACATAAATGACTTGATGAAGCTAAAAAACACACCGAGAACTTCACAATGCAGTCACACAAGTATCAATAACCAAATAGACCAAGCAGAGAAAAGCATCTCAGAGATTGTAGACTATCTTTCTGAAATATGACAGGTAGACAAGATAAAGAAAAAATGAAAAGGAACAAACAAAACATATGAGAAAAGACTGAACCTACTACTGATTGGGGTACCTGAAAGAGAGGGGGAGAACAGAACCAAGTTGGAAAACATACTTTAGGATATCATCCAGGAGGCCAGGTGCAGTAGCTTACACCTGTTATTCTAGCACTTTAGGAGGCCGAGGCAGGTGGACCACTTGAGGCCAAGAGTTCAAGACCAGCCTGGCCAACATGGTGAAACCCCATCTCTACTGAAAATATAACAATTAGCTCAGTGAGGTTGCATGTGCCTGTAGTCCCAGCTACTCAGGAGGCTGAGGCAGGAGAGTCATTTGGACCCTGGAGGTGGAGGCTGTAGTGAGCCAAGATCACACCACTGAACTCAAGCTGGGCAACAGAGTGAGACTTTGAATCAAAAAAAAAAAAAAAAAAAGAATATCATCCATGAGAACTTTCTCAACCTAGCAAGACAGGCTAACATTCAAATTCAAAACCCAGTAAGATACTCCATGAGAAGTTCAACTCCAATACACATAATCATCAGATTCTCCAAAGTTGAAATGAAAGAAAAAATGAGAGGAGTTCCCACCAGAACTCCTCTAAGCGTAGCCAGAAAGAAAGGCCAGACCACCCACAAAGGGAAGCCCATCAGACTAAAAATGGGCCTTTCAGCAGAAACCCTACAAGCCAGGAGAGACTGGGGGACAATATTCAACATTCTTAAAGAAAAGAGTGTCCAACCCAGAATTTCATATCCAGCCAAACTAAGCTTCATAAGCAAAGGAGAAATAAGATCCTTTTAAGGCAAGCAAATGCTGAGGGAATTCATCACCACCAGGCCTGCCTTGCAAGAGCTTCTGAAGGAAGCACTAAATATGGAAAGGAAAAACTGTTACCAGCCACTACAAAAACACACTGAAGTACACAGACTAGAGATACTACGAAGCAACTACATAAACAAGTCTGCAAAATAACCAGCCGGCATCATAATGACAGGATCAAATCACATCACAGTATTAACCTTAAATGTAAATGGGCTAAATGCCCCAATTAAAAGACACGGAATGGCAAGCTGGAAAAAGTCAAGATCCATCAGTATGCTGTGTTCAAGAAACCCATCTCATATGCAAAGACACACATAGGCTCAAAATAAAGGAATGGTGAAAAATTTACCAAGTAAATGGAAAACAGAAAAAAGCAGGGATTGCGATCCTAAACTAACAAAGATCAAAAAGACAAAGAAAGGAATGGTAAAGTGTTCAATTCACCAAGAAGAGCTAACTATCCTAAATATATATGCACCCAATACAGGAGCACCCAGATTCATAAAGCAAGGTCTTAGAGGCCTACAAAGAGACTTAGACTTCCATACAATAACAATGGGAAACTTCAACACCCCACTGATGATTTTAGACAAATCATTGAGACAGAAAATTAACAAACATATTCAGGACCTGAACTCAGCTCTGGATCAAGTGGACCTGACAGATATCTACAGAACTCTCCACCCAAAACCAACAGAATATACATACATTCTTCCCATTGCCACATAGACTGACTCTAGAATTGATTGCATAATTGGAAGTAAAACACTCCTCAGCAAATGCAAAAGAACTGAGATCATAACAAACAGTATCTCAGACTCAGCACAATCAAATTAGAACTCAAATTAGAAACTCACTCAAAACCACATAACTACATGGAAATTGAACAACCTGCTCCTGAATGACTCCTGGGTAAATAATGAAATCATGGCAGAAATCAAGTTCTTTAAAACTAAGAAGAACAAAGAGACAACGTACGAGAATATCTGGGACGCAGCTAAAGAGGTGTTAAAAGGGAAATTTATAGCACTAAATGCTCCACATCAAAAAGCTAGAAAGATCTCTAATTGACAAGTGAACATCACTACTAAAAGAACTAGAAAACCAAGAGCAAATAAACCTCAAAGCTAGCAGAAGACAAGAAACAACCAAAACCAGAGCTGAACTGAAGGAGATAGAGACACAAATAAACCTTCAAAAAATCAACAAATCCAGGAGTTGTTTTTTTGAAAAAAAAAATTAATAAAATAGATAGGCCACTAGCTAGACTAATAAAGAAGAAAAGAGAGGAGAATCAAATAGACACAATAAAAGATGATAAAGGGGATATCACCCTGACCCCACAGAATACAAACCATCAGAGAATACTATAAACATCTCTATGCACATAAACTAGGCAAGAGAAATCTAGAAGAAATAGATAAATTCCTGGACACATACACCCTCCCAAGACAGAAACAGGAAGAAATTAAATCCCTGAATAGACCAATAATGAGTTCTGAAATTGAGGCAGTAATAAATAGCCTACCAACCAAAAAAAAAAAAAAAAAAAAAAGACCAGGACCAGATGGATTTACAGACGAATTCTACCAGAGGTACAAAGAGGAGCTGGTTCCATTTCTACTGAAACCATTTCAAATAATTGAAAAGGAAAGGTTCTTCCCTAACTCATTTTATACAGCCAGCATTATCCTGATGCCAAAACCTGGCAGAGATACAACAAGTAAAGAAAATTTCAGGCTAATATCCCTGATGAACATTGATACAAAAATCCTCAATAAAACACTGGCAAACCAAATCCAGCAGCACACGAAAAAGCTTATCCACCGTGGTCAAGTTGACTTCATCCCAAGGATGAAAGTTTGGTTCAACATATGCAAATCAGTAAGTATAATTCATAACATAAACAGAAGTAAAGACAAAAACCACATGATTATCTCAATAGATGTAGAAAAGGCCTCTGATAAAATTCAACATCCCTTCATGTTAAAAACACTTAATAAACTAGATACTGAAGGAACATACCTCAAAATAATAAGAGCCATATATACAAACCCACAGCCAATATAATGAATGGGTAAAAGCTGGAAGCATCCTCCTTGGACACTGGCACAAGACAAGGATGCCCTCTCACCATTCCTATTCAACACAGTATTGGAAGTTCTGGCCAGGGCAATCAGGCAAGAGAAAGAAATAAAGCATATTCAAATAGGAAGAGAGAAAGTCGAATTATCTTTGTTTGCAGATGACATAATCCCATATCTAGAAAACTCCATCATCTCAGCCCAAAACCTTCTTAAGCTGATAAGCAACTTCAGCAGTCTCAGGATACAAAATCAAAGTGCAAAAATTGCTAGCATTCCTATACGCTAGCAACAGACAAGCAGAGAGCCAAATTATAAATGAATTCCCATTTGCAATTTCTACAAACAGAATAAAAAATCTAAGAATACAGCTAACAAGGGAAATGAAGGACCTCTTCAAGGAGAACTACAAATCATTTCTCAAGGAAATCAGAGAGGATGCAAACAAATGGAAAAATATTCCATGCTCATGGATAGGAAGAATCAATATCGTGAAAATGGCCATACTACCCAAAGTAATTTATAGATTCAATGCTCTTCCCATTAAATTATCCTTGACATTCTTCACAGAACTAGAAAAAACTATTTTAAAATTTATATGAAACCAAAAGAGAGCTCATATAGCCAAGACAGTCCTAAGCAAAAAGAACAAAGCTGGAGGCATCACGCTACTCAACTTTAAACTACTCTACAAGGCTACAGTAACCAAAACAGCATTGTACTGGTACCAAAACAGACATATAGACCAATGGAACAGAATAGAGAACTCAGAAATAAGATTGCACACCTACAACCATCTGATCTTCAACAAACCTGACAAAAACAAGCAATGGGGAAAGGAATCTCTATTTACTAAATGGTGCTGGGAAAACTGGCTAGCCACATGCAGAAAATTGAAACTGGACCCTTTCCTTACACTTTATACAAAAATTAACTCAAGATGGAGTAAAGACATAAATGTAAAACCAAAAACTGTAGAAATGCTAGAAGAAAACCTAGGCAATACCATGCAGGACATAGGCAACAGCAAAGATGTCATGATGAAAATGCCAAAAGCAATTGCAACAAAAGCAAAAATTGACATATGGGATCTAATTAAACTAAAGAGCTTCTGCACAGCAAAAATAAACTATCATCAGAGTGAACTGACAACCTACAGAATGGGAGAAAATTTCTGCAAGAAATTTTCTCACAAAGTTCTAATATCCAGAGTCTACAAGGAACTTAAATTCACAAGAACAAGACAAACAACCCAATTAAAAAGTGGGCAAAGGACGTGAACAGACATTTCTCAAAAGAAGACATACATGCAGCAAACAATCATATGAACAAAAGTTCAACAACATAACCAATCGTTAGAGAAATGCTAATCAAAACCACAATGAGATATCATTCACACCAGTCAGAATGGCTTTTATTAAAAAGTCAAAAAATAGCAGATGCTGGTGAGGTTGTGGAGAAAAAGGAATGATTACATATTGTTGGTGAGAGTGTAAATCAGTTGAATTATTGTGGAAATTGGTATGGCGATTTCTCAAAAACCTAAAAGCAGAAATTCCATTTGACCCAGTAATACCATTACTGAGTATACACCCAAAGGAATATAAATTATTCTATTATAAAGACACATGCATGCATATGTTCATTGCAGCACTATTAACAATAGCAAAAACATGAAATTAACCCAAATTTCAATCAATGATAGACTGAATAAAGAAAATGTGGTATATATACACCATGAATACTATGGAACCATAAAAAGGAACAAGATCATATCCTTTGCATGATCTGATGGAGATCATCATGGATGGAGCTAGAAGCCATTATCTTCAGCATACTAACACAGGAACAGAAAACCAAACACCACATGTTCTCACCTATAAGTGGGAGCTGATGGATGAGAACACATGGACACATGGGGGGAACAACATGCACTGAGGCCTGTTGGCAGGGGAGAGAGAAAGACATCAGGAAGACTAGCTAATGGATGCTGGGCTTAACACCTAGGTGATGGATTAATCTGTGCAGCAAACCACCATGACACACATTTATCTATGTAACAAAACTGGACATCCTGCACATGTACCATGGAAATTAAAATTAAAGTTGAAGAAAAACAAAGAAAATACAGGGAAAAATCCCCTTGTCATTGTTCTTGGCATTCATTGCATAGATATGACACCAGAAGCACAGGCAACAAAAGCAAAAATAGATAAGTAGGACTACATCAAACTAAAAAGCTTCTGCAGAACAAAGAAAACCATCAACATTGTGAAAGGGCAAATTATAGATTGGAAGAAAATATTTGCAAACCATTTATCCAAGAAGGAGTTTTTCAAAATATATATTTTCAAAATATATAAGGAATTACTACTACTCAAGAGCAAAAATACTAATATCCCAATTTAAAAATGGGCTAAAGACTCGAAGAGGCATTTCTCTAAAGACATACAAATGGTCAACAGGTATATGAAAAGATGTTCAATGTCATTAATCATCAGAAAAATGCAAATCAAAACCACAAGGAAATATCACTTTGCATCTGTAAAGATGATTTTTTTAAATGTCTTTTGTTTTATTACACTTTAAGTTTTAGGGTACATGTGCACAACGTGCAGGTTAGTTACATACGTACACATGTGCCATGTTGGTGTGCTGCACCCATTAACTCATCATTTAACATTAGGTATAGCTCCTAATGCTATCCCTCCCCTCTCCCCCGACCCCACAACAGGCGCTGGTGTGTGATGTTCCCCCTTCCTGTGTCTATGTGTTCTCATTGTTCAGTTCCCACCTATGAGTGAGAACATGCGGTGTTTAGCTTTTTGTCCTTGTGATAGTTTGCTGAGAATGATGGTTTCCAACTTCATCCATGTCCCTACAAAGGACATGAACTCATCATATTTTATGGCTGCATAGTATTCCATGGTGTATATGTGCCACATTTTCTTAATCCAGTCTATCATTGTTGGACATTTGGCTTGGTTCCAAGTCTTTCCTATTGTGAATAGTGCCACAATAATCATACGTGTGCATATGTCTTTATAGCAGCATGATTTGTAATCCTTTGGGTATATACCCAGTAATGGGATTGCTGGGTCAAATGGTATTTCTAGCTCTAGATCCCTGAGGAATCACCACACTGACTTCCACAATGGTTGAACTAGTCTACAGTCCCACCAACAGTGTAAAAGTGTTCCTATTTCTCCACATCCTCTCCAGCACCTGTTGTTTCCTGACTTTTTAATGATTGCCATTTTAACTGGTATGAGATGGTATCTCATTGTGATTTTGATTTGCATTTCTCTGATGGCCAGTGATGATGAGCATTTTTTCATGTGTCTTTTGGCTGCATAAATGTCTTCTTTTGAGAAGTGTCTGTTCATATCCTTTGCCTACTTTTTGATGGGGTTATTTGTTTTTTTCTTGTAAATTTATTTGAGTTCATTGTAGATTCTGGATATTAGCCCTTTGTCAGATGTGTAGATTGCAAAAATTTTCTCCCATTCTGTAGGTTGCTTGTTCACTCTGATGGTAGTTTCTTTTGCTGTACAGAAGCTCTTTAGTTTAATTAGATCCCATTTGTCAATTTTGTCTTTTGTTACCATTGCTTTTGGTGTTTTAGACATGAAGTCCTTGCCTATGCCTATGTCCTGAATGGTATTGCCGAGGTTTTCTTCCAGGGTTTTTATGGTTTTAGGTCTAACATTTAAGTCTTTAATACATCTTGAATTAATTTTTGTATAAGGTGTAAGGAAGGGATCCAGTTTCAGCTTTCTACATATGGCTAGCCAGTTTTCCCAGCACCATTTATTAAATAGGGAATTGTTTCCCCATTTCTTGTTTTTGTCAGGTTTGTCAAAGATCAGATGGTTGTAGATATGTGGCATTATTTCTGAGGGCTCTGTTCTGTTCTATTGGTCTATATCTCTGCTTTGGTACCAGTACCATGCTGTTTTGGTTACTGTCGCCTTGTAGTATAGTTTGAAGTCAGGTAGCGTGATGCCTCCAGCTTTGTTCTTTTGGCTTAGGATTGACTTGGCGATGTGGGCTCTTTTTTGGTTCCATATGAACTTTAAAGTAGCTTTTTCCAATTCTGTGAAGAAAGTCATTGGTAGCTTGATGGGGATGGCATTGAATCCATAAATTACTTTGGGCAGTATGGCCATTTTCACGATATTGATTCTTCCTACCCATGAGCATGGAATGTTCTTCCATTTGTTTGCATCCTCTTTTATTTCACTGAGCAGTGGTTTGTAGTTCTCCTTGAAGAGGTCCTTCACGTCCCTTGTAAGTTGGATTCCTAGGTATTTTATTCTCTTTGAAGCAATTGTGAATGGGAGTTCACTCATGATTTGGCTCTCTGTTTGTCTGTTATTGGTGTATAAGAATGCTTGTGATTTTTGCACATTTATTTTGTATATTGAGACTTTGCTGAAGTTGCCTATCAGCTTAAGGAGATTTTGGGCTGAGACGATGAAGTTTTCTAGATATACAATCATGTCATCTGCAAACAGGGACAATTTGACTTCCTCTTTTCCTAATTGAATACCCTTTATTTCCTTCTCCTGCCTGATTGCCCTGGACAACTTGCTCCTGAATGACTACTGGGTACATAACAAAATGAAGGCAGAAATAAAGATGTTCTTTGAAACCAACGAGAACAAAGACACAACATACCAGAATCTCTGGGACACATTTGAAGCAGTGTGTAGAGGGAAATTTATAGCACTAAATGCCCACAACAGAAAACAGGAAAGATCTAAAATTGACACCCTAACATCACAATTGAAAGAACTGGAGAATCAAGAGCAAATACATTCAAAAGCTGGCAGAAGGCAAGAAATAACTAAGATTAGAGCAGAATTGAAGGAAATAGAGACACAAAAAACCCTTCAAAAAATCAATGAATCCAGGAGCTGGTTTTTTGAAAAGATCAACGAAATTGATAGACCGCTAGCAAGACTAATAAAGAAGAAAAGAGAGAAGAATCAAATAGATGCAATAAAAAATGATAAAGGGGATATCACCACCGATCCCACAGAAATACAAACTACCATCAGAGAATATTAGAAACATCTCTACGCAAATAAACTAGAAAATCTAGAAGAAATGGATAGATTCCTGGACACATACACCCTCCCAAGACTAAACCAGGAAGCAGTTGAATCTCTGAATAGACCAATAACAGGCTCTGAAATTGAGGCAATAATTAATAGCTTACCAACCAAAAAAAGTCCACAACCAGATGGATTCACAGCCTAACTCTACCAGAGGTACAAGGAGGAGCTGGTACCATTCCTTCTGAAACTATTCCAATCAATAGAAAAAGAGGGAATCCTCCATAACTCATTTTATGAGGCCAGCATCATCCTGATACCAAAGCATGGCAGAGACACAACAAAAAAAGACAACTTTAGACCAATATCCCTGATGAACATCGATGCAAAAATCCTCAATAAAATATTTGCAAACCGAATCCAGCAGCACATCAAAAGCTTATCCACCATGATCAAGTGGGCTTCATCCCTGGGATGCAAGGCTGGTTCAACATACACAAATCAATAAACGTAATCCAGCATATAAACAGAACCAATGACAAAAACCATATGATTATCTCAACAGATGCAGAAAAGGCCTTTGACAAAATTCAACAACCCTTCATGCTAAAACCTCTCAATAAATTAGGAATTGATGGGACGTATCTCAAAATAATAAGAGCTATCTATGACAAACCCACAGCCAATATCATACTGAATGGGCAAAAACTGGAAGCATTCCCTTTGAAAACTGGCACAAGACAGGGATGCCCTCTCTCACCACTCCTATTCAACATAGTGTTGGAAGTTCTGGCCAGGGCAATCAGGCAGGAGAAGGAAATAAAGATGATTGGTATGGGAAAATTTAAGGTAATTGTTGAGGAGGATGTGGAGAAATTGGAACCCTTTTACACTATTGATAGGAATGCAAAATGATGCAACCCCTATAGAAAACAGTATGGAAGTTCCTCAAAAATTAAAAATAGAACTATTGTTCTATTGTTCTATTGTAATCCAACAATCCCACGTCTGGGTCTTTATCCAAAAGTATTGAAATCAGGATCTTGAAGAGATATTAGTGCTCCCATATTTATTGTAGCACTATTCATAC
The DNA here is from genome assembly GCF_000001405.40 of Homo sapiens. NCBI lineage: Eukaryota > Metazoa > Chordata > Mammalia > Primates > Hominidae > Homo > Homo sapiens. Next base: position 47,220,250 of record NC_000006.12, read on the forward strand.
AATAGCCAGGATATAGAAACAACCTAAATGTCCACCGATAGATGAATAGACAAAGAAAATGCATATATAGACAATGGAATATTGTTCAGCCTTAAAAGAAGAAAATTCTGTAATGTGCGACAACCTGGATAAACCTTGAGGACATTATGATAAGTGAAATAGTCACAGAAAGACAAATACTGCATGATTCCATTTATATGAGGACTCTAAAACGTCAAATTCATAAAAGCAAAGAGTAGAATACTGTTTCCAAGGGGAAATGGGGAATTAATAATCAACAGGCCTAAAGGTTCAGTTAAGCAAGATGAATAAGTTCTAGAGACCTACAGTACAACATTGTGTCTATGGTCAACAATACTATACTGTACACTTAATATTTTAAGGAAGTAGACTCATGTTAAGTGTTCTTAACACATGTAAAGTGAATTTTTTTAAGAAAATAAGAATGAAATTGTAGCAATTAAATAGAAGTAAGCATCAGAGAGATAGCACTTTTCTTTTTTCTTTCTTTTTTTTTTTGAGACAGAGTCTGGCTCTGTCTCCTAGGCTGGAGTGGTGGCACAATCTCACCTCACTGCAACCTCTGCCTCCAGGTTCAAGCGATTCTCATGCCTCAGTCCACCATCACACCCAGATTTTTTTTGTATTTTTAGTAGAGATGAGGTTTTACCATATTGGCCAGTCTGGTCTCAAACTTCTGACCTCAGGTGATCCGCCTGCCTCAGCTTCTCAAAGTGCTGGGATTACAGGCGTAAGCCACCAAACCCGGCTGAGATAGCACTTTTCAATTTTAAATTCTTACTTAGTTGCATGTCTTCATAACTTTTTTATTTTTTATTTTTTGAGGCAAGGGCTCACTCCGGTTGCCCAGGCTGGAGTACAGTGGTGCAATCTCAGCTCACTGCAACCTCGACCTCCCAGGTTCACGGATCCTTGAACCTTAGCCCCCCAAGTAGCTGGGACTACAGGCATGCACCACCATGCCCAGCTAATTTTTCGTATTTTTAGTTAAGACAGGATTTCGCCATGTTGCACAGGCTGGTCTTGAACTCCTAGACTCGAGCAATCCTCCAGCTTTGGCCTCCCAAAGTGCTGGGATTACAGGTGTGAGACACTGCGCCCAGCCCATAACTTCATAAATTTAAGTTCGTGCCACTACACTCTTAGTTGAATGACTATAATAAAGAATATTGCCAATACCAAAGACTAGCATGGATACAGTGCAAGTGAATCTCTTATACATCGATATGGGATTATATCATACAATACTGTTGTAGTAGTTATTAAGAAATTATTTTAGGCAGATAGAGAGGAAAAGGGATCCTTGGGAAGTTTTCGTTTTTAAAGCAGCTCTTAGAGCCAGGCTGGCAACCTTTCATATGCAAATACAGGACATTAGAAACTGGGTCCACCCAAACATGGCAATTCCCGCGGCCTTCTTGCCCTTGCCCCACATGATCCTAGCAACACGCCCAACCCCCCCTATCCCCACGTGTGTGGAACATCATTACGCCCTGCATTTGCATATTAAAAGGCTAGGGTGAGAGTGCCAGCTTTTTCACCGGCTACGTGAATGACATGCCTGGTCAAACCAATCCCCTGAGCCCTATGCAAATCAGACACCACCTCCTCCAGCCTACTCATAAAACTGGCTGGTATCCGTGGCACTTAGGGTTCCCTCTCTCAGCTTTGGAGCCCCCCTCCCTCTGTCTCTATACAGAGGAGCTTCTTTCTTTCTTCTCCCTTCTTTCTTGCCTACTAAACTCTCCGCTCCTTAAAACCACTCCATGTGTGTCTGTGTCGTTTTTTCCAGTTAGACTGGAGACAAGACCCCTGGTGTTCCTCCACCCATTGGAGCCATATCAATAGTACCACTACTGTGAAAACAGCTTGACAGTCTATTATAAAGTTAAACATACACTTACCATACTCCCCAACAATTAACTCAGGTGTATTTACCCTAAAGAAATGAAACATACACCCCAAAAAACTCAGGTGTATTTGCCCTAAAGAAATGAAAACGTAGGTCTGCACAAAAACCTGTATACGAATGTTCATAGCTTTATTTATAATAGCCAGAAACTGGAAACAGTCCAAATGTCCTTCAATGTTTGAACGGTCAAGGAAACTATGGTACATCTTACCATGGAATACTACTCAGCAATTAAAAAGAACAAACTATATTTTTCTATTTTTTTCCTGCTACGACAAAAAAAAACTTTAAAATATTTTTTACAGACATGAGTGCTTGAAAAAGCTCTTAACTATTATGGAAATGAAAACATTAATAATTAATGTTAGTATAACAGACCTCTGAATGTTAATACACTGGAAAAATAAAACTTAAAATGAAAATGAATCTTAAAGCTCTGCTATCTCAGTAAGAACATTTACCTTCTATTTTTCTTTTTCTTTACAGGTGTTAATGATTAAATACTGCTAATATAAATAGTTTTATATTAATGACACACTTTTTAAAATAGTCCATGAAATTTGTTCAAGTTCCTTATGGATGCTGGAAATTAGACCTTTGTCAAATTCACAGTTTGCAAACATTTTCCTCCATTCTGTAGGTTGTCTCTTTACTCTGTTGATAGTTTCCTTTGCTGTATAGATGCTCTTTAGTTTAATTAGATCCCATTTGTCAATTTTTGCTTTTGTTGCAATTACCTTTTTTATCTTTGCCGTGCAATCTTTGCCTGTTCTTATGTCCAAAATGGTATTGCCTATGTTGTCTTCTAGGGTTTTTATAGTTTTGGGTTTCACATTTAAGTGTTTAAGCATCTAGAGTTGATTTCTGTATATGGTGTGGGGAAGGGGTCTAGCCTCAATCTTCTGCATATGGCTAGTCAGTTATCCCAGCACCATCTACTGGATAGGGAGTCTTTTCCCCATTACTTATTTTTGTCAGCTTTGTCCAAGATCAGATGGTCTTAGGTGTGTGGCCTTATTTCTCGGTTCTCTCTTCTGTTCCATTGATCTATGCTCCTGTTTTTGTAAATTTACAAGGAAAAAAAAACCCATTATGAAGTGGGCAAAGGATATGAACAGACCCTTTTCAAAAGAAGACATACATGCAGCCAACAATCATATGAACAAAAGTTCAACAACATAACTGATGATTAGAGAAGTGCTAACCAAAACCACAATGAAATACCATCTCACACCAGTCAGAATGGCTATTATTAAAAAAGTCAAAAAATAACAGATGCTGGTGAGGTTGTGGAGAAAAAGGAATGCTTAAACATTGTTGGTTGGAGTAAATTAGTTCAACCACTGTAGAAATTGGTGTGGTGATTCCTAAAAGACCTAAAAGCAGAAATACAATTTGACCCAGTAATACCATAACTGAGTATATCCCCCAAGGAATATAAATCATTCTATGATAAAGGCCAGGCACAGTAGCTCATGCCTGTAATCCCAGCACTTTGGGAGGCCAAGGTGGGCAGATCACTTGAGGTCAGGAGTTCAAGACCAGCCTGGGCAAAATGGTGAAACCCCATCTCTACTAAAAATACAAAAATTAGCCAGGCATGGTGGCACACACCTGTAATCTCAGCTACTCAGGGGAGACTGCGACAGCAGAATCACTTGAACCTGGGAGGCGGAGGTTCCGGTGAGCCAAGATCATGCCACTGCACTCCAGCCTGGGCAACAGAGCGAGACTCCATCTCAATAGAAAAAAAAAAGAAAAGAAAAAGAAAATGTGGTACATGTATACCATGGAATACTATTCAGCCACAACAAAGAACAAGATAATCTCCTTTGCAGGAACATAGATGGAACTGGATGCCATTATCCTTAGCAAACGATTTCAGGAACAGAAAACTAAATACCACATGTTCTCACTTATAAGTGGAGCTAAATGATAAGAACACATGGATGCATAGAGGAGAACAACACACATTGGGGCCTATTGGAGGTTGGAGGGTGGGAGGAGGGAGAGGATCAGGAAAAATAACTAATGGATAATAGGCTTAATACGTGGGTGATGAAATAATCTGTACAACATACCCCATGACACAAGTTTACCTATTTAACAAACCTGCACATGCACCCCTGAACTTAAAATAAAAGTTGTTTGTTTTTTTTTTGAAGTCCATGAAAATCTCACCTTAAGTATTTGTTTTGTTTTCTTCCTAACACTGATATATAAATTGGGACTCTTCATTCTGGGGAAAGCATCAAGTTCTCTCCAGCCCCATCCAGGTGAAGAATTTCAAAATTGTGAATAAGGAGTACTGATATGCAAAACAATTGTGGTCCGATCTCAAGGGAATTACGCCAAGTGAAATAAGGTCAATCTCAGAAGGCTATATCCTTTATGATTCCATTTATTTAACATTCTCTAAATCACAAAACTATAGTGATGGACACAGTTGCCAGGGTTTACGGTTGAAAGTAAGGTATGAATATAAAGTTAGCAGAAGGAGGTTTCTTTGTGTGAAGAAATGGTTCCATATTCCGATTATGGTGGTGGTTACCAAGTGAACCAATACATGTGATAACATTTCATATCCACCCCCAAAAAAGTACAGGTTAAAAACTAACATGAACTATGTTCTGTAGTTTCAGTTAGTAATATTGTACCAATGTCAATTTTCTGATTTTGATAATGTCTATGGCTACACAAGATATTTATTCTTAGAAAAAGCTATGTGAAGAATAGAGAAACTATTAAAATAAAAAGCTAGGTGAAGGAAATAGAAACTCACTGTGATATTTTTGAAACTTGTGTGTCTTAAATTATTTAAAAGAACAAAATCTTTTACTAAGGAAAAAGCCTGCCTACCTCAAAATTCAATTTCAGTTGAGTCCAGGTGAGAGGCTCTAGGAAAACAGGAATCAGATCCACTTTATTTGCCATTTTGTCTCCAGGATTTACCACCATGCCTGGCTCACTCATCTCTGTAACAAGCCTTCCTGGTTATACCCTTTACTAGCTGTGTGACTTTAGGAAAGTCGCTGTCTCTCTTCGCCTCAGATTCCTCATTAGTAGAATGGAAATAACAGACCCCACATAATAAGATTCAGGTTAAGATTGAAGAGTGAATAATGTCAAGTGCATTGAATACTTTATAGGAAGAGTCTTTCCATGAGGGGACATATATCCTTTCTACCCTCTGAGTATGTGATATGCACAAAGGAGTAGCATGACTGGGCCTCACGTCTTGTCTTGTAATGATAGTAAACAATAAGCCTGGGAAATGGTGGAACAACCAATTTATAAATGATTCAAAATCCTTGCTTATAAAATCATGTCTACTGTATACCTGTATTTTTCCTTTTGTTTTCTTCCCCTTTTCATCTTCCTTCCTCAAGCTTTGAAATGCATGGAACTGCAACTGTCAGCCCTTTGTTTTTGATGCAATTTTCTTTAAAATTAATAAGAAAGAAGGTTTACAGTAGGGATCTTGCAATATTTTTCCTTGATTCATATTTAGTTTCTGGCTTTCCTAATATTCTCTTCATATTACTATCACTTCACTCGGATACATTTGATGATGTTCATAAATCTGTTTCTCTTTCTAAGTTGTGAATTCTTGAAGCCAGGACCATGCATTCATTTATTTATTCAACATTGCAGTGACAGAACACCTACCATGTTCCAGGCATGGGTCTAGATGCTGAGAATACAGCAGTGAACTAATGCCTTGTTCTCATTGGTAGTTACAATCTTGTATCAAATTCTTCTTTGTACTTCTAGCTTCTAACATAGTGCCTGGTAGTTGCTCAAATATTTCATGGATAGATGAGTGGAGTGATGAAATGAATGTTTCTGTGGGTGAGTGCACTGTATTTAAACAGCAACAACAACAAAAAAAAAAACAATGCTGTGAAATTGGCTGTTCGAAGTTTCTGGAAGCAGTGAGAAACAATTGTCATAGGATTCTTGGAAATGAGCTGCCTTTCTGCCTTCTCCTTCCCCATGAGATTCCCTGTTTGGCATGTTGCTGTGGATAAAGCAGTAGATGAGTGACAATGAGACAGTGCCAGTGCAGAACAGAAGTATCTCCTTTGGAGAGATGAACTGCTGAAGGATCCTTAAGAAATCTTTGATATTTTTCCTCACAGAGACATTGATTATGAGAGATGTCTTTTTTTTTTTTTTTTAGACAGAGTTTCACACTTGTTGTCCAGGCTGGAGTGCAATGGCATGATCTAGGCTCACCGCAACCTCCTACCTCCCAGGTTCAAGCGATTCTCCCACCTCAGCCTCCCAAGTAGCTGGGATTACAGGCATGAGCCACCAGGCCCAGCTAATTTTGTATTTTTAGTAGAGAGAAGGTTTTTCCATGTTGGTCACCTCAGGTGATGCACCTGCCTCGGCCTCCCAAAGCGCTGGGATTACAGGCATGAGCCACTGTGCCCGGCCTGATTATGAGAGATTTCTGTGCTAAGAAATATAAAAAGATGTTTTGGCCAGAAATTAGCTACTCTGCCCCATCTCCCTAAATTTCGAACTTTGAATTCTCTCCATTTGAACTTTGTATTACTTTTGTGTTTGTGATCTAAGCCCAAGAAAAGGATGTCAAATTCTCATAAAGAGGTTGTGGAGGGATGGGGAAGGTGGCCACTTCTCCTGGAGAGCAGGGCAAGAGGCTGATTCCCTTTGCAGATTTTAGCAAAACGCTCCTCACAAAGCTATTGCTAGCATTTTAAGTCTAGAGCATATGACTCTTACCATCAAGTGCACATTTCCTGGATGCCATAGAAACATTCTACAGTTTTTATTTACAACTTTTTGAATTCAATAATATATACAAATGATGTACTACTCAAAATGCTCAAAAGAACAAATCATGACAAGAACGTGTCCTTCTTTGCCTCCTACCTCCTTGCTAGCCCATTTTTCTTCCTAGAGGCGCCCATTGGCATGTTTCTTATGAATCCTGGCAAGCTATTCTATGAATATCTATATTGGAAATCCGAGACTCCAAAATCCAAATGTGTTTCATGTAAACAGCTACTTCAAAGTCCAGTACGATAAAAGCCTTTTTAAAACTCAATCCTTACTCAGATGAGTGGATCTCATTTTCTACTTACTTTCAAGAAAGGTAGTAAGAAAAGAAGCAAAAAGAGATAGATTGGAATCATAAAAGAGTGCTGACAGGTGCTAGGGTGACCAGGCTCCACCACTAACTAGCAGATGTGAGTCTAGCTCCCCTACCAGAAAACCGCAGGGTTCTCCAGGTGATGTCCGAAGCTCCTTCCAAGGTAAGGACCTCAGTTCTGCTCAACAAGAGATCACATCTTTTTTCTTAAGTCAAAGACCAGCATAGGTACCTGTTACATCTGCAGTATTGTACGAGATTGCTGCTCCAAATGGGGCAGTCTGAGACTCTAACATAGTCAGGGCAGTTTTATCACTCATTATATCTCACTGTATCTCTTTGAAAATTGGCATTCTATCAAATATAAATATAGTAACTTAAATCAGAATAACATCATTTCCCAAATATTCTTGACTAATAATACCCTATACATTATGCTAAAAACCATGAAGAATTGATTACTGTACTTGCAGGTAGGTTCATCCATGCAATTGAGCTTTAAGGTGTTGCCTCATTAGTGCTTGGTGTGTATCAATTCTTAGCATAATCACATAAATCTTACTGTAAGGTTATGGGTCCTAAAGCAAACATGCAGAGTCAAGTAGGACTGGCTATAGCAAAATCACTTTTCAATTACAGATCTTCAGGTTAACTCCCTGGAAGGTTTGTTCATCAGATCTTGGGTGAGGCTTGAGAAAGTCTCTGTTCCTAAGCTTTAAATACATCGTTCTCCAAGCTGACTATACACTGGGATCTCCTGGAGAGCTTTAAAAAATGCTGCTCAATCCCATTACTGGGTATATGCCCAAAGGAATATAAACCATTCTACCATAAAGACACATGCATGCATATGTTCATTGCAGCACTACTCACAGTAGCAAAGACATGGAATCAACTAAATGTCCACGTATGGTAAACTGGATAAAGAAAATGTGGTACATACGGAATGTGGTACCATGGAATACTATACAGCCATAAAAAAGGATGAGATCATGTCCTTTGCAGGAACACGGATGGAGCTGGAGGCCATCATCCTTTGTAAACTAATGCAGGAACAGAAAGCCAAACACTGCATGTTCTCACTTATAAGTGGAAGTTAAATGATGAGAACACATGGACACAAAGAGGGGAACAAGACATTGGGGCCTATTTGAGGTTGGATGGTGGCCAGGGGAGAGCATCAGAAAAAAATAACTATTAGATACTAGGCTTAGTATAATATTTGGGTGACAAAATAATCTGTACAATAAACTCCTGTGACAAGTTTACACACACACACACACACACACACACACACACACATATATATACATACAACCTGCACATGGACCCCTGAACCTAAAGTAAACCTTTTTTTAAAGCTTCCCCCCAAATAAAAAAAAATTTAAAATTTAAAATTTAAAAAAAAGTGCTGCTGCCTGAGTCCTATCTCCTGTGATTCTGACATTGTTGATCTTGCATATGGCCTGGGCATTGGGTCTCTCAAAGTTTTCCCGCTGATTTCAATGTGTAGTCAGAATTAAGACCCACTACTGTAGAATTTGCCCAAGATTGTCTGGTTCTAGAAATCTCGTTGGGTCATCAGAATTTGTTTACTTCTCTCACATGGAAGTGGTATAATCTCCCATATTAGTGCTACCCTTTGCATGAAACTGAGGCATAATTGGCCTGTTTCAGGCTACCCAGTGTTATCTCATGACCGGGAGCATCCACATCACCCAGGAGCTTGTTAGAAATGCAGCCTCAGGCTGGGCATGGTGGCTCACGCCTGTAATCCCAGCACTTTGGGAGGCCGAGACGGGCGAATCACAAGGTCAGGAGTTCGAGCCCAGCCTGGCCAACATAGGGAAACCCCGTCTCTACTAAAAATACAAAAAAAAGTAGCCAGATGTGGTGGCGGGTGCCTGTAGTCCCAGCTACTTGGGAGGCTGAGGCAGAATTGCTTGAACCTGGGAGGCGGAGGTTGCAATGAGCCGAGATCGTTGCCACTGCACTCCAGAGTGAGAGACTCCGTCTCAAAAAAAATAAAAAAGAAAGAAAGAAAGAAAGAAATGCAGCCTCAGCCCAGTCCCACAGAACAATTAAAACCGAATCTGCCTTTAAGATACCCAGGTGTTTCAGTTGCATATTCAAGTTTAGGGAGCACAACACAGTGGCCTCAAATTCTGCATTCCTAACACAATGCTTCCTAGTATTATGGATACTGCCGGTCCTCATCCACAGTGGCAAGGATCTAAAGCACTTTCTGTAAGTGTAGGAAACTCATTCTGGAATTCACCACAAACCTGAATTGAATTCTCTCCGAATCTGCCTTTTTAATTGACTGCTTATTCCCAGATGATTCTTATTTACATGAAAGTTTGAGAACCACTGATGCAGGCCCAACTTTTTCCCAGAGCAGGACTCATTCTCTTATTTGAAAAGCAGCTCAGTCTAATTGCACTTAGCCTACATCAGCCTAGAGGAAAGTATATTATCCTCTAGAGAAAAATACATCATCTCTTCCTTAGCCCTTCAAATAACTGAAGCTAATCTTTCTCCTGTTGCCTGGTCTTCATTGTCAGGCTTAGATTTGCCAACAGTTGCTCCTGATTCTGTTTCTTACTCTTCCTGGTATCCCCCTATGTCCCCACGACACACTGGAAACCTTTCACTTCAGCCATACTCCTCACAGTAAGACAGGCCAAAGCTAGAGGAAAGCTCTAAAGTGTGCCACACAGTATACAAATGACACTATCATCGGCTCTGATCAGAACTTCTGATTTTTTAATAATGCGGCTGGAGGTTCCATTCTTTTTAGAAAAGCTATATATCATGTTAGTTCAATATTAAGCTTTCATTTAACCACATCTCCTATGTTCCTTCCCTATGGATCATCAACAGATGTCACCTCATTCCAATATTTTCACAAGTACTGACTGACAAATAAATTTCATCACTGTGATCTCTGCCCACTATTTCAGCCAACAAGGAATTTCCGGTCACTGGTCCTAAATACATGGAACAGTCAGTCTTGGATTCAGACAGTCAGAAGACATGGATTCAAGTCTGATCTCTACAACTTTGCTATAGGCCTTACACAAGTTCTTTAGCCTTTATAAGCCTGTTTTTAAATCTATAAAATGGACACAATAATAGTACCTACCTTATAGTTGTGAGGATTCAATAAGGTAATACAAAAATCACTTTGCAAAGTATAAACCTGTGTAAATGTGAGTTATTAACGAAAGCATCCCAAGACACAAGGTACAAATAACCCACAAACTTAATCATAATAACCATTCATTCTTTGTGTTTTCTACCCCCACATGAAATTAGTGGCAGTTCTGAGATCCTCTGAAATGCAAACGCTGTCTCCTCCACTACCATCTGTGACCCATTCTAGTTTGCTTTCCTTCCTGATAAGAGTTCCTGTCTTTTATTGACAAAAGGCGGGGAAACCTGGTGTAAGAACCAGTGTAATTAAATACCAGGATAGTTCTCTAGAAACCAACCATGTGGAAGTGGATGAAACCAGAAAAACCCTTTAATGTCGCTGACGTGGGTGTCCAAATGTTCGGGCAGGGCATCCACTTCCAGTTTCTCACTGAAAGAGGAACTTAAAATTGCTAAGGTTCTGGTTGTTGGAATTCTGTAGAGCCACGGTTCCCAAGCAAAGGGAAACATGCAATGAATATGATATGATATATGATATGCTACAATATATTCTATCAACATGAGATCTCACCCTGCCTCAAGACCATGAGAGCCCTCTGAACTTATTCAGGAACAATGAGGTATCTACCCATTTCCTATAATAAGGACAATCTCAAAAACTGAATTCTCAGACTTAATCCAAAAGACTAGGAAGTGCTTGGTAGTTTTCACTAAAGTCCTTCCCTACGAACCTCCAGGTACCTTTCCAAACACAAATCTATAGAATTGTAGAATACATTATAGCATATCATATATCATATCATATTCATTGCATGTCTCCCTTTGCTTGGGAACTGTGGCTCTACAGAATTCCAACAACCAGACCTTAGCAATTTTAAGTTCCTCTTTCAGTGAGAAAATGGAAGTGGATGCCCTGCCTGAAATCTTTGCTAATTTCCACGATTTACAGATTAGAATAGCTGAGGTTTTTAGAGCACACATACTTTTGCAAAAGACTAATCAAAGAGTCACAACTAGAGGACATGTACAAAGCAAGAAATTCAACGATTAAATATACTCGGACTACTTAAGTAACAAACACCTAATGTTTATTAATAAATTAGTACACTTGAAGGCATTTTTCTGATATCGGTCCTTCACCACTACCCACAAACCCCACCCACACAAAGGGAGTCCACGCCACCTTTGCATTGGAACCTGGCAACTGAGCATTAGAAGGTACATTTGTAAATGGGAGCATAGTTGCAAATATATCAGACAAGGGTTCTTACAGTTGCAGCCATTTTTAATTAAAGTAATTGGTGAAGGAATCCCACCAGGACCAAGGCCTTGAGAGCAGATTGGACCTATTGATTATGTGTATATAAAAAACAAGACATCTTTTAAAGCAAAGCTGGGCAAATTCTCTATGGAAAGGGCGCCACTGGCACTTGATTTTGACTTTCCAAAGTGCAGCAATGTGTTCCAGAACAGCTCAAATCCTAAAAGGTGAAGTTCAAGTTCTTTGGTGGCCCAGTTGTCAAGCCACTTAAATAGCAAATCCTGATGGCTTGAGGATTTCATTTCTCCAGCCCAGAGCATATTAGCATAAGAAGAGTACAAGTAATCAAGCATTCTACACGGTGTCCAGGTGAAAACCATACAATCAGCAATAGTGTGGTCAAGTTTCAGCCATGAATATGAACTATACAAGACATATTTAAAAGATAACTCAAAGTTGAATTGCATTACAGTAACTCAATGGGGTCTTAAATTTTCTTAATCTTTAAGAAAATTTATAAAGGACAAACAATAATAAAAATAGTAATAATATTTGTTTTTAAAAAGTAGGTGTGAATGTTAAGAGACATAAAGACTGCTTATAGGATTCACAAGATGCCATTATACTTTTAAGAAGTTAAGAGCCTCACAATCCAGTGTGTGGGAAAAGTCACACTGCATTTATGGTAAGTTAAGTAAATTTAAAGTGCACAGAATAATCTTGAAAATACATAAGAAGGCAAAATGGAGAAAATATGGAACTTAAAAAACTTTAGTGGTGGGTATTTCACAACAGTTACACCTGGCAAAGGCTTATAAACCAACTTCCCAGAAGAGTTATTTAAAAAAAAAAGAGAGAGAGAGAAGGAGAAAGAACTCAAGCACTGGCCATATTCTCTGTTAAACACACACACACACACACACACACACACACACACAAACACACACACACACCCCAAACAACAAAAATCAGAAACAGAAGAAAATTAAAAAACCACCCTGCCACTAAATTGAGTAATTTCCAGAATGCAGTATCCCTATGTTCTACAGCAGGTCAGGAAGATGGCTATAAACAGAGTCCAGGAGGGTCTGGCTGGCTTCCTGGCTCTTGACTCCAATAATTTCGAATAGCCGGTCTAGTTTGTCCTCAGCCTGGGGAATCTCTTCAATCACCCGCAGCTCCTCAGGATTTAGAAAGTGGAGCATGTCATCAAAGATAGGCTGCAAGTCACAGGGGTCCAGGCGTACCTGCCGCAACACTGTGTCCTTCTTTTCTGCAGAGAAGAGAGGGAAGCAAAGACAGCTGTAAGGTGACTGTACTGGCAAGGCCTGGAGGAAGGAGAGCAGGGTCCTAGAGAGAGAGACATCTATGTCCCCCCCAGCCTATTATTCTCCATCCTCCATTACAGTGAGAGAGTGAGTGATCCTCTGGCACATTCGAAACAACACAAGAGTTTTTACTTGTGTTGCACGTGTAAGATAGCAAACAAGATTTGCCTGGTAGAGATCAGACAAGGTCTTGCTTGAATGGCTTGCTGAGTTATCATTAATGTGACATTTGCCTAGACTTAAGTAACTTCTAAATTATTTTAGAATTCAGAAGGTGAATGGTGAGATACTTAAAGAAACCAAAGAAACAAAAACAAAAAACTAAAAAACCTTTACTGCTTTCCCTATCTGAAATGTGTTTACTAAACTAAGATATACATAGGCCCACCCCTTTCCAAATGATCAAAAATTCCAAGACAATGTAGTCTACTTATGTGACTTTCTGATTACATTGTAATATTTTAGAACTAAACTGCTGAGAGAGTAAAAGCACATAAATAAGAAAATATGATTTCTTCTCAGGTCATACCTTACATTGGGATGAGGAACTATAACTTTTATTACTATTATAAAGCACTTTTTCTAAAATATATTATATAACATAAAATATAAACTAAAATATAAATATTTTATGTAAATGTAAAATAGATTAATATAAATATATAAAGTACACAAATTATAAATATGTAAATATAACATTTTATAAATACGTAAAATATCAAATATAACCCTTTCACTAAAATATAACTGGAATTACCCAAAACTAGAAAATTTCTTTAAAAACTGTCATAAATAGTGTATGCTAATTCCCTACCCCGATATTAAAAATTAAAAGTTGCAAATTCTTTGCCAAAACTACCAATCCATAATGTTTAAAATATTGGTATTTGCAATGTAGTTTAACAAAGTGAATTTTAGGGTATTTTTAAGTCACTAAAACCTGTAGTTTTCTTTTTTTTGGGACAAAGTTTTGCTCTTGTCACCCAGTCTGGAGTACAGTGGCACAATCTCAGCTCACTGCAGCCTCCGCGTCTCAGGTTCAAGTGATTCTTTTGCCTCAGCCTCTGAGTAGCTGGAACTACAGCGGGCTAATTTTTCTTTTTTTTTAGTAGAGATGGGGTTTCACCATGTTGGCCAGGCTCATCTCTAACTCCTGGCTTCAAGTGATCCGCCCACCTCGGCCTTCCAAAGTGCTCGGATTACAGGCGTGAGCTGCTGCGCACGGCCTAAAACCTGTACTTCTGACTCTCAAGATAAGTTCAACTTTAAATCTTTGGATACAGCAAGCTTGGTAAATAATTTTCAAAAATCTTGCCAGACTACATTTTATCAGGCCTTCCCCGAAACACACATTTGATAGCATCATGAGGATAAAGGGTGGCCGATAGCTCTCCACCGGGCAGTGCGAGCTGCAAAGATTTTGGAGGCGTGTCTTCGCCAGCCAATGGCGAGGTTACTCTCGGGCCAGCGTATCTTGAAGTTTTGGACTGGTCTTCCTGGGCAGGTAATTCAGATGACTCAACTCTCAGCTACAACTGGACTGTGGACGGGGAGGGACGAATCCCAGGGGCTCTTTGGGGGGTTTAAGTGCGTGTGTGAGGTCTGCTGCGATGCCCGTACCTTTGGTAATAAAGGAACCGTTCCTGCTCAGCGCGGAGGAGCCGCTGGATGTAGAGTCACAGCGGAGAAGGGGCTCCGACTCATCCACGAAGAAGCCCTTGTTCTTGTCCTGTGGGGAAGGCTCCACCGTCAGGAGAGCGGAATTCTCAAGTTTCGCGTTGGGGCTGGGGATGGGGCTCGGGCTAAGCGGGCTGGGGCTCATCGGGAGAGCTAGTTTGTCAGTTTCCAGCTGTAGGAGGGAAAATTTTTTTTTATTATATATAGAAAAAAAAACAGTAAAATTAAAATCCCTCCTCAGAGGCTATTTTTTTTGTTCCATTTAACATTTTATATATACATCCTCCCACTTCAGTTGACCTTAACTTATTTATATGATTGCTAGACACATACACAGACTTTTAAACCCTTCAAAAATACAGTGAGGATATGCATGAGTACTAAAAACGGGGAGGCATATGAACCAAGCTATTATCTCAGGGGAGTAGAAGGGAACATGGGTGTAAGGAGAAAGATCCCCGATTTAAAATATAATTTTGTAGAGCTGAAAGGAGTCTTAGATATAATTTAGTATTATGAGCTGAATGAATTATGCCACCTCCATGTTGAAGCCCTGACCCCCAGTACTTCAGAATGCGACTACTGTGAGAGAGGGCCTTTAAAGAGGTAATTACAGTAAAATGAGGTCTTTAGGGTTGGCTACACTCCGATATAACTGGTGTCTTTAATAAAAAGAAGCGATGAGGACACAGACGCACACAGAGGGAAGACACAGTGAAGACATGGTGATAAGGCAGCCATCTGCAAGCCAAGAGAGAGACCTCAGAAGACACCTTGGTCTTGGCCTTCTGAGGCTCCAGAATTGTGAGAAGACCAATTTCTGTTGTTTAAGCCATGCAGTCTGCGGTCCTTTGTTACTGCAGTGCTTGCTGACTCTTACACTCAGCTTCACAGGGAAGGAAACTGGGGCCTGGAGAAGTGAAGTGACTTTCTTAACTAAGGGCCAACAAGGAAGTCACAGAACTAAAACTAGACCCCAGGTTTTCTGACTCCCATTTCAAACTAGCTCAGGAAAAAAACTGCTAAAATTAAGAATGAGAACAGGAGAAAATGAGAGGTGTCAGTGGCTAGGAGGAGAGTAATGACCAAAAGGATAGAACAGAGACTGTGAAGATTGCATTCTGGAGTGGGGAGGTCAGAGAGACAATAACAAACACACAAGATGGTTTCAGATAAAGATGGTGAGCTTCACCACCACTCTGGCTGGTGGGTAGAGAATGGATTTTAGGGAGGCAAGATTCAAAGTAGGGAGAGCAGTTAGGACGCTCCTACAGTGGCTACATACAGTATGACTATGGCTTGTACTGGGGGTGTGCAGTGGAGAGAAGGGGAAGTGATAGGTGATGTGACTTCATTTTACCAGTAAAGTGACTGCGGCCCAAAGAGGGCACACAGCTACTGGCAGAAAGCCAGTGCTCAACTCAGGCCTGCTTGACATCTCTATTTGGCCCTTTCATTTGAGAAAATACATCAGAACTCTGGCAGGCACTTGTGGCCTCTCCTAGTAATTGACTTTATCTTTTTATTGGCTCTTCCGGCATGGATAAAAAAACCTGGGAGCCAGCTGGCCAGATCACACAGAGCAGGGTTCAGGGAATGATGGGCACTCTCCCCAAGCTGTTAATCACCACTCCTTAGAATCCTCATCCCTTCACTCACACACTTCAAGTAAAATGTTTTCAAGCTTTTCAACGAAGACATTGATATTTCAAAGTATTACGTGGGATAGTTATATAAGGCACAAAGCAAACACAACTGCTTCTTTTACAAATTTTAAGGCCTGAGAAATTCTTGCAACTGATTGCAGATTGTGAAGATAACTGATTACTGCACATGTCTAATGTTCCAACAGCGTTTTTCCTCTGAACCACCACCCACACCCTGCTGCTGCTTCCAGGGCAAGTTTCAGACTTGGGAAACATGCACACCTAGCAGTCCCTTTCTGACCTACAGACAAATGTTACGTATATGCTTGTAAAATGTTAATTCCATAGGCCCTGGCGCATGCCCCTCCTCCTTGAAAATGCACATGGCCATTCACGCCAACACACTTTTTTAATTCACTCAGTTAGACTAAGAACACTTGTCTACATCCTGGTTCTCAGGGACAATACCTTGGAAGACATGGTCAGTCAATATAGTACACTGTTCTTGCTTAAAAGGAAATTTCCACCCACAAATCACATGCCAATGAGCAAAAAGTCCACTCACCTGTTTCCTAAATTCATTTGAAAACTTGAAATGTTTAATTTCCCCCCCCGATTTCACCAAAAGGTCCTATTAGTAAAACTTAAGCACATGATTTCCGACATAATTGGAAAGACAGAATGCTGAACTGATGCTCTCCTGTAATTAACAATGAGTCAGGTGAATATGAAAATGCCCCTACAAATGCTATTAGCATCACAGCAGAGCTAACAAGCATCACTAAAGCCAGAGACCATTTAAAAATCATCTTTCCAGAAAATCTACTCAGTTACTAACTATAAGTATCTCTCACTTTGTGCAACCGTAGCTGGTTGCATTTTGACTTCATCTAAAGTTGTTTTCACTTTTTCCCAAAAGAAAAAAAAATGCTCATAGAAATTTCTTTCCGTGCTTTACCATAATATATACAATATCCATCAAAGCCGGTTTGCAGTACTGCTACCGTACTAGGCATTGTGTTACTTCTGCTTTCTAATCAGAACAGTGAGTCATCGGAATATGTGAAATAAATTAATTCCTTGTTTTATTAATTCTGAAAGTTTATGGTTCAGTATTCTGAGTTTATAGCCAATGAAGAACACCTACAATAAGATTTAGATACTAAAGAGAAAACAAATACTCTAAACAAGAAAGCCATATTTCCAGAGAAGAGGATCCTCTTATAAAAACTTTGAGCATAAACTTACCAAGATACTTATAAAATAAAATAATTTATTTCCTAAGGTTCTTTGAGTTTTCCAAATTCTCTGTAAAGATATATTAGGCTGGGCACGGTGACTCACACCTATTTTTTTTTGTTCCATTTAATATTTTATACATACATCCTCCCATTTCAGTTGACCATAACCAGTTGACCTATAATACTAGCACTTTGGGAGGCCAAGGTGGGTGGGTCACTTGAGGTCAGGAGTTCAAGACAAGCCTGGGCAACATGGTGAAACCCTGTCTCCACTAAAAATACAAAAATGAGCCAGGCGTGGTGGCAGGCGCCTGTAATCCCAACTACTTGGGAGTCTGAGGCAGGAGAATCGCTTGAACCAGGGAGGTGGAGGTTGCAGTGAGCCAAGATCGTGCCACTGCCCTCCAGCCTGGACGACGGAGTGAGACTCTGTCTCAAAAAAAAAGAAAGAAAAAAAGATATATTAACTTTGACAGCTAGAAAATCAATAAATGTTGTTTTTAAAAGCAGTCACTACCGATAAGTATATTTTCCTTCTGCTACCTTGAAAATGTTGTGGCTGTAGCAGCTCTTATTTATATAGGTAGCCAAGAAACAGGGTAACAGGAAGATTATCAATGTGGCTGAGCTCCTCTCTATACTTTTGTGAAATGTTTGTGGACACGGCATTCATACATGCCCCAGCTTATTTCAATAAGGCAGATATTAAGAAAACGTGGCCTGTAAAGGCAATGTATCTGTCACTTATTTGAAGCTCCTTTGGAGAAACTTGAAAACTACAGTTCTTTTTGCCTACTGCCATGACATAATCCTAACTTGGAAGACTCATGTGAGAAATGAGGTGGGGACAGTAAATAGACCAAAATGGTAGGGGGCTCCCAAAGCAGCCCAAAAGAGAACAATTCTATTTTGTGAACTTCAAGAGCATGGCATTTCTTTCAGCCAAACAAGTTCCAAATGTCCTTCTGATTAGTTTCCATGCAAACACACTTAGTCCTTCCAGATACTTATTAGTCCAAACTGATAAGGGAAGAAAGATAAATGGTTCAACTCACTCAAGGCTGAGTCACACCTAAAGCTCTGCTGCTGACAATTTTCCTTTCCGAGCACCTCTACCACTGAGTACAAGGAACCATCCAAATGGATTAGGTAAACAGACTACTGCTTTGGGAATCTGAACATCTCTGGGCTACTGAGTTTGGTAGCAGTGTTTATGAGAATAATGATTTAACTTGTATCTGGATTGTACCACAATGAACCATGACTGTCATCATTGCCTTTCCCCATTTCCAGCTGTGTCCTTGCCAACCCTACATTCCTGCACCAAGCAGACTTCTAAAAAACTGAAGTACCCACTCTGGATGCTTAACCAAATCAAAATGGGAAACTGAGGCTGGGCGCAGTGGCTTACACCTGTAATCCCAACACTTTGGGAGGCCAAATGGGCAGATCACTGTAGGTCAGGAGTTCAAGACCAGCCTGGTCAACATAGCGAAACCCTGTCTCTACTAAAACTACAAAAATTAGCCGGGCATGGTGGCACATGCCTGTAATCCCAGCTGCTCAGGAGGCTGAGGCAGGAGGATTGCTTGAACTGGGGAGGCGGAGGTTGCAGTGAGGCGAGATCACGCCCCTGCACTCCAGCCTGGGCAACAGAGCAAGACTCCATCTCAAAAAAAAAAAAAAAAAAAAAAAAAGGAAACTGAAGCCCAAAAATAATTCTCCACTTCTAATATCAAACTGAAAAATCACTTCCCTGTTGACTGACCTTTCCTGAGATGACACACTGGTGGAGGTTGCAGTATTCCCCTAGCCCCGGGGATGGCAGAGCCATGGATGGTAAAGGAAAATCCTTCCAAATTTTATTCATGACAAGGGTGGTAGATAAATGAAATAAGATTTCGAGGCAGCAAGATCTGGCAGCATTCTTGGGTAGACTCTGAGAGCAGGAATAGGCGAGAACTCCAGCCTCAACTGCCATCTGTGTGGCATGTACTTCATGTTCCCCATAGTCAGCTCCTAAAAATCAAAGTCATGAAAATCCTGGAAAAAGCATTGCAAGAAAAGAGAGAAGACATAACACTAACTAGCTGTGTGGCACTAGGAAAACCACTTCCCTCATCAGACCTGTGGTCTCACTTCTAACCTAAATAGGTTAGACCAGGTCACTTCTGTGTTCCTTTCATTCAAATTATGTCTTATTTATTGCTTGTCTTACTGTTGCTATTTCATTCTCCTCATGCCCTAATCCCCCACTCCAATTCTCTTTCCCCTTCCAAGTTACCCCCACCTGAACTACCTGCTCAACGAAAGTTTACCACAAAGTTATTTTCAATTACTACCCAATTACAATCTCCCTGTGGTTGCACAATCTGTTTTCATAAAACTAATTAATGACTTTGATGCATCAGCGACCCCCTGAAATGAAGCATTAATTGCCCAGCCTGGATGCTCTTTGCCAGCCTGCTAAAATGGTTCCATTTAACCCCTTGGCTCCTGACACTACCCAGTTCAATACCACCAGGCCCCTTTTCCCTAATATAACTAGATATGCCTGATAGTCCCCAGCAGAAAGCTCCTTACAGTAAAGTCGCTGTTTTGATTTAATTTTCCCTCCAGACCTCATTCAACACTTAGAAAGAAGGAAGAGTTCTATGTTACATTTGTGAAAATCTCTCACTTTAATAATGGTTTTTAAAAGCCCATTTGCTAAATCTAACTGAAACTTACTGCTTTTCCATATGAGGTAACAAAAAGAGACCTGAAGAAATAAGCCATTGCCAATACTGTGCTAGGTGATTCAGCAGAAAATATCTGTGATTCGTTTGCTGCTAAGGAAGTTGTATCAGCCCCATTTTACAGATGAGGAAACTGAGGCTCTAAGAGGTAATAACTTGCCCCAAGCCATAGAACCAGGATTCAAGACCAGGTCTGTCTAGTTTCAAAGTTACCCTCTTTGCTGCCATGTCACTTCCCTGTCTGGACCCCACAGCATTTAGAGAAAATTGACAAACCCTGTAAACTGATTACAAGCGATCACATGACCACAGGGCATTGCCCGAGCCCCTCCGCTAGAGTGAAGTGGGTAGAGGTTGAGATCTGCAAGTACCTGGGACTCAATGGCAGACTTACACTCCAGCTGGATGACTGCGCTAAGATAAATATGAGAGATTCTGTGAATACCAGATACCTCAACTGTAGCCAATAACTTTGTTTTCTATTGAAAATATTTCAGATCCCAACAGACAAGTGGCTGGTTAAAAAAACAAACAAACAAATTCAATTTCTACTAAAGGTTTATCTCAAAGGAATTCTAGTCGCGAATAAATATAAAATTACAACTATTTAAGAATTATGATATTATCTCAAGCCTGTTTCCCCTGCTCTCCCAGCTGCCCACATAATCAAAATCAAATTAGATTTCAAGACCTTCTATAGGCCTATACAGGCATATAAGATGGGCTCTGGGAGGAAAAAAAGGCATATTTTCTTTGCCAGAAAAGTATTTCTTGATATCTGAATCTATGTGGTCTTTAGAGAAGAGGAATTCAGATAATAAGAAATGCTTTCTTATTCAAATCTATGTGGTTCCAGGATTTCAGATATAAATAAGGGTTCATATAATGAGGTTACCAGCCTCATCACAAAACAATTTATCTGAATCTATTCAATTCCTAAGTTCGGACACTGTAAAATACTTGTATATAATGATTTCTCCCTTAAAAAATAAAAACAAATACATCACCCTAAAAAAAAAGTTTCAGATGATGAGAGACAATGATTTTAAAATTATTCTTCTGAGTGTGAATTCTTGTTCAATTCAATCCAGAGTAAGGGGTCTTGGCAAGCAGAACCCAAATGTACCCAATTTTTTTTTTGCAAACAAAAATCTTAAGAGGCAAATGGAAAAATGCTGATTTCTAAATGCTTGAAAGAAGGATTATCAGTTATAAGAAATTTAGAGAAAGTCTTCGAAATGGGAATATGGACTGGAAACGTATACATACATAGATAAAGCAAATATGCCAAAATGTGAATAACAATTGAATCTAGATGGTAGATTTATTATTTGTTGTAATGTGCTTCCAAATTTTCTTTGCTTCGTAAGTCTTCTCTTAAAACATTATTTTAAAAAATTAAAGAGAAGGGCCAAGAGTCAAGTAACTTTAAGAGAAAAATTCCCCAAACTTTTCCTGGGCTTCTAATTGTTGAGTTAAAACCTCTTGTTTTCTTTCCTTCTTTCTTCTTCTCCTGCACAGCCCAGACTTTAGTACATGAAGCAAGGAGGTGCTTCCATTGCATAAGTAGGGAACAGCACCAACACTTAAATCTAAATTGTCAATTGCCAAGTGGACAGCGAGGGCCATCTGCTGTCTAGAGCTCCCTGGGATCACTGGATGTCATGGGATGGAAGAAAGAACAGGAGCACAACACCAAGATGTTCTGCTCAGCTTCCTTGGGAACCCCCAAGCCAGACCACAGAGATGGCATAGGTGAGTGAACCTTAAGCTGGGAGCCAATGCAGAGCCTGCAGAACAAACTCACCCACCATCAGGGGAATCTCAGGATTAACCTGGCCAAAAAAATGCCAAAACCACTGGGGAATTATTTTAAAAAACACTCCCACTCACCCCAGATCTGTTCAAGCACAGAATAATGAAAAGGTTTTGTTTCAACTGCAACCTTACTTAAGGCCTATGAAGTTAGACTAGGTTAGCTGGTCACGGTGGGTTTCTCGCTTAAATACCCCAAACTCAAATCAAGGTAGTTGGCTATAATTTTCTGTATATACCTCGTCTTAGAATTCTCATCATTTCTAAGAGTTAATTTCAAAATTGAGCCCCAAAGTCTATAAATCCACCCCCATTTAAGTCAAAGTGTCAATAGCCAATCCTTGCCCTAAGCAAGAGAGCTGTGCCTTTCCTGTATGTACAGGAGAAAAGCCACAACAAATAGTGCTGCACAAAGCTGCCAAAGCTGGTAAGAACCAGCTGGCTCCGGAGGGAGGGAAAAGGGGGGGCAGCCCCGCCCCGCTACCGGCACGGGTGTCTGCAGGCTGTCCAGGCTGCTGACATCAACGGTAGTGGTGTTGCAGCCCTGAGCTGACTCACTGATTAGCTTTCTCAAAAAGAGGAAGTGAGGACAGTGAATAAGTGGGTTCTCTTGGTTCAGAGCTGGAGCCCACTCACGTTTGAAAATATTGCCAAGACTTTTAAGAGCTCAGCACCATCGGAACATGAGGAGATCATGCTCCATTGGAAATTCCTTAGGTTTCCCTAAACTTCTATTGGAAAATCTTTCCCACAAAAAAGCCTTTCGATAATTCTATCCATGAGAAAAAGTTTCGCAAACCTTTTTAAAGCTTGCCATAAGACACTGTGGAGGATGGAAAGTAATTTCGTAGGAAACTCAAGACCTTGAAGTAAGAAGGCTTAAGTTCATCTTTATGACTCGGGCTTTTTGAACTCATCAAATCTGATTAAATTAGCATTGCATAATAAGTCCATTAATTAGATTCATGCCATTAGAATTACAATGCATATGGTCTACAAGTCTAAGTTAACCTTTGACCTTAACCTCTGACTTCCAAGTCTCGGCAACTCAGTTTCCCTCCGTGGTGGTAACTACTGTTACCAAGTCACAATATACTCTTCCAGAGATAGAGACAGTCTATACTTATACCAATAAATAAGTATATATGTTCTCCACCCCCCTTATTTTTTAAAACAATTTTTAACATCTATGTATATACTGTGTGTGTGTGTATATATATGTATATATTTTTGCAATATGGTGGCACAATGTACATACTGTTGTTTTTTTGGTTTTGTTTTTTTCGTGTCTCCCAGGCTGGAGTGCAGTGGTGCAATCTCGGCTCACTGCAGCCTCCATATCCTGTATTCAATTGATTTTCGTGCCTTAGCCTCCTGACTAGCTGGGATTACAGGCATGCACCACCAGGCCCAGATGATTTTTGTAGTTTTAGTAGAGATGGGGTTTCACCATGTTGGCCAGGCTGTTCTCAAACTCCTAACTTCAAGTGATCTGCCCACCTTGGCCTCCCAAAGTGCTGAGATTATAGGTGTGAGCCACTGTGCCCCATCCTACATACTATTCTTCACCTGGCCTTTTTTCGTTTAACCCTTCTTGAGGTTAGCACATGAAGAGCTGACTCACTTCTTCTGACAAGTGCATGCTGTTCCATTGTACAGATGTTCAATAACTTAGATAACCAGTCCTCTAGTGAAGGGCATTTGTAGATCTCCTCACTCTTTTGCTATTACACATGACACTACAATGAATATATGTGTACTTGCATCATTCTGAATGCATGTGAACATGTGTAAGATATCTTCCTAGATGTGGAATTATAGGTCTCCATGCCAGCCTGAGAGGTTAAAAATCTGCATGTTTAAAAAGTCTTCAGGCTGGGCGCGGTGGCTCACACCTGTAATCCCAGCACTTCGGGAGGCCGAGGCGGGCGGATCACAAGGTCAGGAGATAGAGACCATCCTGGCTAACACGGTGAAACCCCATCTCTACTAAAAAATACAAAAAAAATTAGCCAGGCGTGGTGGCGGGGACCTGTATTCCCAGCTACTCGGGAGGCAGAGGCAGGAGAATGGCGTGAACCCGGGAGGGGGAGCTTGCAGTGACCCGAGATGGCGCCACTGCACGCCAGCCTGGGCGACACAGCAAGACTCCGTCTCAAAAAAAAAAAAAAAAAAAAGGCTTCAGTATTTCCTTCTCTGTGAACTGTCTTGTTCACAAGACTGCACATTTTTTTTCTTAATTTGTAAAAACTCCTTATTTTTCAAGAAACTGAACCCTATGTTTCAAACAATTTCAACCTGTGATTATTTTGTCTTTTGATTTGTATACGGTGTTTTCTGGCTTGTGTATTTATTGTTAAGTAGTTGCATTGTTCTTGTACGGCTTCTGTGCTTTATGTTATTCTCTACTGTTGTGATTATAAAAACAAAACATTTCCCCCAAGTTTTTTTTCTAGTACTTTTTTGGTGATAAGTCATTTTAGTTGTTGGGCATTTAATTTCAGCCTGTCCTGTGAAAGTCCAACTGTAGATCGATCAAAGTTTCCTCTGTGGCAATTGTTTATTAAAAAACCAGGAATGACATTAGTCTCTCCCAAGGAAATGGTGAAAAATAAGTGATGAAAACCTCGAAATTAACTGATATAAAATAAAACCTACTGCTGACCATGATGCAATTCCTCATCAGCAAGTGTACCTGTTATTGACACTTGGGTTATAACAGAATAAGGGACACTTTCACAAACACAGAGTGGAGAAGCTAGGCCAAAGCTGGAAGCTATTCAACTTTATCCAAATCGGTGTTTTGCCTTTAAAAAGAAAAAGTGAAAATGTGCTCTCCTGCACTGGTAATTGATGGAGAAAATAAGCTTCTTTTCACAGTATTGATTCTGATTTCCTCCCAATGCACTTTTTGAGAAAGCCAGGAAGGGTGTAGATTAAAGGGGTGGGAAATGTCATCCACTAACAGACCCAGCCTTTTCTGAATGGTGAGACACTCTGTCTCAGAAAAAAATTAAAGCCCACTTCCATCCCTCTGTATAGCAGCTTCACAGAATATATTCTCAAGTCTGGCTCACATATCTATCCCTCCTATAAAACTGTCAGCATCCTAAGGGATGATTCTGCTTTGTGTTTTGTTTTGTTTCATTTAGTATCTCAGTGCCTGGTACAGGGCTCAATACATAATGGGTGCTCTGATAATCTATTAAATAAATTGTCTGTGTTGAATTATCTCAACCTTAAAGGCAATACTAAGAAGAAGTGTGTGTGTGTGTGTGTGTGTGTGTGTGTTTGTGTGTGTGTGTGTGTGTGTTGGGCAGGGAGTGTATATTAATATAAAGACCCCAAGAATCTGTTTCCTAGACTTTTCTCCTTACGATCTGCATACAGCAAGCTCAACTACTATATTTATTAAAATTCTATGATGCATATTTTTTTCACATTTTAACATCTCTGAAATAGAGGTGTCTCTTACAATTATAATTAACAGTATTTTCTTTCTCAGTAATACATAATGACAATGGTATATCTTACAATTGACATGGGATTCAATGAAATATAGTAATATATCTGTATTAGTCAGTTTTCATACTGCTATAAAGAAATACCTGAAGTTGGATAATTTATAAAGAAATGAGGTTTCATATGCTCACGGTTCTGCAAGCTGTATAGGAAGCATGACTGGGGAGGCTTCAGGAAACTTATAATCATGGCAGAAGGCAAAGGGGAAGCAGGCATGTCTTACATGGTCAGAGCAGTGGTGATAGGGGGAGGTGCCACATGCTTTCACACAATCAGATCTCGTGAGAACTCTATTGCAAGAACAGTGCCAAAGCAGGAAATCTGCCCACATGATCCAGTCACCTCCCACCAGGCCCCACCTCCAACATTGGGAATTACAATTCAACATGAGGTTTGGGCAGGGACACAGACCCAAACCATATCACTATCTTAATGAGAATATACCCACCTATACTTCTCAGGACCATGAAGCTTGCTAAATAAACCAGCTATAGAGCACCCAGACAGTGTTTGGGACACAACAGATATTTAGCAAATGCTGATTTCAACTTAATGTGCATTTACTGAAAACATAATGCATTTGCTGTCAAGTCAAAAAAAGGACAATGTAGAATTCAAATTCCAACACAGAAAATAGTTGCTAAGATTTACTGAGCCCCCTGCTCTATGTCAAGTGCAGGACTGGGCATTTACACTCACCTCTATTTCTCAGCAAGATCTTTACAAAGCACTTACAAAGCTTGGAGACTGTATAGGACTTGCCCAAGGTCACATAGTGAGTGGCAAAAGCAAAATTCAAACCCAATTCAGAGAGACAAAGTCAAATTCTTGAATTTGTCAGTTCCTTCTAGTAGTTCCTGGAGATTCAAAGTTCAATATCTAGCACGTGACATGAACTGGGATATTAAAACCTTATTTCTATACCTTAAATATTACAGAACAGTTAAGGGTTTCTAAAAAGCTTGCTACTGAGCAAAACAAGGATGTAAGTAAAACAGACGTTCTTTGCAGAGTCAAAGATTTGAGAAGCCCTTAATATGAAAAAGCAGGTGGGGCTTCCTAGGCAGAAACCAAATGTGAAAGTTTCAGGAAAGAAGACCAAAATATAGTCTTGAAAAAAAACTAGTCTGATTTTTTTAAGTGACTTTCAAATGGACAAATATATATCTGCTCTAGCTTTCTATGTATTTTTTTGGCAGGTTGAGTACTTCTTCACCCTGATGCTTATAATTCCTCATGCACACTTCTATTATAACATTTGCTTATCCCACTGAATTATAATTATTTGCACACGTGTCTCCATCACCACAAGTGAGTTATTGAAAGGCATTGACCACTTTTCTTCTTTATCCAGTACCAGGCTCACAGCTGGTGTTTGACAAAAGGTTGTCAACTAACTGAATGAAACTTTGGACTATGATAATAAATAGAACAGCCTGAAATGTCATTAAAAATCTAAAGCCTATTTATAAACATTGCTCCTTTGTGCGCAATGACAACTTTAAACACAAGCATCACTAAATGTTCCTGGTTCTATGTGTGTCAGCAATCCCTTTATAATGTCCTCTTCTCCTCACCACCCCAGAAGTTCCCCAGAGCCTGCAGTCACACCCCATGAATTAAGTAACTTGACCTTAAATAACCCTCCATGCTGCAGTAACACAGCAGAGGGCAGCTGCTAGATACATGCAAGTTTAGCTGTTACCTTAGGTCCTCAGGTCTTAGGACAAGATCCCTAATTTCTAAGAGATGACAAATTGGAAAATTAATGACAAAGACTAATTTGAATAGCCAAAAAGTCAACAGTTAATGTACAGCTGGTATTTGCTTCAACTCGTCCTCACTGTATTAAATTTCTGAAAATAGCTGGTCTCAGTCAGACCCGTAGATAAGGACAGCTGCATCCTGCAGCTGGTAAGCAAAAAATCAGTAACTGTAGTTCCCTCTGCAGCAGAGGCAGGAGTGCTGCTCTCACCAAAATAGAAGGCCCAGTACTTCTCTAGCTGTTGGGATTCTCTGAGTTGATTACACAGAGCAAAGCCATCCAGGATCCAACACAGAGTCTACTATAGTAGAGAGAGAGAGAGTGCCTAAGTGCACAAATGCTCTGTTCCTGAGACATAGGTCCCCTATGTGGTTCTGGAAAGGACTAAAATATCCTAACAAAGAATAATTAATTCTATTATATAGAAATCAACAACAACCACCACAAAACATTGGCGGTGGGTCCACTGGTTGTGAAATTATAGTGTAGTTTTAATCTGCTTAATCTTATGGAAGGAGAGATAAGAAGTAGAGCATTGATTCTCCACTCCGCTTCCTGGTTAACATCAGTCCTTTACATTTGTGAATCTCTGATCAAAGCAGACAGCTAAAGTAACAATTTATATTATTTTAAATTGTTGTGGTTGTTTTTAATACCATCATTTTTTAAGTATCTATAAAATTTCTTTTTCCACCCCTTTCTCTCATGAAGCAATGAAGGGATGCTGAAACTCTAACCACAGATATAATACTTCTGAACCTAGCTGCAAAGCATCACTTTAATATCTCACTCTAGTATGGCCCCCAGTAATTTGATTATCAAAATTAATTTTGATAACCACTCAGAGTGTGAAGGGCAGGTTCTGTAATTCCCATTTTAAATGGAAAAATCTCAGAGTTAGAGAAATTGTTTGCCCAGGGTTTCCTAAGGAGAAGAAACAGACTCCTTTCCTCCCACCCTAGCCAAGGCGCAGGGAAAGAGTGCACTGGTTAAGTCTCTCTGCACATACAAAGGCTCTAAAATAAAAGGGGGGAGTGAAAAAAAAACATAGAAAACCAAATCATAAGGAAAACCAGAAATTCACTTGCTCAATTTTGTTTCTCTGACAGCTATTGAGGAAGCAGACCATTATCTCCCTTGCTAGAGAAAACATTCCAGCCAGCCTAGGAACATGTGCTCAGGCAGTAAGCAACACATAGCTACAGTTAGCTGGGATTTCCAGCTCTGGGGCACTGAACCCAGATAGCACTTCCTGCTCGGCCACCTGCTTTCAGCAGTCCTGGAATTGGGTGAACATCCCCACCCAACACTAAGTGACCCTCAGTATTCAGCATCTAAAAGACCCATTATGTGTATGAGTTTTAGCTAGTTAGGAACATTCTTCCATCTCTCTTGCCTCCAGAGCCTGGAAATAATTGCAACTATTAATAGTCAACATCTGACAAATGCTTACAGTGGGTCACACTCACCTCATTCTCAGAGTAACCCATAGGACAGGCACGCATGTTGTTCCTATTGTCTCATGAAGAAACTGAGGCAGAGAGGCCAAGTAATTTACTCAGGGTCCCTAAAATGACTATGTTGCCAGGACAGGGATTTAACCCGGCACACGTCTCCATACTGATGTTCTAATCGGAGCCTTACTGGCTGGTTAGATGGCGATCCAGCACATTCCTCCTCCCAACCTCTTGGATTTACTCCTTCAGATTATATAAGTATGTGTAAACTTCTTCCTTCCATCCAACTGTAAGCTTCCTTGATGGCATTGACTTTGTCTTACTCATCTTTGCATTGCCCAAAGTGCCTGTTATAATACTGTGCACAAAATGTGTTATGTCATATAGATTTAAAAATAAAATCACATCCTCTCGTTTGCTGGTTAGCAGGGGAAACTTAAATCCAGGCATTAAAGGACTAAAGGAAAATAACTGGCAAGCTAGAATTTTATTTCCAGCTATCCTTCAAAAACTAAGGTGAAATAATGCAATTTATTTATTTATAAATAGGCACTTTTCAGACCAAGAAAAACAGAGTTTACTGCTGGAAACCTACACATAGAAGTATTCTTTAGGCAAAAGAAAAATTTTCTCAGGTAGAAGTTGAAGCTCCAGGAGGAAGGTATTAAGAATGTTAAGAATGGAAAAGATCAATATGCAGATAAATCTGTGTGACTCCTGACTGTGTAAAACTGTAATAACTCTGCCTTTTAGCAGTATTAAAAGTGTAACATTAAAATTCATGAAAACAAAAGCGAAGTATAAGAGGAGGATAAATAGGATTAAAGTCTTCTAAGGTTGTAGTATCTGTAAAATGGTAAAAAGTACACATTTATTGCCTATATCTCATAATTAAGCATGTGTGTTGTAATCCCTTGGGTATCCCTTAAAAGTGAAGTAAAAAATGTGAAATTAACAAGCTAACAGATGAGGAAAAATGGAATAAGAAAAAAATACTTGATTATTCCAAGAGAAAGCAAGAAAAGATGGAGAGAGAAAAAAATAAAAAAAGACGAGAGGACAAATTGAAAACAAAGATGTGGTAGATTTAAACCCAAATATTTGAGTAATTACATTTTAAAAATTACATTTAAAAAGCAATTATATAATTACATAAAAATGTAAACACACTGAAATTCTCTAATTATCAAAAGCTATCAGACTAGATTTAAGAAAAAAATCTGAAATATATGCTTCTTATAAGAGACATTTTTTAAATAAAGACAGAGAAAAAAATCAAAGTAAAAGGATGGGAAAAGAGATAACATACAAACTGGAATGCTGTATTAGGGCAGTGTTTTGTTTTTTAATAGCTTTGGTAAAATTGCAATAACTTACAACTATTATCCCACTGTTTTGCTGCTTATTCCAAATGCTCATGTCCCAGAAGGGAAGAATAGCTATGATTCTGGAAGGCTGGGTTCAGTTTAGATATTGAACTTGAAAGAAGAGAGTGCTGAAAAATACAGCTCATACCTCAGATAAAGAAAGAGTCAGACTCTGAATGGGTTTAATTTAAAAATGGCTAATAGGCCACCATGGTTAATAATGAACCGGCTGTTCTTGACAGAGGCAACAAAAAGCCACACCAGGGCTAATCCTTTTAGTGGAACATAACATAGGCACTTTCAGGCTTATGAAGAGAAAAAACATTGACCATTGAAAAAAAATAGTCATTTTTACCCATTAAGAGTCCAATAACTCCTGGGGCAAAGCCCCAAATCCCCAGCAGTACCACCATACACAGGGAGTACAAGCCCATCACAGGATGAGAATAAGGAGTCTCAATTAAGCCCCCTGCCTTCTGATTCACTTGTTAGATGGGACAAATTTCAGAAATAAACAATGGACAGAGAGTAACATACTGTGCAATTACCACTTGAGCATCCCTAATCCAAAAATTCAAAATCCAAAACTTTTTGAGCAC
The DNA here is from genome assembly GCF_000001405.40 of Homo sapiens. Lineage (NCBI taxonomy): Eukaryota > Metazoa > Chordata > Mammalia > Primates > Hominidae > Homo > Homo sapiens. The sequence continues at coordinate 47,250,877 of NC_000006.12, forward strand.
CAACATAATGCCACAAGTGGAAAATTCCACACATGAGTACTTAACACAAACTTTGCTTCATGCATACACTTTTTCTAATTTTGTATAAAATTACCTTCAGGCTATGTATGTAAGGTATATGTGAAACATAAATGAATTTCATGTTTAGATTTGGGACCTATCCCCAAACTATCTTATTATGTATATGCAAATATTCCAAAGTCTGAAAAAATCCAAAATCTAAAACACTTCCAGTCCCAAGCATATCAGATAAAGGATACTCAACCTGTAATAAGAACTGGCAGCCAAAAATCCATGTTCATTGGCTATTAAAATTAGAGTTAGAGCTGGATCCAAAACGCTGCTAGACATTGATGTATATTGTTGAAATGTGAAATCAAAAATTTAATATTGCCTTCTCAGCCTCCATCATAACTCAAAGGCTATAGCAGAACCAACGAGAAAGTTGTAGAGTGCTTTGACATTACTGTTCTCAAAAAATAAACAACAAAAAATAGCTACTATTAGAATCTTTTGGTATTATAGAAGAGATAAGGGGAAGGAAATAATTAAGGTGTACAAGAGTTTGGCACTTAGGAAGAAGCTGCTTTGTTCTCTCATTCGTTGACCTAATGATTTTATTATGAATCACTCTTTTTGACATGCACTCTCACCTTCTTATTTTTCCATGGGCCCACCACAGGTTTGGGTTAACCAAATCCTAACCTTGCATCAGTCATATGTTATCTTTCTTTTAGGCATCATCAAGGACATTAGGCGACTTATTCTCACGTATCTAAATCCTTCTTTGAGCCTTAGGCTTGTCTTCCAGCTCTCTCCTTAAAGCCAGTCTCTAAGAATGCGTGGCAATGCTTTGCCTCTAAACTCCCTGTATTCAAACTGCCGCCATTTTACTTAATTGGAGGGTTAACATCTCCCTCACTTTCCCCCAAATCCAGCTACTTAAAGCCTAGTTTTACTTGTGAATAATATTTCACACCTAAATTATTTCTTAGAAAGTCATAAGACACTGGTGTATGCCTCTGAATGTTTATCACTTGGGTCTATTAATAAGTATTTTTTTCTGAAATTCCACACTTCAAAGAAGTTAAAAATATGCCAGAGCTTTAAAAGACCACCTTCAAAGTCAATTAGCACCTATAAATTGTTATTATCCAGTTACTTGGATAAAAGATTCACCTGATAAATGATTACATCAATTGTCAAGAATTACTGCGCTATCAGTATAAAAAGATAAAAGCATTTGGACTTCTTAAGTACATAAAGTATACTTAAACGTAAGTATAAAGTATGCAAAATGAAATACTTTGATACACAAAATGTGATATAGAATGATAGTAAACTGAATTGATGTCATAAAAAATCTCTACCTAGCTCTTTTAGGTAACAAATTTGGACCACTGGAATAATAACACAGACCGGCCCTTTAAATCTTAAGTGGGTTTTATCTAGTCTTAGTGGCAGCATTTTCTTTACTTTGGGAATATGTTCTGAAACCTGAATTGAAGTCTGTGGAAAATATGATTCAATATCCAAATCTGAACTTTATTCATGGCCTTTCAGGGAAGTACATACAATTAAAGAAAGGCTAAGTAAAATGAGTTACATCATGGTCGTAACTACCACTTGTAGAACACTTTCAATGAGTCAGGCATTTTATATGCTTTATTTCTCATCTTAATCTTATATAGCAGACTTGAAAATGTGAATAACAGAGGCAAGGAAAGTTGAAGTAACTTACCCTTCATCACCTAAGCTAATATGTACCAGAGCCAGGATTCAAATCCAGCGCTGTCTGGCTCCAAAGCCAGGGCTTATTAGCTATAAAGAAATCACACTCCTGGGTCCCCTCAGTTCCCATCTGATGTGCTCCACGGAACAACCCAAGGAGGAGAATCAGTTCTGTCATCAACTGCCGCTAGCACCACCTGCATCCTCAGGAGGCAAGAATGCTGCCTTCATAAGCCACATCACAAAAACACCCTCTGGAGGAGAGGCGGTGTAGTAAAAAGTATTTTTTCTTGGTTTTGTTCAAAGTGTGTCATGCAAAATGGATTGTAAATGGAGTAACAAAGAGAGCTTTTACAAATACCGATTCACGCTCTGCCCCCTGGAGATTCTGATGTGACTGGTCTGCAGGTAGGGTCTGAGCATCAGTATTTTTTTTTAAAGTTTTCTAGATGATTCTAATAGACGGCCACTGAGAACCCCCGTCCTAGAAGGTAGGGTGTGTGTGTGTGTGTGCAGGCGTATGCGTGTGTGTGTGTGTGTGCCTATCCACCGAATATGTTATTTTTCTTTGTTCCCATACAACTGATAAAATTTGAAGCATAGGGGCAATAGGTCGGTGGTAATGACACACAACAAGGGCTCCATTACCTGGGTGGTGTCTTCCATCAGCCCACGAATCTTCTCCACAACATCGTTTCTCCGGTGCTGGCGCAGGGCGCTAATTAGCTGGGCGAGGCTGGCCTCGGGGCCCCGGATGGTCCAGTGCTGCAGAGCTGCGTAGGCCCGCTCGTGGTCGGCTGTGTACCCATTGGAGAAAGCAGCAACCTCCCTCTCACTGGCATTGCAAAGAAACTGATAGATATCTTTCCACTGGCTTCCCACTTGGGCTGCTACAAGCTTCAGGATATCGATACCTACACCAGAGAAAAAATAAAAAACAAATGAGGGCTTGTAAGGGAAGCTTCTTACATAAGGCAGCTCTGCTTTAATGAATGAACTAGAAGAGGCACGCTTTCCTATCGCTGTATGTCAAAGGAATGCATTGCCTCCCTTAAGCACTTGGCACAAGCAGCTCATCTTGTGGACTAGCTGGTACCCTCATACAAATTTCACTTCCTGAGTGTGGAACCAGAAGAAGGAATGATCATGGAATTATAATAAATCAGACCCAAAAAGATGTTTCGAAAGCCAAACCCAAATAAGGTATTCACGGTGATTCCTCTGTTACTATAGTAATACACCCTTGTTGAAGGAGAGGGGTGGATAAGTTCCAAGATCCCCAGTGGATGCCTTGAAGCCATGGATGGTACAGAGCCCTATACATACTACGCATGAATTTCTTTTTCCTTCTTCACAATGTATGGATAGAAGATTCCTTCTTCTTGTAGATCTTAGCAACCTCAGCATACAATTGACTTTTCTTATTAAGTGGGGAACTTTCATGTTTTCACTTAAAGGAAGCACTTTATGGCCGCTGGCATATCCAAATTATCAGCATCACTCCTCTCGAGCTTTGGGCCAATATTAAGTAAAATAAGGGTGACTTGAACACAGGCACTGTGGTACCAGTACTGAGACAGTCAATCTGATAACCTAGACGGCTACTAAGTGACTCACAGGCAGGTGAGGTCTCCAGCATGGATATGGTGGACAAAGGGATGATTCCCTTCCCCAGCAGGACAGAGCAGGATGGTACGGGAATGTGAGATTTGATCGCATTACTCAGAATAGTGCATAATCTAAAACTTATGAATTGTTTATTTCTGGAATTTCCCATTTAGTATTTTCGGACCACAGTGGACCACAGGCAACTGAAACCTTGGAAAGCTAAACTGTGGATAAGGGAGGACTACTGTACTAAATACAATAGTAACCAAGTAAGTTAGAGGCTCCCATCTAAAAACATGGTGACTTCATGACATTTAGAAAAAGGGAAGCTGCAAATTAAAACTGTAATGGACTTTACCCAGAACTGTCTAGGTAAAAGGTTTTCAAATTCTGGGAATGGTGTCCTTTATATCAACTAACAGTGTGCCCAGCTGTTCCAGGCCAATAGAAGCATTCCTGAAGAACACCTAAGTTGTGCTCAAATTCATGTTCAACAAGCAATTTTCTAATTCATTATTCAGTCTTCCAACTTGGCTTGCATAGTTATAATGAAGACAGCAGCCAAAATGACTGTATAATAACAATAGCTATTATCTTCCAGGTATTATGTTAAGGCATTAGCTCACTGAACATCTTTATAAGGCATTAATATTCCAATTACACAGGTAAGAAAAAAAATACACTTAGAAAAGTTAGGCTACTGGCCCAGTATCACAAAGGTAGGTGAGTTGGTTATTGAACCCAACTCACCAGTTTTGTAATTCAAATCCTGTATGTGTAACCACTATGAAATGTGACAGTATCGATGGTACCTTCCAAGATGAAGGAAATGCCTTGGCTTATAATGACTATGGCTGGTTAGTCTGACAGACAGCTGTCCCCAATGATTCAATATATTATCATCCTGGCTCAGCAGTCACTTGAAAACCCAGTGAGTGTGCATCTGTGGTCCCCAGATCTGATGAACAGATGAAATGGTGATGATGAAATTGGTGAAATGCAAAAATCAAATCTCAAGATCCAAAAACTCAGGATAAGCACCTGGCACCAACCGTTCGTGAGGGGAGGCTCTCCCTGAGTAGCTCACTTTGGTGTCTCTCTGTTTATGGCGTCTTCTCTCTGCAATTACACATTGGCTTTGCCAGGATTTACATGTGGGATGCATATATCACCCTTATAGTAAGGGCCCTGGTATTTTACTACAACGGGTGAGTGAGTCCTCTGAATCAATGTCATGTCTTTGGTTTTTTTTTTTGTTTTTTTGAGATGAAGTTTTGCTCTTGTCAGCTAGGCTGGAGTGCAATGGTGCCATCTCGGCTCACTGCAACCTTAACCTCTCGAGTTCAAGGGATTCTCCTGCCTCACCCTCCCAAGTAGCTGGGATTACAGACACCCACCACCACACCCAGCTAATTTTTGTATTTTTAGTAGAGATGAGGTTTCATCAGTGTTGGCCAGGCTGGTCTCAAACTCCTGACCTCAGGTGATCTGCCTGCCTTGGCCTCCCAAAGTGCTGGGATTACAGGCGTGAGCCACCATGCCTGGCCAATATCATGTCTTTGAATGAGGTCACGCTCACCTGCCCTGATAACATAGCTGTTATAGTTAACAATATCTTAAAAAATATTTACTACTCAATAAAAAAAAATAGGGTCACATTCCCAAGTGAGGCTTAGGAGAGAAAGGAAAAGAGAAGAATAAAGAGGGGTTTACTGTTCTGATTTCTCAATCAAAGGTTTCCTAGAAAAAAAATAAAAATATTTTTTGCACCCATCAGTTGTTCAGGAAAATATTTATAAAATGAGCTATCAATTATTGCTAATAAAAACAATAATAATTATAAAAGTTTCTGTAAAAACGAAGGACGCTGTGGCTCCTCAACACGCATTCTTACTTTGCCAGGCAATCCTATTGAGGCAGATGATGTGGAAGACTGTATACACATTCTGCACCAATCCACTGAAAATGGTTTTCAAAAATCAGTTCCTAGTAGAAGGCTGTTTTCCTGTCAACTATAAAAGTAGAATGGATGGGCAGGGTGGCTCACACCTGTAATGCAGCACTTTGGGAGGTTGAGGCAGGTGGATCGCTTGAGTCCAGGAGTTTGAGACCAGCCTGGGCAACATGGTGAAAACCCATTTCTACAAAAAATACAAAAATTAGCTGGGTGTGGTGGCATAGGCCTATATTCCCAGCTACTTGGGAGACTGAGGTGGGAGGATTGCTTGAGCCCCAGAGGGGAGGTTGCAGTGAGCCAAGATTACACAACTGCACTCCAGCCTGGGTGAGAGAGGGAGACTCTATCTCAAAAAAAGTAGAATGCCACAAAAAATTTAAAAAGGATGCCACAAATTGAGTCATTACTGTACTTCTCACACAGTTTTCCCTGGCAGTGTGAAGTTACTTGAACCAAGTCCTTTTCAGTTTTCCGAGCAATGTTTAGTCAGATACAGAGCTTTTGATTTCAAGCAAATAGACTCCTCAGAAAACCCATAACTGATTTTAAACCCTGCAGGTAACTTTAAGGAATAAGCCAGCTCTTTGTGATTGATGTGGTAGACTCTTCCAAACACCAAAAGTCTTGTTAGTCCCTGAATCTTAATTTAGATCAATTTGACTAAGGTCCACAGTGTCTTACATGAAAACATGACCATGTTTTCTGGTAAGTAGGACCATTGCTTAAATCTTCATAATGCCGATGACAGTGGCTTTGGGCAAACCTCTAACTGTCATGTCCATTTCCTCATGTGTACAATGGAGAAACTCACTAGGGTCACTGCGGATAAGCTGATTAACATTTTCTATAGAGTTACTTTATTTTTGGAAGTGTTCCCATCATTATGAAAGCTCCATACACAGAGGACTAAACTTAAGGCTCAATGCATTTCAGATGCAAATACACGGCCTTTACGAAGTAATTACAGAGTTTAAAAGGTTTAAGTTTAACAACCCCTCCTTCCAAAACCCAGTACTGTATTTATCCTTTTTTTAAGCCACAAAATAAAGAAAAAAAGAAAAAAAAACCCACAAAGAATAGATACAATGAAATTTCCCTAAACTAAAATGGACTGGAAGCTAAATTTAAGGCCTACAAATCAGGTTTCATCTTGTTCTCTCTCTCAGCTAGATTCTCTACTATGAAAACATGGAGTCAACTCCATGAACTGGCTGGGGTCGCCAATGTTCTTCACTGCTGTCCTCTCCCACCGTGGAGTTGATAAATCAAAGATAAATCAATGACTCCCTCAGGGGATACCAACCTTTTAGTCTAGCACATTATCACAAAACCCCAGTGAGGAGACCAGACTGGGGCTTTGAATGCCTTCCTTGTGTAGGAAAAAGTGTTAGTCAAAAGAAAACAATCAACTACAGAGAAAAGCAGGAGGACGATTTGCCAAATTGAGATAGTTACCTCTTTGGGGAGGGGGAAGGAGCACAGAAGGGATTTCAAAGGTATTCATAAAGTTCTGTTTCCTAGGCTGGACAGTGGAGAAATGGGTTTTCTTTTCATGTTATTACTTTTATTTGAGATTTATTTTACTATTCCTTTTTAAACTATCTATATAACATACACATATATAAGATGTGTTTATAAATACTTCATAAATACACATGGTTAAGTGTTCAATTTTGTTGGCAAGGAAATCGCATGTTGGGGTTGGTGACTAGTGCAAGGTCACCCACCCAGTTAGTGATGCCTCAATTGTGGTTAATAGGGAATGTGATGCAGTGGAGGAACATTATTATTTGCTGGAATTATTCTCCTCAGGCATGGCCATCCAGCCTAGGATGAACGCACTCAAGGCTGGCCACAGTGTGTGTGCTGCCTCCTGGTCTGTTATTACTGACCAAGCATATGTTGGTGCAAAAGTAATCATGGGCTGGACGGGTGGCTTATGCCTGTAATTCTTTGGGAGGCTGAGGTGAGTGGATCCCTTGACCCAGGAGTTCATAACCAGCCTGGCCAACATAGCGAAACCCTGTCTCTACTAAAAATACAAAAAATTAGCGAGGCGTGGTGGTGCACACCTGTAATCCCAGCTACTCAGGAGGCTGAGGCAGGAGAATCACTTGAACCTGAGAGACAGAGGTTGCAGTGAGCCAGGATTGTACCACCGCACCCCAGCCTAAGCAACAGAGTAAAACTGTCTCAAAAAAAAGAAAAAAATAAAAGTAATTGTGGTTTTTTTTTTTTTTTTGGTCACCAAAATGGCAAAGACCACAGTAACTTTTGCACCACCTAATAGACACTGGAACAGTTTCCCCAGGGACTTTATTTCTTTTCTTGTGATCTCAGCTCACTGCAGCCTCTGCCTCCTAGGTTCAAGAGATTCTCCCAACTCAGCCTCCCTAGTACCTGGGACTACAGGTGTTCACCATGCCCGGCTAATTTTTGTATTTTTAGTAGAGACGGGGTTTTGCCATGTTGGCCAGGCTGATCTCAAACTCCTGACCTCAAGTGATCTGCCCACCTCAGCTTCCCAAAGTGCTGGGACTATAGGAGTGAGCCACTGCATCCTTTATTTCCTTTCTTTAAATCTATGATACCCTAAAAGAAAGAGAAAAAGAGAGAGAATGAAAGAAGTCAGCAAACTTTTCCTGTAAGGACAGCAGTAAATATTTGAGGCTTTGAAAACCATACAGTCTCTGTCATGACTCCTCAGCTCTGTTGGAGCATGAAAGCAGCCACCAACACCACAAATGAATGTGGCTGTGTTCTAATAAAACTCGACTTACAAAAAAAGTAGGCTGGATATGGCCCACGGGCTGTAGTTCACCAGCCCCTGCAATTACAGCAATTTAAAGAGACCTTGGGTAGGACTGTCAAATAGCATAAAGATTTAGAAAAGCATTTCATTAAAAGAAAAGAAACCACACTCAGAAGACAATGAAAGTTCCCACCCCAATTATTAACCTCAATGTGAAATGACAGTAAGTGACATGGAGACCACCTCTCTGCTTGGCAGGATGCCCAGTCATCTGCCCCATCGGAGTTCCCAGGGTTTTTGTCAAGATTGGTGACAGTAGCTATGTGTTGAATTGATCTAAATTGTTTAACTGGATGTGATGCCAAGTGTCTTTTTCCTTACATTGAAAAGTAACACAACCCTCAACCCACTGAAGGGCTGATAGACAGGGGCACAGAACATCACATTGCCTTTTTTTTTTTTTGAGACGGAGTCTCACTCAGTCACCCAGGCTGGACTGGAGTGCAGTGGTGCAATCTTGGCTCACTGCAACCTCCACCTCCTGGGTTCAAGAGATTCTCCGGCCTCAGGCTCCCGAGTAGCTAGAACTACATGTGTGCACCACCAGGCCCAGCTAATTTTTGTATTTTTAGTAGAGAAGGGGTTTCATCATGTTGGCCAGACTGGTCTTGAACTCCTGGCCTCAAGTGATCCACCTTCCTAGGCTTCCCAAAATGCTGGGATTACGGGTGTGAGCCACTGTGCCCTGCCAACATTGCCTTTTCCCGTGGTGCCAGATCCTGGAGCTCTGGAGAATGGATGAAGTTTCTGAGGAGGTCATCAAAGGAGTCAAGCCCTATACATCCGAGGCTGTACTAGTTAGGAACTATCTGAGAAGGTGGCCCTGGCCCCTGGAGAAAAGCATGAGGATGGGAAGGATCAGGTAGTGGGAAGATCATTGGTAGTAGTCACAAGATATGGTTTCAAACTCCAGATTTGTGACTTGTTAGTTGCATGACCCTGAGCAAGTGGCAACCTCTCAGATTTCACTTTTCACTTAAGTAAAATAGAAACACCCCCTCTTATCTGGTAGAGTGGTTAAGGAGATTTATGCGATCAAGTATTAAAGACTCCTAGGGTGGCATATCAGTACAATTCGGCTCTGCTTCCCCTGCCCCTCCATTTCTGCTTGGACAAGTGTCATTGGGCCAATGAACCTAAAAGATGGGAAGAGTTCTGTACAAACACAGGTTTTAGCACTGGGATTATTGGTGCTGAACAATGAAGCCAAGCACCAGACTCCCGGCTTCCTGTGTTTCTTGGAACCTCACACGTACATGTTAGGAGATGGCTGAAGTCATCCACAGGAGGGTTTATGTGGAAGGAAAAATGCTGCTGCTACCGCCTCTGCCACATGCAGGGCATCACAGCAGTACTCAATGGGTTCTTCCAAGTGAGCTGGTACTGACTTGATCCCCAGCAGGAGAGCTCAAGAACTGAGGTATGAGCTGATAAACTGGGTTATTATGGAAGAAATGGCAATTTCCAGTGCATCATAAAACCTTGAATTACATATTATCTGGGGGACAATCCTAATTTGAAGCTCATTTTTTAAAAGCTGAATATCAGCTTCAGGATGCAAAAATGGGTTCCTTCTCTTTTAATAAAAACCCAAATTGACCTTTATAATTAGAGAAAATGTGAAGGCTGTTTTCCTTTTGGAGATAAATATCTGGAATGAATGTCATCAATGAGAACCCATATCAAAGCCCTCCTTGGATGAGGTATAAAGGACAGTGAAGACAAAGCTGGAGGAAGCAAAGGCTGCCTGGAACTATACAACATAGCACTCAGTTTCATGCTGCACAATCAGGCTTCGTGCAGAATGGGTGCATCTAAGAGACAGGTTTATAAACTTTTTGATGGTATCAAACTCATCATATAAAAAGATTCAATCACCCCCAACACATCTTGTTACATGTAATGTCAGTTCTCATTATTCTTCTAGAAAGAGAGTGTAAAGGGACAAATAATGAGAAAATTCCCAGGGAGGCAATTAATACACAACCTCCTCCCAGGACAGACAACTCCACAGTTATCCCTGTGCCAGTTTCTCAACACACAGCAGTCTCCTGAGATGTACACATGGAAGACGGGAGACATGAACTCAAGACAGCCTCCCTTCTAACACCCCCCCAAACCTCCCTAAAAGACATGCTCCTAACAGGCACGCACTGTGTCCATAACCTTACAAGCTGCAGATACAGGGACAGAGATGGCCACAGCACATACAGCAACTATACAAAGCAACATATGTCAAAGTCAGAAATTGGAATAAAAGCCTGGCTTTAGCATTACTGGAATTGATGTTCCACATACAATGGTCTTGTCCTCCAAGATGCCTTTGAGGCCAAGCCCAAGACCACACTGCTTTGACTAGCAGCATCCCCAGCACCTGTCAGAGGAATACCACAAATATCTTTGGATAAATGAATGAGAGTCTTTTTTTGTCATCCCTGCCCTCTTGACTGACCCTCCTCACCATTCGTCATCTCATTAGCTTCTGTAACCTAAGCCACTGAGAACCTGAGTGGCCCCAGGCCCACACACACCCTAGCCTTGTGGCCCTGCCAGATCTCTAGCCTCTATAATAATGAGAAGAAAGGACAACAGTTCTATGGTGTCCTATGCTCACCACTGGGTGAAACCTGGGCTCCCAGGGACCCTGTTCTTGTACAAGGGCCTCTCCCTCTGCCAGTGCCCTCTTCCCATTTAGAGTGATCCACTACGTCCACTTTAGTGGCCAGAGCTCATAAGCAGGAAAGTTCTCCCAGATTCTCCCACTGCAGCAAAATCCTTCTGCTGGGATCAGCTGTCCAAGCTGTGGTCTCTCCAGCCTAATAACAGAGTAAGTGCTCCTAAAAGCAACATACCCACATGTACCTGTGTTTCATAGTAACCAGTATACGATAGCATGGTTAAAAATTTGTATACCAACAGCAGTAACTTCCAGTGCATCCACTACACAGGAAACTGCTTTATTAGTGCTAGGAACTTTGTATGCCCCAGGTTAAAAATAGTCCTTCCCTAACTGAGGTGTAAAAGTTAGAAGATCTGTTTAGATTTTACTTTAGCTGCAAAAAATTATTTCTGAAGCAGAATTTATCACTATCTAGTTGAAGGTTTAATAGACAATAACCGTAAGCTCAGATGAACCTTGGGGACTACTAAGAAAGAGAAAGAAAAAAAACAAAAAACACCGTGCAAAGATCTCTTGAAGTAAATGGACAACATGTTTTCCAACGATAAACTATCAAAACAGTAGACAATTTTCCAAATGGAAGAAATATCACTGATACTGTGAGGAAAATGGATAATCTTTTATTTCATTCCACTGGGCAAAAAACAAAACAAAAACATCCCTCCTTCCTGCTTATCTTAGTCTGTTTTTGAAGCTATCTCAAATGTCTGAAGCTGTTAACTTATTCATTCAACAAAAATTTACTGAGCGTCTACTTTGTGCCAGACACTTTTCTAGGTACAGGAGATATGGCAGTGAACAAATGCCAAGTGAAACAAAATCCCTTTCTTTGTGAAGGTTACATTCCATTGGGGGGAAGTAATAAAACATAAACTGTGTTAGATAGGGAGGAGAGCTAAGGAGAAAAATAAAGCAGGTAAAGAGGATAGGGTAGGAGGTGATGAGGCTGCCACATCTAAGAGAAGCCTCACAGAGGTAGCATCAAGCCCCTAATGGAGAAAGCTGTGCAGATTATCTGTGGAAAGAGGGTTCTGGGCAAAGGGAGCAGCAGGTGCAATGGCAGGAAGGGTATTGGCATGGACAAGGAGGAGCAGGAAGGCTGGCATGGCTGGAGCAAGTGGGCCAGGGAGAGGGACCAAGAGGAGTCGCAGAGAGAGAAAAAATTGGAGTCAGGAGAGTGCAGATCACATCCGGCCTTTAAGCTGCTACTATGCATTCAATAAAAAGTCACGGGAGACCTTGGGGAGAGAAATGACACAATCTGACTTTACATTTAAACAGTATCATTCCAGCTGTTGTGCCAAGAATAAACTGAAGGGAGCACAGATAAAAATGGAGCAACCAGTTAGAGGCCACAGCAGTAATCCAGCAAGGAGGTGATAGGGGTCTGGGCCAAAGTGGTGGCCATGGAGGTGATGGGAGGTGGTGGACTTCTCCATGTATTTTGAAGGTAGAGCTGACAGACAGGATTTACTAATGAGCCAAATAAGGGGTGAGAATGTAATAAAGGAATCAAGGATGCTAAGGTTTCATCCTGAGCAAGTGGAAGACAGGGGACCACTTTCTGTGATGGGCAATTGATGTGGAGGTATGGTTTGTAATTTGGTGTTAGACATCTTAAGCATGAGGTGCCTGTTAAACATCTGGGTCTGCCAAGCAGGCAGGAGCATATTTCTATCGTGAGTGCAGGTAAAAGGTCCAGGCTGGAATATGCACTTGGGAATTACCAGCAGATAGATGGTATTTAAAGTCGTGGGTCACCAAGGGAGAGAGAGTGTGTACATTGAAAAGAGGTGCAAGCACTGAATCCTGGAGCTCTCCACTGTTTAGAGGTCAGGAAAATGAGGAGGAACCCGCCATGGAAACAGAGAAGAAACAGCCCAAGATGGAGGAGGAAAACCAGGACAATGTGGTATTTTGGAGGCAAAGGGAAGAAAGTGTTTCAAGGAAAAGGGAGGCAACAGTGTCGATTGCTGCCAATAGGCCAAGCAGAGGAAAACTGAGAACTGAACAGTGGCATTAGAATCATGTTGTCACACTCTATGGAAAAAAGGTGAGACTGCAGCTGAAAGATCACCATATTTACTAATTCTAAGACACCTGAATGTATATTTTAATCAATGTCTTTTCATAGTTTGGTTGCATTATTTCCTTTCTCTACTTAGTGGTATATAAAAGAGTGGTATGTCTCACAATTAATTGTGTGTCAGATTTGGTGAAATATAGTTAAGAGGTTTTTTATACTTATAAATTTGAATTTACCTATTTGTTAAAATTTGACACAACATCAATAAGCCTAATATGTCCAATTCTATACATACATTGCCATGTTAGCCACCAGTTACTCATGAAGAACATCAGCAGAATTCCAGAAATTCCTCTTCTTCTGCAAAATCTGCTTACATAATACCTGACCAGGTTGACTCAAGGACATACATTTTTAGATTTTTTTTTCCTATTTGTATTTGAGTCCTATGTGGGAGAAATGCTGATTTGCTTTTCAATATCCCAAACAGCTTAAATTTAAAAGCTGTTAGTTAAAACATGGAGTGAAATATACATTTTAAAAATAAATACCTTAGGCCGGGTGCGGTGGCTCACACCTGTAATCCCAGCACTTTGGGAGGCCAAGGCAGGCGGATCATTTGAGGTCAGGAGTTTGAGACCAGCTTGGCCGACATGGCGAAACCCTGTCTCTACTAAAAATACAAAAATTAGCCAGGCATGGTGGTCCCAGCTACTCAAGAAGCTGAGGCAAGAGAATCGCTTGAACCTGGGAGGCAGAGGTTGCAGTGAGCTGAGATCGCGCCACTGCACTCCAGCCTGGGCGACAGAGCAAGACTCCATCTCAAAAAATAATAAATTAATTAATTAATAGCTTCACCCTAAAGGCTAGAGAACAGTCACTAGAGGGTGGGTCTGAGGAGAATCACAGTCTCTGACTCCCAAGGTCGAAGGCCATGCCTCTGGCCACCTTGTGCATGAGATAATGCTTTTTAGGCTACAAGCATAAGAGGCTTTTCTCCTGCCAACAGTTTTGGGTGCTTTATAATCCTCAAACACCCTAAGAGGTTAAAGAGAAAGGTGTTGTCTAGTGGAAATGGCATTCCTGGACTCAGAGGTGGAAAAGGCAGTGGGATGGGGGCGGGGGTGAGAACAGTCCAACCCCGCTGCTGGAAAATGACTGCGGCTGTCAGCCCATAGCTGGAACACTAGGACACAGCAGCCTCTTAAAGGGAATAACCTGCTCCCTTCAGCCTGGCTTCCTGGTGTTTACACTTCAAGTCTACTTCCCATAGGAAATCTGGGCTGACAGACAGGATGACTGTCTGGAATTTTAAGTCAAAAAGTCTATCTGGCAAAGGAGGGAAAGCTTTGGTTGCAGCAACTGCTGCTGCTGTTGCCACTGCTGTCTGGTGATGAGAAAAACACCAAGTTAAACAGAAGGGAGTTCAGATTAGAAGGACTCCATCACCTCTGACTTACTTGAAACAGCCTCTATTTCTTAAAACAGCCTTGTAGAGCCTTCAGCCATTGGGTGTCTGGCTTTAGAATTTTTCTATTTCAAGCAATTTATGAACAAGTAGGATATCTGAGTGATTTCTACAGAGGAAAATTTACTGTTGATGACAATTTTGTAGGCGTTTTATTCCAGAACAAGCTGGGCTTTGCTAAGGTAATAATTTTTTTCTTGACTGAGCACAGTTTTTTTGTTTTGTTTTGTTTTGTTTTGTTTTTTTTAAATCAACCACAAAAGGTTAGACCTTTCTAGCACCGAGTAATTTATAGGAAAATCCAGATTCTGATCATTAAGGGACAGTGTCTAGCATCAGATCAGTGCCTGACTTTAAAACCTGGCACTGCTACTTCCTAGCTATGTGAACTTGGGGAAGTTACTCTTCAAACCTCAGTTTCCCCATCTCTAAAATAGGGATAATAGTGGCCTTCTGTATAGGGTTATGAAAATGAAGTTGATACTTATAAAAACTTAGAACAGGACATGGCACTCAGGAAGCATATCAATCTTTGTTAAGGAAAAGTAGAATGTGAAAACAATGTAGCAGAAGAAGCCTTTCCTATAAAGGTTAAAAATGTATACTGTAGTAATCACATTTTATGTCATCTTTGCATCCCAAATCACCTCCTGATCTTGCCTATGCCGGTAGTAGCAAACACCCCATAAATTCATTTTAAGCAAAACCAAAGTGTCAAAGTGCTAATGTAACATATCACTCCTAACACACTTGATTTGTTCATTTCCAAACACTGCATATGGTGGTTTTAATAATTCAGATGAAAGTTTTCTTAAGGTATTCCTGATACCTGATTGAAGAGTTTATTAATATTGTTCAAATATATCCACAGCATAGCTTCCAGTTGATCAACTTCTGTCACCTGACCACTGAAACCTCTAGGAAATCTTTGTATAAGAAACATGCAATTCCACTCCTATGATTGCACTGCATTGCAAATCGACTCCCACTATTGGACTGGCCCTTACTGCTTACCCTAGAAAGAGGGAGAAGTCTGCAGGGTTGAGAGTCTGGGAGATGGGTTTTGTTCACGACCCCCAATAAAGACAAATTCTCCCACATTTGACCAATCCTAAAAGAGGAATCACACTTGGGGAAGGAAGGAAACATTTTTTTTCTAAGCCTGTTGTTGGGATTCATAAGAACTTAGAACTCTGAACTGGGCTGTTGTTGAGTAAAACCATTTTTGCTGGCTTGCTAGGGAAAGAAGGATGATGTTATGATTTGCTTTGCTTGAGTAGTACATTGTGGATAAGGGATAGAATGGAAGAAATAAAAAATGTTATCACCAGAAACTCAAGTCCTAAAATATAACTTAGTTCAATATATAAATAAATATGCTAAGCAAATTATGTCTTGTTTGTTAAGCAGCGTTATTTCCCCAAAGAACAGTCTTTACATTCAAACTGGGACATCAAAGTTATGCTAATAAGAGGTTCGACCACCAAGCCAGCTGGTCTGTACTTTAACTTAGTATTTGAATTTCAATCCTAAAATACAGAAGGGGTTGGTTGTAGGTTGTTTTCAACTGCAAGTTTCAGTTTTTGCATCTCCGAAGGAAAGGATTTTAAGATGAAAAGAGACATTATAAATATTTGAATCCAAGACCTTTATCATTACGGGGAGTAAAATCAGGCCCACAGGGTCCTTCCCTCTGCACAGCTTCCCTCCCGAGCCAAAGTTGCCTCACTCCACACATCTCCCAATAAGCAGGTTTGCTTTTTCACTTGTACACAGAATATTCCCTTCTTTCACCTCCCAAGGCTTCACCCTATCAACTTAGCAGGTGCTCCCCACCCTACAAGAGCAGACCTGTGTGAGTAAATTTCCTTCCTTCCAGCCTCTAATATTGTTAGAGTCAGACTACCCATGCCACAGTCTGATTTTCTTTTTTCTTTTTTTTTTTTGTTTTTGTTTTTGAGACAGAGTCTCACTCTGTCACCCAGGCTGGAGTGCAGTGGTGAGATCTCGGCTCACTGTAACCTCTGCCTCCCAGGTTCCAGTGATTCTCCTGCCTCAGCCTCCTGAGTAGCTGGGACTACAGGCACGCACCACTACGCCCAGCTAATTTTTGTATTTTTTAGTAGAGACGGGGTTTCACCATGTTGGCCAGGCTGGTCTCGAACTCCTGACCTCAAGTGATCAGCCCGCCTCAGCCTCCCAAAGTGCTGAGATTATAGGCGTGAGTCACCGCACCTGGCCTCACACTCTGATTTTCTTTTCTACTCTTCTTGTACTGGTCAATCTTTAAGGCATTTTATAGTCAAAGTTCCTAGTGCAGTTGTTGCCTCTGCAACCACTTCTTCTGGCCTATGTGACTCATACATTTTGACCCTAGACGGATTTCTACTTGAGTTGAAAATCAGATATAATGTCCCTCCGCCTCACTCCAGCTCTCCATGAATGCTCCAGTATGGCTCATCTCCCTGGCCTTGTGGGAAAGAAAAAGGGGCAACCAAGCTGGTAATTTTATCAATGTTACATATTATATCATTCAATCTGCATAGACATCCCATGAGATAGGAGTCATATCCACATTACAGGTGAGACACAGGCCTGGCACCATGGCATAGACAGGACTGATATTCAAAACCCAGGTATATCTGACGCATGAGCCCTCACCTTTCACTGCACTATGCTGCCTCCCAGGGTGAAGTAAAAATTATCAACCCCATCTTTCTGAATCTTGATTGCTTCTTTGAATATAAATATCTTGAATATGTCTCTCCATCAACCCCCACTCCTCATCATGGGGTCCTAGAAAGGGAAACAAGTAGAAATTGAGGAGAAATATGTTGCAACAGTATATTTGTGATGGTCTAGGTTTCAAGCATCTGTCCACACCTCCACTCCTCCTTCTCCAAAGGATGGAAGGGTAAGAGTGAGATGCAGTGTATGCACTAGTTCCCAGCTCAGGATCCAAGGCCACATGCCTGAGAGCCAGTCCAGGCTCCCCACTGACTCGTGGTGTGGCCTTAGTCAAATTACTTTATCTTTCTGTGCCACTGCTCCTAATGTGTAAAATTGGCACGATCCTGACATCATAAGGTTATTCTGAGAATTCAACAAGAAAATATACATAAATTCCATAGAACAGTGCCTGGAACATCATAAGCATTCAGTAAACAGGAAGTATTACTTCTCTCCCTTCCCTCACCAATAATAAGGCTCTCCTAGAGGAGCTTTCATATAGATTTATCCTGGACAAGAACATTTTCAAGTAAAACTGAGTTAAAGTCAGAGAATGTCAAAAGCAGCTAGAAAGGTGCTCAAGTCTCTAAGAGGGTTCAAGGAAAGGAGGCATAAAGAAGAACACCTTTGTCTCTTCAAGGCAAAGGTGGGAAGGTTTCATTTGTGTTGAAAGATTTTAAGATTTCTTTAAGTTGCTTTCACCTGGAGCCAAGATCTCCTAATTTATCTCACAGCCAGTTCTTTCACCTCCCCCAGCCTGAAATCATCCAAGTAAAAGATACTCATAAAAAGGTAGACACATACCGCTTCCCCTTCTGTCTTGATTATCATCTAGGAACCATTACCGGTGTCATCCAGGCTATCCAGGGAGAGACAGCAGGTCAGGCTCTGAGACATGCCTTCCATCCCCACCTCATCTACCCTATGCCCCTGATAAGGGCCAAAGGGCTATGTTCCTTCATTCCTTTGCTTCCCCAAACCTCAGTCTCCAATATCCTTATTTATCTTCTAGGTTTTTGCAATCGCCTGTGTGTTTTCTCATTCAAGAAACTTGAGTAATTGTTTACAAACCAGAATGTCCTCTGTACTGAGCAGAAGAACCCTGCAGTCCTTTGACCAGGAAAGCAACATGTCAAATATAAAGAGCACTGTCTCGAGAATTAGAGAGCCAGGCCTTGGCTTCCCTCTAACCCTACTGGCCATGTGACTTTGGGCAAGTCACCCTTCCTTCCTGTGCCTCAGCTTCATCTTCTGTATAATGAGAGGACTGGACTAAGTGAATCTCCTCTAACCGTGACTTACACACAAACACACACACACAGACACACACAGACACAAACACACACACACAAACACACACACACACACATACACACATTGCCCATGATCTTTATTGCTCTCCAATTTGTAAATTTTCCAAAAAATAAAATGAAAACAAACACTATATTACTAAAGCCTAGTAAGCCCTAGTCCTGGAACAGTGCCTTGAACATGGTGTTCAAATATATATAATTAAATAAAAACATCACAAGTTAAGCAGCTGAATAACAAGTCTTTGTAAAGATTATTTTCTAGTTTTTCCTTTGCCTTGAGATTCCTTAAGGGTGAACCTGGTTACAAACTTATCCCAAACTTCCCTCATTTCAGAATAGGATAGCATGTTTACTTCATATAATGTATTTCCCTGCTTTAGCCAAATTCCAACTAATTCAGAATTGGGCAGACTGACCATTTAGCTTCTCTTTAGGCAAATAATGCAACATATGGATAACAATAACTCTCAACCAAGAGATAATGTACCAAACAGCAGAACAAAGAGGGAGAAATATCATCTAAGACAGAGAATAATGCCTCTCTAATTTAATATCTCTCATAAGCATTTTTAAAGGAAGAAATTTGTGGTTGTCATGGCTAAAGATATACCCTGTGGACAAGAGCGCTGCCTGGGCCCCTGGAAAGCCACCTTCTTCCCAGCAGAGCACTTAGCCTATAACCTGCATGTGAAACCAGACTTGGACATTGCCTTTCTAGAAGTGAAATAAATTATTTCTATAACCCCAGCCTCTACCCGTATATGAGCGACAGTTTTCTCCATTCACAAGTATCACTTTTAGATTATCTTGTAAAACTTAAGCACATAGTCCCAACAAATTACAAAGATGCACTGATCTGTGGTAAACACATAACTTAAGAAAGTTTTTACTGGGGAGAGTTATGTCCCTGTCTGACAGCTCTAAAGAGAGCAGTGGTTCTCCCAGCATGGCGTATGAGCTCTGAGAAGGGACAGACTGCCTCCTCAAGTGGGTCCCTGACCCCCGTATAGCCTAACTGGGACTCACCTCCCAACAGGGGCCAACAGACACCTCATAAAGGCAGCTGCCCCTCCCGGATGAAGCTTCCAGAGGAAGGATCAAGCAGCAATATTTGCTGTTCTGCAATATTTGCCGTTCTGCAACATCCACTGGTGATACCCAGGCGAACAAGGTCTGGAGTGGACCTCCAGCAAAATCCAACAGACCTGCAGCTGAGGGACCTGACTGTTAGAAGGAAAACTAACAAACAGAAATGAATAGCATCAACATAAACAAAAAGGTCATCTACACCAAAACCCCATCTGTAGGTCACCAACATCAAAGACCAAAGGTAGATAAAACCACAAAGATGGGGAGAAATCAGAGCAGAAAAGCTGAAAATTCTAAAAATCAGAGCGCATCTTCTCCTCCAAAGGATCACAGCTCTTTGCCAGCAATGGAACAAAGCTGAAAGGAGAATGACTTTGAGGAGTTGACAGAAGTAGGCTTCAGAAGATCAGTAATAACAAACTTCTCCGAGCTAAAGGAGCATGTTTGAACCTATCGCAAGGAAGCTAAAAACCTTGAAAAAAAAGTTAGACTAATGGCTAACTAGAATAAACAGTGTAGAGAAGACCTTAAATGACCTGATGGAGCTGAAAACCATGGCACGAGAACTTCGAGACACATGCACAAGCTTCAATAGCTGATTTGATCAAGTGGAAAATAGGGTATCAGTGATTGAAGATCAAATTAATGAAATAAAGCGAGATGACAAGGTTAGAGAAAAAAGAGTAAAAAGAAACAAACAGAGCCTCCAAGAAATATGGGACTATGTGAAAAGACCAAATCTACATTTGATTAGTGTACCTGAAAGTGATGGGGAGAATGGAACCAAGTTGGAAAACACTCTTCAGAATATTATCCAGGAGAACTTCCCCAACCTACCAAGGCAGGCCAACATTCAAATTCAGGAAATACAGAGACCACAAAGATACTCCTCGAGAAGAGCAACCTCAAGACACATAATTGTCAGATTCACCAAGGTTGAAATAAAGGAAAAAGTGTTAAGGGGAGCCAGAGAGAAAGGTCAGGTTACCCACAAAGGGAAGCCCATCAGACTAACAGTGGATCTTTTGGCAGAAACCCTATAAGCCAGAAGAGAGTGGGGGACAATATTTAACATTCTTAAAGAAAATAATTTTCAATCCAGAATATCATATCCAGCCAAACTAAGCTTCATAAGTGAAGGAGAAATAAAATCCTTTACAGACAAGCAAATGCTGAGAGATTTTGTCACCACCAGGCCTGCCTTACAAGAGCTCCTGAAGGAAGCACAAAACATGCAGAGAAACAACCAGTATCAGCCACTGCAAAAACATGCCAAACTGTGAAGACTGTCGATGCTATGAAGAAACTGCATCAATTAACGGGCAAAATAACCAGCAAACATCATAATGACAAGATCAAACTCACACATAACAATATTAACCTTAAATGTAATTGGGCTAAATGCCCCAATTAAAAGACACAGACTGGCAAATTGGATAAAGAGTCAAGACCCATTGTTGTGCTGTATTCAGGAGACCCATCTCACACGCACACACACACATAGGCTCAAAATAAGGGGATGGAGGAAGATCTATCAAGCAAATGGAAAGCAAAAAAAAAGTAGGGGTTGCAATCCTAGTCTCTGATAAAACAGACTTTAAACCAACAAAGATCAAAAGAGACAAAGAAGGCCATTACATAATGGTAAAGGGATCAATTTGACAAGAAAAGCTAACTATCCTTAATATATATGCACCAAATACAGGAGCACCCAGATTCATAAAGCAAGTCCTTAGAGACATACAAACAGACTTAGACTCCCACACAATAATAATGGGAGACTTTAACACCCCATTGTCAGTATTAGACAGATCAACGAAACAGAAGGGTAACAAGGATATCCAGACTTGAACTCAGCTCTACAACAAGCAGACCTAATAGACATCTACAGAACTCTGCACCCCAAATCAACAGAATATACATTCTTCTCAGCACCACATCACACTTTTTCTAAAATTGACCATATAATTGGAAGTAAAGCACTCCTCAGCAAATATAAAAGAACAGAAATCACAACAAACTGTCTCTCAGACCACAGTGCAATTAAATTAGAACTCAGGATTAAGAAACTCACTCAAAACCACACAACTACATGGAAACTGAATAACCTGCCCCTGAATGACTACTGGGTAAATAACAAAATGAAGGCAGAAATAAAGATGTTCTTTGAAACCAATGAGAACAAAGACACAACGTACCAGAATCTCTGGGACACATTTAAAGCAGTGTGTAGAGGGAAATTTATAGCACTAAACACCCACATGAGAAAGCAGGAAAGATCTAAAATCAACACCCTAACATCACAATTAAAAGAACTAGAGAAGCAAGAGCAAACACATTCAAAAGCTAGCAGAAGGCAAGAAAAAAGCAAAATCAGAGCAGAACTGAAAGAGATAAAGACACAAAGAACCCTTCAAAAAATCAATGAATCCAGGAGCTGGTTTTTTGAGAAGATCAATAAAATTGGTAGACCATTAGCAAGACTAATAAAGAAGAAGAGAGAAGAATCAAATTGATGCAATAAAAAATGATAAAAGGGATATCACCACCGATCCCACAGAAATACAAACTACCATCAGAGAATACTATAAACACCTCTATGCAAATAAATTAGAAAATCTAGAAGAAATGGATAGATTCCTGGACACATACACCCTCCTAAGATTAAACCAGGAGGAAGTTGAATCTCTGAATAGACCAATAACAGGCTCTGAAATTGAGGCAATAATTAATAGCCTACCCACCAAAAAATGTCCAGGACCAGATGGATTCACAGCCAAATTCTACCAGAAGTACAAAGAGGAGCTGGTACCATTCCTTCTGAAACTATTCCAATCAACAGAAAAAAAGGGAATCCTCCCTAACTCATTTTATGAGGCCAGCATCATCTTGATACCAAGGCCTGGCAGAGACACAACAAAAAAAGAGAATTTTAGACCAATATCCCTGATGAACATCAATGGGAAAATCCTCAATAAAATACTTGCAAACCAAATCCAGCAGTACATCAAAAAGCTTATTCACCATGATCAAGTCAGCTTCATCCCTGGGATGCAAGGCTGGTTCAACATATGCAAATCAATAAATGTAATCCATCACATAAACAGAACCAACGACAAAAACAACATTATCTCAATAGATGCAGAAAAGGCCTTCGACAAAATTCAACAGCGCTTCATGCTAAAAAATCTCAATAAACTAGGTATTGATGGAATGTATCTCAAAATAATAAGTGCTATTGATGACAAACCCACAGCCAACATCATACTGAATGGGCAAAAACTGGAAACTTTCCCTTTGAAAAATGGCACAAGACAAGGATGCCCTCTCTCACCACTCCTATTCACCATAAAGTTGGAAGTTCTGGCCAGGGCAATCAGGCAAGAGAAAGAAATAAAGGGTATTCAATTACGAAATGAGGAAGTCAAATTGTCCCTGTTTGCAGATGACATGACCATATATTTAGAAAATCCCATCATCTCAGCCCCAAATCTCCTTAAGCTGAGGATATAAAATCAATGTGCAAAAATCACAAGCATTCCTATACACCATTAACAGACAAATGAGAGCCAAATCATGAGTGAACTTCCATTCACAATTGCTATAAAGAAAATAAAATACCTAGGAATCCAACTTACAAGGGATGTGAGGGACCTCTTCAAGGAGAACTACAAACACTGCTCAACGAAATAAGAGGACACAAATAACTGGAAGAATATTCCATGCTCATGGATAGGAAGAATGAATATTGTGAAAATGGCCATACTGCCCAAAGTAATTTATAGATTCAATGCCATCCCCATCAAGCTACCAATGATTTTCTTCACGGAATTGGAAAAAACTACTTTAAAGTTCATATGGGACCAAAAAAAGGGCCTGCATTGCCAAGACAATCCTAAGCAAAAAGAACAAAGCTGGAGGCATCACGCTACCTGACTTCAAACTATACTACAAGGCTATAGTAACCAAAATAGCATGGTACTGGTACCAAAACAGATATATAGACCAATGGAACAGAACACAGGCCTCAGAAATAACACCACACACATCTATAACCACCTGATCTTTGACAAACCTGACAAAAACAAGAAATGGGGAAAGGATTCCCTATTTAATAAATGGTGTTGGGAAAACTGGCTAGCCACATGTAGAAAGCTGAAACTGGATCCCTTCCTTACACCTTATACAAAAATTAATTCAACATGGATTAAAGATTTAATGTTAGACCTAAAACCATAAAAACTCTAGAAGAAAACCTAGGCAATACCATTCAGGACATAGGCATGGGCAAGGACTTCATGACTAAAACACCAAAAGCAATGGCAACAAAAGCCAAAATTGACAAATGGGATCTAATTAAACTAAAGAGCTTCTGCACAGCAAAAGAAACTATCATCAGAGTGAACAGGCAGCCTACGGAATGGGAGAAAATTTTTGCAGTCTACCCATCAGACAAAGGGCTAATAACCAGAATCTACAAAGAACTGAAACAAATTTACAAGAAAAAAACAAACAACCCCATCAAAAAGTGGGCAAAGGATATGAACAGACACTTCTCAAAAGAAGACATCTATGCAGCCAACAGACACATGAAAAAATGCTCATCATCACTGGTCATCAGAGAAATGCAAATCAAAACCACAATGAGATACCATCTTACTCCAGTTAGAATGGCAATCATTAAAAAGTCAGGAAACAACAGATACTGGAGAGGATGTGGAGAAATAGGAATGCTTTTATGTTCCTATATTCCCACTCCTAATGTGGGAGTGTAAATTAGTTCAACCATTGTGGAAGACAGTGTGGCGATTCCTCAAGGATCTAGAACTAGAATTATCATTTGACCCAGCAATCCCATTACTGGTTATACACCCAAAGGATTATAAATCATGCTACTATAAAGATACATGCACACATATGTTTATTGCAGCACTATTCACAATAGCAAAGACCTGGAAAAAACCCAAATGTCCATCAATGATAGACTGGATTAAAAAAATGTGGCACATATACACCATGGAATACTATGCAGCCATAAAAAAGATGAGTTCATGTCCTTTACAGGGACATGGATGAAGTTGGAAACCATCATTCTCAGCAAACTATCACAAGGACAGAAAACCAAACACCGCATGTTCTCACTCATAGGTGGGAACTGAACAACGAGATTACTTGGACACAGGGTGGGGAACATCACCCACCGGGGCCTGTTGGGGGGTGGCGGACTCGGGGAAGGATAGCATTAGCAGAAATACCTAATGTAAATGATGAGTTGATAGGTGCAGCAAACCAACATGGCACATGTATACCTATGTATCAAATCTGCATGTTGTGCACATGTACCCTAGTGCTTAAAGTGTAATTTTAAAAAAAGAAAAAAAAATGTCTCACATTCTCCCTAAAAGCACACAGAGTTATTACACATTCTCTTGGTTTTCCCCCAACCCTGTGACCTAATTTAAATAGAAATTTTCACTAACCTGCCCTCACACGTTCAAAAGCCTGGGGGAAAGCTCTTTCATGTTGCAGTGAGCACACAATCCTTCAGTGGCATGAGGTTGGCATTGAGCCTGGCCTCTTCCCTCTGACTGGCAGCGCAGTGTTCTCCACCCTACAGCACATTGCAGGACCCCTCAGGCCAGTGTTTTTCCTGATAGACACCAGGAAGACAGTAGGCACACTCAGGTAAGGCACAGATAAATTGTCACACTGATCAAAATCTGGTGGCCCTTCTGTGATGGGTTCAAGTCTCCTGATTTTACAAAGAAAGATGAGATCCAAAGAGAGAAAGTGCCTTGCCTGAGATCATCCAGCCTTTTAGTAGCTGAATGGATTTGAACCTGAGCTCTCCCAGACCCCCTCCTCTCTTCTCTATGGCTCCAGTTTGGCAAAGAGATGAGTTGTAGCAGGTACATGGCAGGTACACCTGTGAGGTGGACCCATACATAAGATGGAGTCTCCTGGTGAAAGCCGACATCTGTTAGGAGATGGAGGAAGCATAGAACAATTTTTAAGAGAAAATACAAGGACAGCTGCCACCTTTTTTGCTCCCACTCATAGCTGATGGTTCTCCTTTGTTACTTACCCCTTCAGCAGACTTAGAAATAGTTACTGCTAGAGGAAAAACTGAGCTCGAACTGTTGAAATTCGAGAAAGCCTCCAAGAATCAAACTGTTTATCCAAGCTGTGCAAGCCAGCAGAAGGTGAAAGAGAAGAAGCTGCTAAGAGATGACAAGTCTATGGCATAGACCAGATGCTGGTAGGCGACAACCTGCAGGACAAACCACCTGTTCTTGCAAATAAAGCTTTGTTGGAACACAGCCACACCCATAATTTACATGGTGTCTCTGGCCACTTTCACACTACTACACTTTCAAACAGAGTGGAGTAGTTGCAGCCTATAATCCTAAAATATCTCCTAGATTCTCTTAAAATATCTCCTAACTTGCTGACCCATGGTATAGATAGCTTAGGGAAAATATTGTTTTGGACAGCATAGATTTATATCCAAGTCTAAAGCCACTGAAGAGTCTTGCTTGATGATCTCAGAGGCTCTGCCCATTTGAGAGAGCACTGCCTACATGTGTAAATTAATTAAGCTAATAATCATATCTGGTATGGAGGGAAACCCATCTTCCTAATAAGCTCCTTTAAGGTGGCAGTGTTGCTCCTACCTAAGTACAGTTTTTTTGGTTTTGTTTTGTTTTGTTTTGTTTTTTTGAGATGGAGTTTTTCTCTTGTTGCCCAGGCTGAAGTACAGTGGCACGATCTTGGCTCACTGCAACCTCTGCCTCCTGAGTTCCAGTGATTCCCCAGCCTCAGCCTCCTGAGTACCTGGGATTACAGGCGCCCGCCACCACGCCTGGTTAATTTTATATTTTTAGTAGAGACAGAGTTTCGCCAAGTTGGCCAGGCTGGTCTTGAACTACTGACCTCAAATGATCGGCCTGCCTCGGCCTCCAAAGTGCTGGGATTACAGGCGTGAGCCACTGCGCCCAACCCCTAAGTATAGTATTTTAAAGGAGAATGTTTCTTTCTTGCTAGTGGTCATTTCTGTGACTTAATCGGGAAACAAACTGAGACTGCCAGAGAGGAAGGAGGTGATGATGTCAGTGGTGAGGATGATGATGATCCATCCTCTGCATCATCTCCAGCGTTTGCACCCTCGTCCTCATCACTGCTATCACTTGTGAACTGTGGACCATGTGGCCAGCAATGTCCCAAGCACTGGGCACACACTCATGTATGTAATCCTCACTACAGCCTGTGTACTATTAGTATCCCTGTATTACACATGAAGAAACTAAAGCACAGAGTGGTTAAGTAACTTGCCCTGGCTCACGCAGCTGGTAAGCAAAGGGAAACCAGACTCCAGAGTCTTTGTTCCTAACTGCATATTCTAATGCATTTTTTAAAATTTTCTAACATTATAAACAGAGGCCCAGAGAAGTAAAAGGTTTTAACTGAGAGTCCATGACTAGGAAATGGCAAATCCAGAATTTTAGAACCCAGGTTTATGAATTTCTAGTCTATGATGCTTCTTTCTTACCCAAAAGCTTCATCTCCTGTGCCTCCCTCACTCCCACTTCAGCCCAACCACATTACTCCTACAAGCATCTCATGCTTGTCTGCTAACGCCACGCACAAGGTTAATCCATTTCCACACTAGTTAAACACGAGCACCTAAGCATTTACGAAGCTGCCTTGGCCTTTGAATTAGCAGGGTTCTCTCTCTTGGCATCACCCTGCTCTCCAGTGTCCATGGGCTGATGTGTTTCACTTTGAAATAAGCAAATCAGATGAGGGATGTCAGCAATCTTTTCCTAGTCAGTTTTTGCATATTTTAAAGCAGTGCTATTATGGAAGCTTCCTTTAGCTCTGAAAAATAATTCTTACCATCTATGGCAATTTAGTATAAAGAACCCACCTGAAGGTCTCTATGTTTAAATCCCTAACACCAACATCAGTATAAATCAACAAGAAAAAAACCAATCCAATGTCTTTAAAACAATCTGGCCTTTAAAAGCATATGTAGATTACTTAGTTTATGGATGCTTTACACCAGTGCTATCCAAGAGAACTTTGTATGATGATGGCAATGTCCTTTATCTGTCCTATCCAATATGGTAACCACAAGCTATGTGCGGCTACTGAGTACTTAAGATGTGGCTGGTGCAACTGAGGAACTGAATTTTTAACTTCAGTTAATCTTAGTTTTAAATTAAATAGCTCATGAGGCTAGTGGTTACCATATGTGCTAGCTCAGCTCTGGACCACCCCTCCTCAAGCCCTATTCCAGGCACAGGGGACATACAGTAAGACCCAATGTCTTCTCTCTAAGAACTTAGAAGCTATGTGGGGAGACAAACCACATAGCCACAAAGAGTTAAACAGTGACAGATGGCGAGAGCTAAAGGAATGAAGAAATTGCATCTTAGAATCCAGTTCTACAGAATAAGACCTTTGCCCTTTTGCTGTAGAGGATACAAAACAATCTGCTTGAGAAATAATGCCTGCCCCAACTGATTTCGTAATCCCTGTTGCAGTTGATTTAAAGGAGATGCTGCCTATCTATGGCATGTGCCTCAGGTAACTACGTGAAGTGGGATCACTGTCTCTATCAAATGCTTACTACAGTGTCTCCTCAAGGCAGAGCAGAGAAACTGAGCAGGTTTAAACGAGGTATACCCAATTCCTTTGTCTCTCACCTTTTTTCCCTCACTTTTCTTCACAGTCTGAAGGAAAAAGGAAATATGATCCAAGCCAGAAACTGCCGATGTTTTGTTCCTATTGTCACTTTGCAGAGCTTCTTCATCCATAAGTACTTTCAGGGCAATTCCTACTCCTCACCTGCTTTTCAAACTTCCCCTCTAAATTTCTAGGCCCACTAGTTGCTGAGAACAAGACTTCCTACTTTTTGCAAATAGTTAAAGAGGGAGGAAGAATGGGGGAGAGAAGGATAATAGGAAAGTAGGGAAGGGAGGAAGGAGAGGAAGAAAGAAGGAAAAGGGAAATAGTAACGGCACAAATTAGAAACTGCAATGAGCAAACAGCAATTGGTTTCTGTTCTCAGCTACCCTGTTTTTCAATTGGGACTGGAATACAGTTTTGTAGCCTCCATAGCTCTAAGGAAATGAACAAAGTGGCTGTTTGCAGATCATTGGTGACTTTTCTCAGTGCAATGTATGGCCAATTGTATAGGGATTAAATTCTACTATCTTTACTTTTGTTCTTTTGTGACAAAACAGATCAAATAAAAAAATGTTTTCCACGTAACCTCTCAATTAATGTGAATCCACATAAATCCTTAATTTTTAATTAAATTGAAATTTTTGGACCCTCCCCCTCCACTTACCCCATTACATTGAGGTTATACAACAAAAAGAAATACATTTTCAGAAAACGATAAAAGCATGACAAATTGAGTATTAACAATATTCTTATCTGGCTGACACTTCAACCTCTTAACTATATTTTTATATGTAAACATTCTGAAGATACTTCCAATTCCTGTTGCTGAAATAGATACATTACGTGAAATCACAGTCCAGTCCCCAAACATATACCAACATTTACCAAACATAAAATTGCTCTGACTTCAGAAAGGAAGAAAGAGTACAAAATACCACAGCACCTTTATTCTTCCATCTCCTAGCCATGCGAGGCCTCCTCTTATGTTTCCAATACTAGGACTCCATGAAAGTAGGATTGTAGCTTTCTGGAGTTCAGCTTTAAAAACTATAAGTCCATGGTAGACAAAGATGGATGAGTAGAGCTGAATAATAAAAGAGGTTTTTGTTCGCAAGAAAGACAGAAACCAATGGCCTAGCTTCAAAGTTTGGAGGATGTATATGGCATCCAGGAGCATGGCTTGTTCTACTGAGGGTAGGCAGGGATAAGTGAGGTTTTAGAAGACCTCTGATAGAAAACAACCCAAGGCTAAGCCATTTCCCTCCCACCTTATCCTCATGAACAATTCAGTGTGAAATAGACAAGGACCAGGAAAAGATCTTATTATACGGGATTATCTGCTGGCCAGAACTCAATGCAATCAGACCAACAAAGCCCTGTTTCTAGAGGCCTCTCTGAGCACCTGGAATAGCTTTACTAAACAGAACCTCTCTTTGTAATAGGATTTTACCCGGTTGCATGTTTGAGACTAGCAATTTGGAAAGAAAAGACTTTCCTTAGAAAAACACCTTAAATATAAATATCCCAATGCAAAAATCTGAGGAACAAGCCTAAACTATTGGAAGAGATAGTTATGCCTCAATGAAACTACTGTAATTTAGTTTGAAAAGCATATTGCTGTGGTACTGCTTTCACAGACGAGTAGGATCAGGCTTTGTTTGATTTGGCACTTCCATTATTTTTACAAAATAGGATATTGTTTTAAGGACACAGGCATAGTAGTTTATAAGGTTACCATGGTCATAAGAACGTCTAAGGTCATTATATTAAATTGCTTTCTGCTGCTGGACCAGTTTTTACTCTACAACTTGCTGTGTTCTCAAGAATTTTAAAAACCAGACTGCAAAAGAGAGTTTAAAAATGTAGCTGACCATAATCTATAAATGCAACTACTAAAGGAATGGAGTTGCTTTTGTAATAAAGTGAATAATGAGAGGACAGTTCCAGATATTTAATTATCTATCAGGATGTTCACATGGTTTTCTACTAATTGGGTAAATCTGCAACAGAACAAATATCCTGACTAGGCACTTACAGGGCAGTTTAATGCAATTCTGATCCTAGACTGGATCCTACACTAGAGAAAAAAAAGTATATTATCTACCAAGGGCCTTATTGGGTCAACATACAATATTGGCAAATGAAAGGCAAAGGATTGTAACCCTGCTAAATTTATTAAGGTTGAAAACTGTAGTATGTTTTCTGAAGAGAACAGTCTTATTGTCAGGAAATACATGCTAAAGTATCAGGGGATAAAAGGCCATAAAATAATTAAGAAAAATTATTTTTTCCATGTATGTATGTGTATATATGCACATAATTATATATTATATATTACATGTTATATAATATATAATAAGCTATTCTATAATACATATTTTACAATATAAAATCTATATGTGATTTTTTTTTTTTTTGAGATGAAGTCTCACTCTGTGGCCCAGGCCGGAGTGCAGCGGCACGATCCTGGCTCACTGCAACCTCCGCCTCCCAGGTTCAAGTGATTCTCCTGCCCTAGCCTCCCGAAAAACTGGGACTATAGGCGTGTGCCACCATACCTGGCTAATTACTGTATTTTTAGTAGATACGAGGTTTCGCCATGTTGGCCAGGCGGGTCTCAAACTCCTGACCTCAGTTGATCTGCATGCCTCGGCCTCCCAAAGTGCTGGGATTACAGGCATGAGCCACCACGCCTGGGCCAATAGGTGTATTTTTTACGTAGAGAGAGCAAATGACAAAGCAAAAGAGCAATATGTTAATAATAGATAAATGTGGGCACAGGTATGTAGGTATTCTTTGTACTGTTGCTGCAACTTTTCAAAAGTTTGGAATTATGTACAAATAAAAAGATTTTTTTTTTTTTAATTAAAAAGAAGGGGGAATTGAAGCTTTCCCCAGACAGGCTTCCAGTAAATAGTTGTCTTATTCAAGTTTATGCAGGCTTAGTCTGATAAGACCCAAATAGGATGTTTGCCTCTGCCCGACTTTCACTTGACTTTTGACCATCTACATCATAGGTGTCCAATCTTTTGGCTTCCCTGAGCCACACTGGAAGAAGAATCGTCTTGGGCCACATAAAATACACCAATAATAGCTGATAAGCTAAAAAAACAAACAAAAAACGCTGGGCAAGGTGGCTCACACCTGTAATCCCAGCACTTTGGGAGGCCGAGGCGGGCGGATCACCTGAGGTTGGGAGTTCAAGACCAGCCTGACCAACATGGAGAAACCCCATCTCTAGTAAAAATACAAAATTAGCTGGGCATGGTGGTACATGCCTGTAATCCCAGCTACTCAGGAGGCTGAGGCAGGAGAATCGCTTGAACCTGGGAGGTGAAGTTGTGGTGAGCTGAGATCACACCATTGCACTCCAGCCTGAGCAACAAGAGCTAAATTCTGTCTCAAAAAAAAAATAAAAAAAAAAAACCCTCAGAAAGTTTATGAATTTGTGTCGGGCTGCATTCAAAGCCAAAGCTGTCCTGGGTCATGGGATGGACAAACTTGATTTACACAAATCAATAAGGGGAAGCAAAATGAGTTGCAAGACTTTTTTAACTTTTTCTAAACGTTTCGTTATAGAAGTGGCATGTACTTAGTACAGACAACTTGGGGAAAGTACAGAAAACTAATAAAGAAAAAAGAAACCCACACATAAATCCCACCACACTGGGGAAAAAAAATTGTCACTTTGGCATATTTCCATTCAGTCTTATTCTCAAGTTTAATGAGAGTTGGGATTATATTCTACAAAGTATGTAGTTTGGTGTTTGTTTTTTTCCTTTAACCTAGTATAAACACTTTCCTGGCTAAAATCAAAAACTTCATAAAATCTTGAATGTCAACATAATATTCCATTCTATGAATATACCATAATTTACTTAGTTTTTCCCTAAAACTGTCCTTCTGTTATTTTCAATTTCTATGAGACATGATGTTGGGTTAAAAGTTTAAGATCTTTGTGCTTATATCTTTGTTTCAGTGTTTCTGATTATACCTTTATGATATATTCACAAGAATGGAATTGCCACGCCAAATGGTATAAATATTTGTAAGACCCCAAAAAGCCAAACTGCTTTTTAGAAAAATAGATATACCCCTTTCTCTTTGAGGGGAGAGGACACACCTGAATGGGGTTATCAAAACTGGGCTGAAGTTTCATTTAGGATTTAAAGAAAGAGAAGTTACTGCACAGTCTGAAAACTGCAGTCTTCAGATCAAACTTAGCTCTGGGACAAGTTCTATAAGCTATTTTTTGCCCTCAAAAGAGGAAAGGCCAAAATATTCCAGCCTGTATTCAACACATGCTGACTACCAGGAAAGAGATGTAATGCTGAGGCTCAGATGATGACCGACATATTATGCTTCTGGGGTCTACAATCCAAAAGACCATCCTACCCTCCTGATAGACATGGGATCCTAAAATTTAAGTGGGGAAAATATATATGTGACGAAATTGTTAGGAATCTAAAAGCAAGGTTCTGACTGAAAATGGCAAACTTATGACAAGTTGGGTTTTGTCCCCTTCATTTGCTTCACAGCCTAATCGTATAGCAAAAGCAAGTGCTCCAACAGTCAGGAGTCTCGTCCCATCTGTCCTCAAAAACAACTAGCCTCTTGTTTGGATCAATGTTGCCAAACCTCTCTAAACTCAAATTTCTCATTTGTTAAATGACAAGGTCAAACAAAGTCCCTAGGAGTCAATCAGGTCTCTGATTCCACAACATTCTTCTGTTTTAAAGGTACCAGGGGAAAAGGAGGAAGAGAGATTATTCTCTCTGAATGCATTACTTCTAATGAGACGGTCAATCTCTTTTTCTATAACACGACTAGATCAAGTAGTGTTTGGTCTACAAAGGAGATTCCACAAACTACGCATTCCCATTCCTTCAGAAAACAGGGACTAGGGAAAAAGTGGTAGAGAGATCTGTGAGCAAGGAGAGAAGAGAGAAGGCTCACCATGGCCATTGCAGTAGTAGATCCATTTCTCCCGGTTCTGGGTTGGAGTCATGGATTTCTTCAGCCCTGCCTTTTCCACAATGGCACTGGGATCCTGCCGGGGCCCCTTTTTCAGAGTCCTCGAGCTTTTCCGGATACTGCACACCACAATCACCACAAGCACCAGCAGCAGGAAAAGCACAATCATCCAGGGCAAATGCTCATTGATGTCAAAATGCTTGTGTAGGTTCTGTCTAGGATGTCCCCTCTTGGGGCCCTTGATGGGCGTGCTGGACTTCTCGCCCCCAGTGGCCTCCATGGACGGCAGCAGCTTCAGGATGTGTCTGTGGTGGGGGCCTTGCTGGTGGTTGACTACCTGAAGGTTTGGGAGGGTCTTGTTCACGTCTTCCTTCCCCCTTGCTGAGCTTGTGTTGTCAGGGACTGTCCCTTCCTGGATGCTACTCAGTACCTTTGGTCTAACAGAGGCAGAAGAGTTGGATTCTGTTGAGTTCATGCCTAGAAAAAAGAGTAAGGAGGGGGGAAGAGCTTTTCCATATTTGGGGATCTATACATTCCCTCCTTTCCCTGGTCATCTCCAAGCTAGGCCAGATAATCAAAGATAAGATGACCCTTGGGGCTTAAGAATAAATTGTGTTGCACATTTTCATAAAGACCCTAATGGCACCTTCATGTGGAAGGCAAAAATGGAACTGAACCACTAAACTCACATTCTTACACCAAAACCAAGGGCAACCTTAAGGATCCAACAGCTGAGCTTGACAGCAGCTTCTCCTGTACTTCACATATTGAGCAGGCACATATATGTGCAGAGATCTAATCAATTCTTATTTTGAGTTTTCAGAGAACCAGTTCAAATTTAATTATTTTGTCCATCCTCCTTCTCCCACCTTTTGACTATTTTATGATGCAGTGGTAAAACTGAGAATATGACTAAGATAAAAAAAAGAATTCAAATGCAAATTTGACTGGTGAAAGACTTGGTAGGACAGGTCAGCAAATAAGAGCATCTGTTATCAAAAGATTAAACAAGATTTGGGCTGGCAGCTTAGCAGACTTCTCTCAGAGAAGCCTCCATAAGTAATTTTCATTAAGAAGTATGAGAGATGGGAATTTTGAGTCCCAAGAGACAGGACTTGGCCTAAGCAAAGCTAGAGTGGCCATCTGAGCTCTTGGAGGCTGTTTCTTCATTTCAACTGGCAATTGTAAGATGGCTGTCTTCACAGGCTTATCATGAAGGCTAAATGTAATCATGCATGAGAGGACACTAGGAGGAACAACTCAAGTTGGTCATCATCTCATGAAAATTACATTAAATCAAAAAGGATTTGAAAATAAAGGATAAATTTTATATTCTGCTTGAGGTTCTGATGGAAAACTTGAATAATTGATATAAGGAGTAAAGTTAAAATCATTTGGAAAAAATAAAGTTATTATTTTCCAGACATGAGTGCTAGTTACCTTCAATCTGATACAAATTTGCTTATTTCCTGAGCTTCTAACTTTCCTACCCATTCTTTGCCCCACCTGGATTCAAAATTCATCTCTCGCTTCCGGATGTAATGGTATTTTCTTCCTTTCTCCCTCTTCTCTGCTCCTGGCTATGTCTACCTGGGACTGACTCCATGTTGGAAAACTTTTGATCTGGAAGGAACCTTAAACATCTAAATTATTCATTTGTTTGACAAGTTTGAAACTGAGGCCTGAAGAGGTTAAGTAACTTACATAAGGTCACACGCTGTCCTTGTTTCTCTTGGTTCATATTTTATAGCTTGATGTGACCTAGTTTTTAGATATCTGATCTCCCCTAACAGAAAAATTCTGAGTCTACATGTTTCTATTAAGTCCAAAAAAGCCAGATTTAATTAGCCACCATATGAAGGCCTCTCTCCAAGGGGTGACTTTGGAATACACGAAATGGAGAAAACATCTTTGGTATAAGCCCACTCTTGGTACCTCCACTGGGCTCAAAGCCTTCCTCAAATAAATAATTCATGAGGTTAAGTTACCTTTGGGAACATAAGTGGAGGAAGGGACTTCATGGGTTTCCATGTGCTCAGGGCGTGGAAAGATGGCTGTGCCAGGGGAAGGTGAGGTGGAGCTGGAGAAGGACGGGAGTGTGCCACAGACGTTGTCTGTCTCCTTGGTCCCCGGCTTGATCACCACCAGGTTCTGACTCAGACAGTCTGTGTATGCTTTGCATTTCATCACACTAGAAGGCACATCTGAGAAGGTACCCCGAGCACACTGCTTACACCGCACATCCTCAGTCTCTGTCCCTTTCTTCCGCACACCCCAACCCACAGGACACACCGTATGGGGGGCACAGGTAGCGTTAGACTGGAACATGCCAGGTGGGCAAGTGCATTCTCGGTCAGTCAAGGCAGCACAAGGTAATTTCTCAATCATTGGCCATGGGCATGGCTGACTACAGTCATGGCATTTCTCTATGCCATTCTCATGCCTGGTAAAGGTCCCCACAGGGCAACTGCTGCAGACGCGCAGGCTTGTGTTGGTACAATGCTCAGAGACATAGGTTCCTGCTGGACACTTGTCACAGGTTAGCACCTGGCCGGTGGCACGGTCAACATGGCGGTATGTGCCAATGAGATTCGAGGCCTTCTGTTCTGGCTGAGCTGTGGTGGTGCTAAGGAATCCAAGCTGAAAGAAACAGAAGGGGAGGGAAAGGAACAAAAACCAAGAAGATGTTACATAGGAGCAGAGCAGAAAAAGGGCCAACAATTCCAGCACCACCATCATCATTCCTGTTAAAGATCCGACCAGGACTGCATCCTCTTGACAGCATGCTGCAACACAGTAGAACGAGAGAAACGAAGACTTGGATCCCACCCTACAGCTTGATCTACTGGCTGTGATGCTTTGGTTTCACTGCCTGACCTTTGCCTCAGCTTCCTTTTTTTCCATTTGTAAAATGAAACTGACAATGCATCTCAAATTGATTATAAAAATCAGTTGAGAATATGTATGTGAAAACACTTTGTAGCTGAGATTTAAAATGTTATATATGGCTGGGCGCACTGGCTCACACCTGTAATTTTTGCATTTGCAAAATTTGCAATTTGCAAAATTTGCCTTACATCACATCTGTAATTTTTGCACACCTGCATTTTTAGAGGCTAAGGCACGCAGATCACCTGAGGTCAGGTGTTCGAGACCAGCCTGGCTGACATGGTAAAACCCCATCTCTACGAAAAATAAGAAATTAACTAGGCTTGGTGGTGCATGCCTGTAATCCCAGCTACTCAGGAGACTGAGGCATGATAATCGCTTGAACCCAGGAGGTGGAGGTTGCAATGAGCCAAGATCAAACCATTGCACTCCAGCCTGGGTGACAAGAGTGAAACTCTTTCTCAAAAAAAAAAAAAAAAAAAAAAAAAAAGAAAAGAAAAATTGTATACTAGTCAAAATCCAAATGCAACAGGAAAATAACTTGCTGACTTTTTAACATTGGGTATTTTATTCATTTAAGGATAAGGGAGCTAATTAAAAAAAAAACTTGCCCTGTTCTTGTCTTTAGAAGATGTATTTTAATAAAAAATGTACTCTTTCTATTTAAGAATTATTTATCACAGATTTGTAAAATACTTTGTTTAGCTTAGTTCTATACTATAAAACTGAAATGGTAACTAAACCTGTAAGAAATCAGTTGAAATTTACATTTCAAATTTATACACATATTTTGTGGCTCAAGTCATGTATGCTACTCTTATAACTGACAAAGGGGTTGTGGACAGAATATGTAAAGGACTCCTAGAAAATCAACACAAGATAAAAATGGGTGAAAAACTTGAGCAGGCATTTTATAAAAGTGAATATTCAAATAGCCAATAAAGGACAAAAACGTAAAACTTCATTATTAATTAAGGAAATGCATATTAAAACCATATTGAAATAGTACTATATACTCCAGAATGGCTAAAGTTAAAAAGACTATCTGATAAAATTAAGTCTTGGTGAGTATGAGAAGCAACTGGAATTCTCATACATTTCTGATAAAGGCATAAATTGCAACACACACTTTGAAAGCTGGTTGGTACTCTTTACAGAAGTTGAAAATGTATACGCTATGACCCAGAAATCCTACTCCTAGTATATACACACATGCCTAATGGAAATGTGTATATATGTGCACCAGAAGGTATGCAACAACGCTTATAGCAAAACTATTTAAAACATTCCCAAGGTGGAAACAGCACACGTTTGTTGGCAGAAAGGATAAATAATTGTCATTTGGTCATATAATGCATTATACAACAATGAAAATGAACTAATACAGCTCCACATAGTAACATGGATAAATCTTACAAACGTAATGTTGAGTAAAGGAAGTCAGGCACAAAATGTACACATTGTATCATTCCAACTGCTTGTTTGAAAACAGAGCTAATCTCTGTGTTACACTGCTTTGGAGAGTGGAGAGAAGGTACAGTGATTAGAGGAGGGCATGAGGGGTGAGTTCTAGGGTGTTGGCAACGCTCCGTAACTTGATCTGGATGCTGGTTACTGGAGTGTGTTTGCTTTGTCACAGATCGTTGAGCTGTACACATAAAATCTGTATACCCTTTTTAGTGTCTCTAAGTAAATAAATAAATAAAAATAAAGCGGTAGAAACAAACATAAAAAAAAAAAAGAAAAAGAAAATAACTTGCTGAATAGTTCTCTTCCTTTCCCCAACCCCAATGTTAAGCTGCCATTTCATGATGCTAGGACAAGGCAACTGGGAACCAGGAAGGCATGCATTCAAGCTGCCAGTTCCATGCACCAGATTGCCTGCTTGGCATTACCTGACAGTCATGGCCTGATTTTTTCAGACGCTTTGCCTACATGAAGCTAAACTTTTATTTATTTGTCAAAACAGAGGCGGGCCCTTGGCATTTTTGTAATGTGCTTTAAACAACAGAGTTGATGCTTTCAGATTCACACCCTGTTTGCTCAGCCTTTGAAGACCATAGCTACGAAAGCATGGGCCTGCAGCCACCCAGGAGAGGAAGCACAAAGCTAGACCCAGCAAGAGGGAATCAACAGGCACTTAGGGGAAAGGAAATTATATTCATGGGACTAAATCCTGAGGTCCTTCTGAGAAGAGACTGGGGGAGAATAAGAATATTAAGAGAAAGTTTTTCTGCATTAATGAATATTGAAAAGTTCCAACAGTTTTCACTATCCTTTATGAAATGCACAAAGTTTATGTGTCAAGGAAATAATGGCTGCCTCAAACTACCAGCTACTCAGCAGGGCAAATTCCTTCTAAATTGGCTGCTATACCAGTGACTAAGAGAATAAATCAAGAATTTTTTTCACAGTGATCAGAGTTTCTGTCTTTTTAGCACCTTGACACTTAATTCAAGGTTCAATTCTCTCCTACCCCAAAATTTAACTATTTGAATCAAAAGTATTTCCCTGAAGTCCCTTCCCCTGTCCCAGAGCTGCCTATCTAGTTAAATAACAATACAGAAAACAAATTTTCAGCTTATGAGGGTATATTCATTTTTTCTGTCGAGACCCTCCCCCAACAAAAAAAGGACAGTTGTTGATTCTTTTGTTAAGAAACTTAACCTCATCTTAGAACCTGGAAAAAACCTCCTGCTTGATGATAAATTCTGTAATGTCTTCCCTTATCCCTTCTGACTTTACCTTTCATTTTCTTGTTCCTTCTATTTGAAAATAAGCCTCAGACACCTTTTTCTGAGCACAGCGGATGCACTGGATAAAAGGACCCATCCTGTGGAACCCAAGTTACATTTGTCAAGAATACCAGCCGGGCACGGTGGCTCATGCCTGTAATCCCAGAACTTTGGAAGGCCAAGGTGGGCAGGTCATTTGAGGTCAGGAGTTCAAGACCAGCTTGGTCAACATGGTGAAATCCCGTCTCTACTAAAAATACAAAAATTAGCCAGATGTGGTGGAGCATGCCTGTAATCCCAGCTACTTGGGAGGCAGAGGTGGGAGAATTGCTTGAGCCTGGGAGGCGGAGGTTGCAGTGAGCCGAGATTGCGCCACTTTACTCCACCCTGGGCGACAGAGTGAGACTCCATCTCAAAAAAAAGAAAAAGAAACAAAAGAGTATCAACGACAGGATTAGACCCTATCTCCCTACTAAACACCCAACCCAAGAGGTTGCAAAAGTGGCTCTGCTCTGTACTTCGTGGCATGTCTACATGCAAAAGCAGTTTTAGACAGCTACAGTGTTCTGAAAGTTTGAAAGCTGTATTAGTAACCCAAGTGGCAGGTTGTTACACTTCAATTAAGAAAGAAGAGAACTGAACCCAAGATCTGGGCAGGGAGCGGTGGTCGGCGATGAATATCACTCTGATGTGCTGTGTGATCTAAGTCAGCCTCCCTACCTGTGTGGGAGGATGGGCAGTCAGACACACCCACACACACACTCACAAGGGTGGCTCTGCAGAATGAGCACAGGAGGTCATGAATAGCAAGTATGTGTGGATTTGGGTGTGGAGTTGGGGTAGGCTTCCTACAGCTTTCTATACTTCCCCCGAAATATGCACTTCTAAATCTAAAGTAAAACCAAAAAAGGTTTTCCTAGCTATACATAAAACCCACCTCCAAACCCCACAGCCCCAACACTCTTTCTCAGACTGTAAGTGGATTTTAGAGCTCTTTGTTCATTTGGAATAACAGATCAAGTTTCTAATTAAAGCAAAACTCGGCCCTGTTTAAACTGTTTCATACTGGGTAACCCACTTTAGACAATGTGTCTCTAAAAAAGGACCTTTAAATTACCTCATACAACAAGAGACAATTCCAGCTCCCGCAAGCAGAGCCAACAAACAATGATCCCTCCACAGTCGGGCCCAGGCTGAACACTAGAAATGAGATTTAGCAAAAACTAGACACTATGAATTCACTGGACAAATAATTATTGAAGACCTAATAGGTGTGTGCAAGACAGCATGCCATGGGCTGAGGATAGAATCTTGAGAACTCTATTCCAGCCCTTATGAAGTTTACATTCTAGGCTGGGATGAACAAAAAAAGAATACACCAGTAATTACTCAATTAGAATTGAAATCACTGCTGAGAAAGAGAAATACAGAATCCTATGAGAGGGAATTGAACAGGTGCTTCCTAGCTCAGGGAAGTTAGAGAAACATTTTGTCACCACTCTTAAGGATGGAGAGGCAGAAATTAACTCCAGGCAAGAAGCAGTGAAAGAGGGTTAGGCAGAGGGAACACCAGATCAAAAGTGTGAAGCAGAAGGAAGCTCAGCACAGGAACTAAAAAGCTTGTGGCTCTATCTCAAGATGCAACAGAGTGGCCACAGTTACATCTGAAGAGTCTCCATGTGCTGATCTTAATTCAAAATGCAATGAGAAGTCATTAAATGTTTACATGATAGGTTGGGGGAGAAGGCATATAATTGCACCTGTGAATCAAAAAGCTGTCTGCTTCAGAGCAGAGGGTGAAAGGGGTATGCGGGAGAGTAGACAAGAAAACCCAGTTAGAGGGTGAAAAACCAACATGGAAGGTGGTGGTGACTCAGACTAGGGTGGCGGATGCGGAAATGGAGAGACGGTGACAGATTTGAGGGCTCAGGTCAGCTGAATTTGGTGAATGATTACTTACAGAAGGGGAAAGAGGAAGAAATCAGTGGTTTTCAAATAGGACTTAAGAGAGCACTGGACAGAACACAGCTCTCAGGATGCTCCTTGGACCAGGGAGGGATGGGAGGTAGGCTCCAAGCCCCCCATCTCTGCCTAAACCAAGCATCTCCACTTTACCAATTTGCTAATGGCTTTCCAAGTAAGAATTCATTTGCAGGAGGGATTTTTCCTAAAACAAGTCTGAAAATCACTGAACTAGAGGGACTTCGAAGGCCTCTTCCAATTCTGAAGTAAACAGTTAACCCAATCTGTGCTACAAAGCTGGAGGGACTGCTCCATGGCCTCTTTCGCCTGAGTGAAACCCTGCTGAGAGGAAGAGTTGGCAACATCCCTTTCTCTTTACAGAGACTCAGATGGCACCTGAGAAAATCCATTTTCCTAGGGCCTTTTAGTCAACTCATGATCTAAAACTAGGGCTTTTCCCACTCGCCTGGTGGCAGCCCTCTGATTTCTAAGAAAATTAAAACACTGTAGAAATCATTCCCAGTGATGATCTGGGAGTGAAACAATGAGTAATGGGGGTGAGGTGGACCCCATTCAAAAGTGGCATTTAAGAATAGTTTCTGTATAACACAACAACAAGGTGAGATGCCACCCAAAGCTAATGCTAGGAAAACACCTGAATCAGGGGACACAGTCATTGAAAAGTGCAAGAGAGTGGGAGCCAGAATATCTGACGCCGAGTCCTACCTGGTCAAGATCCTTAATTCCTTCACTTGTACAGAGTTGGATAAACTAGATCGGAGGCTCACCAAAGCCTCGGGTCTCAAAGGCAGCATCAAAATTACCTGGGAAGCTTTAAAAAAAAAAAATCACACCCCAGCCCCATCATCTGGATCACTGTGGGTCTGCAGTGGGGCCAGGAATTTATTTGGTTTTAGCTTTGGTTCATTTTATTTTTAAGCTTTCCAAGTGATTCTGATGCCCATCCAAGTTTTGGACACCCTGAACTAAGGGCTCTAATCTTCTCTGATTCTGAGACACATTTTGGAGACTGCCCAATCGCACTTCTGCACCACTCTCTCAGCCTCTTAACCAATCTGGTACTTTTAATTGTTTTAATGTTGCCCTGTATTAATTAGTATTTTTTATGATGAAAATAAACATTCATGTAATAATTCTAACAATTAGGAACTATAAAGTAAAACATTTAAGTCTCTGCTCAAATCCACTCATTCCCAGAGAGACTCACTGTGAATTTTGGTGCACATCTTTCCAGACCCTTTTCTGAGCATTCACACATAATACATACATATATGCATGCACACCTTAAATTGGCTGTTCCCATTGATTTTTGTTTTGTTTTGTCTTACATATCCAAAGGGGACTGTCCATACATAGCGTTCTGTGATTTGCTTTTGTTCATCTTCTAACACTGCATCACTAAAATTTGCAAGTTGGACTAGGTTGTGTTCACCTCTAACCCTCTAAGTGTTTACAATTATTTCTGTCAAGCTCCACCTTCCCTGTAAAGCCTTTAAAACTATTCCCAGACACCCAGATTCCAAGTAGATGAGTGAACTCTTCATCATATTTCCTGTTTCTGTTCATCATATTGGTGCCTAATTACATATTGTCTTGTGATGTTTGCTGATGGCCACTTAAGTGTATATACTTATCTTCCCATAATGATTATAAGCAGCTCAAGGCCAGGGACGACCACATAGATTGCATTTCCTCCCTTGCACAACTACCTCAATAATGAAGATCGTGGGAATAAGAAGCAAAGCATTCTCCAAGCCAGGGGTCAGCAAACTAAATCCCACATTCCAATTGTTTTTATAAACACGTTTATTGGAATTCAGCCCTTCATGTAGGTATTGACTATGGCTGCTTTCATGCTACAGCGGCAGAGTTGGATAGTTCCAAAAGACACCTTATGGCCTGCAAACTTAAAATATTATCCAGCCCTTTATAGAATACACTATATATACTACATGCTGGATAATATACTATCCAGCCTTTTACAGAGAAAGTCTGTCAACACCTGCACAGGGCAGTCAAAAGAAATGTCAAAAAATACAGAGAGCAGAAGCTCACTCACAAGAATCGTCAGACCTCTGAAAGTTTAGCAACGAGTACTGAGATATTGGCTTCCTTTCTTGACACCCACTCCAACTCACACTCCAAATCTCATCCTTTCATCCTCTGCTTAAAACTCTCAATCACTTCCCACATGACTTAGGATGAAAGGCAAAGTCTTTAACAAAGATAGGACTTTCTCTGGAATGCCATCCCTGACCACCTCTCCACTAATAAAAACAGGTTTCACAAGATCCCCTCATTCCCATTTTTTCCCCCAGTATGGCTACCACAATACTGTATTTACCCATTTTTCTGTTTAGCATGTCTTCCCCTGTGGATCACAAGCTCCATGTGGACAAGGATCAGGTCTATTTCACTTACTGGTGCTATCCATGCCCTCAAGGACCCAACTCATGGTAATGTCTGACAAGTGTTAGTTGAATAAATGAATGAATGGACTTACAGACCATAAATAATTAGAACCAACATATTAGAAGTGGTGGTAGAGGAGGTTGCTAAAGATGAGTGCACAGGTTTTTTGTTTTGTTTTGTTTTGTTTTGAGATGGAGTCTTGCTCTGTCGCCAGGCTGGGGTGCAGTGGTATGATCTCAGCTCACTGCAACCTCCGCCTCCTGGGTTCAAGCAATTCCCCTGCCTCAGCCTCCTGAGTAGCTGGGACTACAGGGGCACGCCACCATGCCCGGCTAATTTTTTGTATTTTAGTAGAGACAGGGTTTCACCATGTTGGCCAGGATGGTCTCCATCTCCTGACCTCGTGATCCGCCTGCCTCAGCCTTCCAAAGTGCTGGGATTACAGGCGTGAGCCAACGCGCCCGGCTGCGCACAGGTTTAAAAGCGAGCAGGAGAAAACCCAAAGCCTCCACAATGTAGCCACAATAACTCAAGAGATAAAGCAGTCTGGCCTTATACCCTTCAGTACAAGGGCAGATACTTCATTTCATCTCCAAAGACCCTGAGGACATCACTCTGTTTTAACAGAACTACAAATGGCTTACAAGAATTACACTCTGCAGGGTGCTTAAGGTGACAAGCAAATGTATCAAAGAGTTAAAAAATTCCCTCCTCATTTCTTTCTTTTTTTTTTGAGGGGGGCCAGGGGTTCTCACTATGTTGCCCAGGCTGATCTCAAACTCCTGGCCTCAAGCATTCCTGCCACCTCAGACCTCAAAAGTGCTGGAATTATAGGCATGAGCCACTGTGCCCAGCCTCCCCTCTTATTTCTTTAAAAAAAGATGATACTAACTTGGTGATTAGAATTATAAGCAGCATAATAAGATTATCCTCCAGAACTTATCTATGCACCATCCTAGTTTAAACTTTAGTTATGTGGAAAATTTCATTTATCCAAGACATTTATTTCACCAACAATGGATAAATGTGGCAAATATCCCAAACTGTACAGGATTTATAAGCACTATAAATGCCTACTGAATGATTAAAAGGTAAACCCAGAACAACACAAATTTCAAAAGAGGGAGGAGGTAGCTCTAAATAACCAACAGTAAAAACTCCCTGGGTCTCAGCATTCACCCTGGTGAGCCACACCACACCTCTCTTGTTGTCACTTCTATTCTCGGACACAGAGATGGGCCTGACTAAGGACAAGAAGCACTCAGATTTGCAAAGACATGTCAGAATGTTGATGCCTATTTATTCCTTAACAATTCTTACTCCATGACCTCATCCTTCAAACAACGTATTTTTGTCATTCTTGTTCCCTATCAAATTCTAATTTTTAGCGGAAAATGAGCAAAGTCAAGGCGGAAATAAACTTTTTTTCTATTCATAAAGGGCAGGCAGAGAGACTGCCTATGAGTTTGTTGTAGAATTTTTCAATGCTGCATAAAACTAATATTTTGAAGAGGAAGCCCGTTACCGTAGAGATGA
Source organism: Homo sapiens (assembly GCF_000001405.40). Lineage (NCBI taxonomy): Eukaryota > Metazoa > Chordata > Mammalia > Primates > Hominidae > Homo > Homo sapiens. The sequence goes on from NC_000006.12 coordinate 47,295,511, forward strand.
TAATGCAACCAAGTTATTCCTGAGATGGTGAATCTAAAACATGATAACAGATGATCTAAAGGCAAAACCCAGGCAGAGATGGACCTTCCAGAATTTCTGATCATTTTATTTTGAGCATCACATTAAATGTGTAATATCAAGACACTGGCTGTTTAGAATTCTGTAGATTTGAAGCAGGGAAAAAGGAATGCACAAAGAGGAAAGCTTCAAGGACAGAGCTTCCACAAATCACAGACAGAACTGTTCCCAGTTATGTTGGTCAACTCTTGCATTTCCTACTATCCTCTCTGATTTAAAAAAAAAAAAGTCTTCTGTTGCTAAGGCAAAAGCAGGGACCATTTTTAAAGCTGGTGAATATAGAGGATGCCAAGGCTAGAATGTGCTGACTGCAGGACTGGAAGGAGGCAAGCTCAGGGGACACTGGAAAAAGGAAAAGCCATGTGAGACTTAACTCAGGTGCTGTTTTCCCTGGAACCTGCAATGCAGGAGCGTGTACACTCAGCAGCACTCAGTCCTGGGGCCACAGAACCTCATCTCCTTCCGTGTCCTTAGAAATAACTATTTCTAAGACTTCTGCATACATGAAGAAGCCAAGAGTAGGCTACCCATTTATTTAGTCACTAAGCAGTAAGTGAATTGGCATTCCATGAAAGACAGGAGGAAAGATGCAGAAGGAATGTTACTCTGTGCTCACTAAGGATTTAAAGAAAAGCATGTGAACCAAGGCAAAACCAATGACTCTGGCCAGTGCAGCAACTCCAGCATAAAAGCACGCATAAACAAAACCTATTAATATTTTAGTCTATAGTGTGCCGAGCAGCCCAGATCTACCAGGTGCTAGCTAGGTGTGATACTGTGATATAATAAATATATATATTTGGTCTCTGTCCCTGGTTTCTGGTGCACAATTCCTAAAACCTTAAAATCTCCAGCCACAATAGTGTCTTTTGTATGCTAATGAGATGATTGTCGGCTGGGGGCTGCTAGGTAGCTTCTGGATAGGGGCTGGTCATAAGAAAGACCAAGGTATGATGGAAGGGTTGGGACTTTCAACCCCACCTCCAACCTCAGGGAAGGGGAGAAGGGCTGAACGTTGAGCTGATCACCAATGGCCAGTGATATAATCAATCATGTCTAAGTAATGAAGTCTCCATAAAAGCCCAAAAGGACTGGGGTTTGGAGAGCTTCTGGACAGCTGAACACCTGGAGATTCCTGGAGGATGGGGATGGGCATGGAAGCTCCATGCCCCTTCCCACACACCTTGCCCTATGCATTTCCTCCATCTGGCTGTTCATTTGTATCCTTTATTATATCTTTTATCAAGAAACTGGGGCTGGGTGTGGTGGTACACGCCTGTAGTCCCAGCTACTCAGGAGGCTGAGTAAGTAAAGTGTTTCCCTGAGTTCTGTGAGCCGCTCTTGCAGATTAATAAAACCTGAGGAAGGGGTTGTGGGAACCTTGATTTACAGTCGGTCAGGCCGAAGCACAGGCAAAATAACCTGCGGCTTATGCTTGACATCAGATATTGGGGGCAGTCCCCTGTGACTGAGTCTTTAAACTGTGGGATCCGACACTACTTCCGGGTAGATAGGTCAGAACTGAATTGAACTAGAGGGCACTCAGTTGATGTCTGCTGGAGAATTTGGTGTCAAAGGTGTTGTGTTGAGCCTTGTGTGCAAGTAGAAAAACACGTTGGTTTTTTTTAATCCTTAATTCTGGGTGGCCTTGGCAAATGGCTCACTTCTGTGTCTCTGCCTCCTCATTAGTATAAAGGAGTTAATTAGCAATACCTACTCTTCAAAGACTGTTTTGAGAATTAATTGTTAATACAGATAAAGCAGGCAAAACGTGTCTGACACATAGTAAGCATTCCATAAATGTTATCTTAATTATCACTCCCGCCAACTTAACAATGTACTATATTTTAACAATCTTTTAGTTTTTTACTTTTATTTTTCAAATTTTCTAACGAGTGATGGAAAATCCTTTCTCTTTTTACTTTTTTTTTTTTTTTTTTTTTGAGTTTTTTGAGACGAAGTCTCGCTCTGTCACCCAGGCTGGATTGCAGTGGCACGATCTGGGCTCACTGCAACTTCTCCCTCCTGGGTTCATGCAATTCGAGTGCCTCAGCCTCCCCAGTAGCTGGGATTACAGGCGTGTGCCACCATATCCAGCTAACTTTTATATTTTTAGTAGAGACGGGACTTCACCATATTGACCAGGCTGGTCTTGAACTCCTGGCCTCAAGTGATCCGCCTGCCTCGGCCTCCCAAAATGCTGGCATCACAGATGTAAGCCACCGCACCTGGCCAAGACAATCTTTTAAAACACCCCAATTAAAATGCAAGTATTCAATTCCTGAGAAGTGTATCAAAGACTTCAGATTTTTAAAAGCTATAATCCTGAAACAAACCATCCCGGACTTAGAGCAAACAAAGAAACAAAAAATACAGACTGCACAGTAAAGAGTTAAAAGAGAAACATGGGCCCACTAGCATTTTCAAAACATTTAAAATAAAAACTTGGTATATAGCAAATGAGAAAACACAAGAGAGCAGAAGGGATTTACTATTAATAAGTACATTAGATAACTAGGGCAGAATTTAAGTAAGCATTTCCCACAGTGAGTTTCCCTGATCTAGTCCCATGAGATATTAATGATTCTACGGTCTTAAAAGAGTGAGCATGGGAGGGCAAGGAGAGAGGATTGCTTGAGCCCAGGAGCTTGAGACCAGTCTGGCAACATAGGCAGACCCTGTCACTACAAAAAATTAAAAAAAAAAAAAAAAAAAAAAGGAATCAGGTATAGTGGTGTTCCAGCTACTCAGGAGGCTGAGTGAGGTAGGAGGATCACTCGAGCCCAGGAGGTTGAGGCTACAGTGAGCTGCGATCACATGACTGAACTACAGCCTGGGTGACAGAGCAAGACCCTGTCCCAAATTAAAATAAATAAATAAAAATTTAAAAAGAGTGAGTAAGCTCCAGCACCTGCCTGTTTCTGTATTGCTCACAAGCTAAGAATGGTTTTTACATTTTAAATAGTTTTTAAAAAATCAAACAAATAATCATATTTTGTGACATATAACAATTATATGACAATCAAATTGTAGTGTCCACAAATAAAGCTTTATTGGAACACAGCCACACCCAACCTCTTAGGTATTGCCTAGGGCTGCTCTCACCATTCAAACACAGAATTAAGTAGTTAGAGCAGAAACCACATGACCCATAAAGCTGAAGATATATACTATCTGGCCTTTCACAGACAAAGTTTACCAGCCCCTGGTCTAAAAGTTTAGAAAGTGCTCCTGATTAGAATCTTCTCTCAGAAAGGCACAATCAATATTAACCTACTGAGGGCTCCAGCAGGCCCTGCAGGACAGCTGCCAGAAATGGTGACTTAGTTGAACCTAGCACTCCGCAAACATATTTGACCATAAAACGCTTTACTCATGCAATGAGTATTACTATCTTGCAGAACATACTAATGTAGTTCTTACCACAAATATGACACTAAAGTCCGAAAAGTCAACAAACCCAATATTTAAAACATCACATAGAAAATTCAAAGTTATCAGAATAGTTCATTGCAAAGAGATCAATTTCTGTTAAAATGAACAGCACCAACAAAATGAAAATATTTTCAGACACAAAATATTCTCAGACACAAAGAAAAAGGTTTAAAAATATAAATCTCGGCTGGGTGCAGTGGCTCACACCTGTAATCCCAACACTTTGGGAGGCCGAGGCAGGAGGATCACTTGAGGTCAGGAGTTTGAGACCAGCCAACATGGCCAACATGGTGAAACCCCGCCTCTACTAAAAATACAAAAATTAGCCAGGCAGGGTGGTGCACGCTGTAATCCCAGCTACTCAGGAGGCTGAGGGAGGAAAATCGCTTGAACCTGGGAGGAAGAGGTTGCAGTGAGCTGAGATCACGCCACCTACACACCAGCCTGGGGGACAGAGCGAGACTCTGTCTCAAAAATAAAAACATAAATCTCAACTTTTATGTTATTAAATATAATAATATTACAAGTAGAATGTAAAATAAAACTAAAAATGTATATAAAGAATTCATGCAAATGTGGCTAACATAACTCCTTCTCAATAGTTATGACAGAGGGCTACATGAGTACATAATTACAAAGGTGATCATCCTATGGATAAATGTTTGATATCCCTAGGAGCTATTGAAATTCAAATTTGCACCCAAGGACCCTGACATATCTATATTAAAGCAGCATAAATAAATTAAAATTATAAACTCCAATATTGGCAGGCTTGTGGGCTAGAAAGCACATTTATAGGTGGCTGGTGGCATTCTAAATTAATTCAGTTCTTCTGGACTACAGTCTGGCAAATTCAGTTCTTCTGGACTACAATCTGGCAATGTGCAGCAAAAGCCATAAAACTGTTCATTTATTTCCTTTGACCCAGCAATTCCACTTTGAGGAACACACCTTGGGGAAACAACCAAAAAGGAAAAAGAGCAATTGGTTTATACAGAGACAACTTCATTAGTGCTGCTTGCAGTGGAAGACCAAAGAGACAGCAAGCCAAGCATCCAACAACAATAGAATGGCTCAACACAGTGCCGACTGGAGGGGATAGAGCTATTAAAAAGTGGCAGCCATAAAGGCTTGAACTGACGTGAATCACAGGCACCTCAAAATTACTCAACACGCATCCAAACTTAAGGCCTCTCAGTTTCACCCACTGCTCCCCAAGCCTTCCCTTTCAAAGTAATCAGACCACCATAGACTGCTCAATGTGGGAACCTAGGAATCAACCTTGATCACTGCTTTCAATATCACCTGCTCCTTCCTATCTCGCCATCAGCAAATCTCTCCAAAATTTCTATCTAGTAATCCCCATCTTCATTGTCACTGCTCTAGCACCATCATCTCTGCCCTGAATTACTGTAAAATGTGCTAACTGGCCTCCAGCTTCTATGCTCCCCTTCTCTAATCCATTCTCCACAGAGCTGCCAGTGAGTTTTTATTTTTTTTAATTGCATTCAAGTCATAGTATTACCCTGCTTCCCACTGCACTCTGAGTGATGTCCTGATCCCTTAAAGGATCCTGTATGATATGGCCCCTGCCTGCCTTTTCAAGCTCGATCCGTTGTCCCCATTCACTGAGCAGCAACCACCGTAATCTTTCTATTCTCTGAACATGTAGGCTGTTTCCTCCCTCTGGGCCATCCCACATACTGTTCCTTCCTCCTGGCATACTCTTCCTTCTGTTCTTTAAAAGGCTGGTTCTCATTAAGCATCACCCCTTTTACGACGTCCAAGAAGGAAAGCCCATGAATAGTTTTTCATATCATATACCCAAAGTCTAGCAATGCCTGACATTTAATAGATGCCCCATAAATTTTATTAAACGGATAAAATATAAATATATCTCTGTAAGATAACAGAAAATAGCTGCACTAAGAAAAGCAGAACACAAGCAGGTACATACACATTAGTTTTAACTATACATAAATACTATAAACAAAGGGAATTGAATTGAAATGACACATAAAGAGAATTCTACACCCACTAGGTTCTTCTAGTCTGACAACTTACATAAGTTTAAATTGTTCTTTCTTAATAACTCATCTATCCTTCAGTTGTTGTTCAAAGTACTGAGATGTAATGCTAGCTCCAACTACCCTCTAACTTGACTAGAATGAATGAACAGTTAGTTTAAATCAAGATCCTTCTGAAACTCATTAATCATTTATTCCTTAACTGTTATGTGTCAGGACATTGAGCCAGAAACACAATGATGAAGAGCATATTGTCTTTGAGAAGCTGAAAAACAATATTAGCCCTGAGCTTTTCAAATGAGGAAACACACACAAACCTTGTCTATTTTGTTATTTTTCCTTGACCAGGTCTGCAAGGTTTAAACCCAAGAGGAGAGAGGAGTCATGGACTTCTACACATAAAAGAATAGCAAAGATTGAATCATGATATAGTTAGGATGTATGTCCTCTCCAAATCTCATGCTGACATGTGATCCACAATGTTGGAGGTGGAGTCTTACGGGAGGTGTTTGGGTCATGAGGTGGATCTGTCATGAACGGCTTGGCATTGTCCCATTGGTGATAACTGAGTTCTCTGTTAATTCCTACCAGAGCTGGTTGCTTAAAGAGCCTAGCACTTCCTTCCCTCTCTCTTGCTCCCTCTCTCACCATGTGACACACCAGCCGCCCTTCCGTTCTGCCATGACTAAAAGCTTCCTGAGGCCTTACTAGAAGCCAAACAGATGCTAAATCCATGCTTCTTGTACAGCCTGCAGAACCATGAGTGAAATAAACCTCTTTTCTTTATAAATGACCCAGTCTTGGGTATTCCTTTATAGCATCGCAAAACGGATTAACAAAAATATCCAGCTAAATTATTCTGGGGACCTGTTACCATTTGCCTTGGAATCTCTTTCTTCCTTCCCAACACCCCCACCTCTCCTAATCCTGGGCAAGCTGACCTGGCCGTGTATAGGATGAAATCAAACAATGGTCTTGTCCCAAAGGTTATTTGGGAGACCAGAATTCCAACCTGTTTTCCAGGACAAATGATTAAATAATTTCCTCTCACCCTTTGCCTTTTCCTAGTTTACTCAGTCTCTACAACCTACGAAGCGATGTTTAAAAGCTTACTTAAGCGAGTGCTACCAGTCAGTATGATAAACCACACACAAACACATGACCTCTGACACCCCTCAAATCACGGAGTTAAACCAGTTTCTAAGAGACCTGAAATGAAAAGTGAAAAAAGGAAATACTAACAACAGATGGTACAAGCCCGTGCACTTACCCTATACAAATAACTAGGCTGACAGCAAAGAAAACCCTAAAAGGTCCTCAAGTTCTCAGGATAAGTGAGTTGAAACTACATTGCTAAGCAGAACCCATGTCACACCGTTATTCACTAAACAAATATTTTTCAAAATGACCCAAGTAGCAGGAAAGCAAAGGATCCATTCCCTATTTATAACATTTCAATTTGCAGGAGTATCTTTCCATCTTAGCGATGGCACCCTTGCCCGTCAGAGTCACACCATAGGAAAATGCTTACCAATGACTGCACACCCTTCCCTTTCAATCCACACACAGGTTGCTCTCAGTTTATAACCAGCAGTTTTAGCTAAACTTCCAAGCACCATCGTGGAGCAGAACTGCTCATTAAATTTCTGGAAAGAGAATGTTCAACTCTTGGGTAAAGTCATTCTCTTTACAGAAAACAAAATTCTGGTAAATTAAGGTGACCTCTCTCCTACCAACAACTTGCAGAAAAAGCAGTGTGCACAAAGCCACACTGACCTAGATTTAAACCCTCTCTCCAGCAGTTGCCAACTGCATGACCATAAGATTTCTCAAACTCCATTCCCTTATCTGTAAAATGGGGCTAATGCTACTACCTCAAAGACTTGTCACATGTACTGAGATCATTTGCAGAAGGTATTCAACACAATGTCAAAGATAAGTACTCAATAAATAAGAGGCAGTGATAGCAATATCAATGATTAATATTAACACCCACTTGCTTATTCCTCCCCTCTGGGCTTTCAGAGCTGAAGCCCTATTGAATCCACAGCTGCTCTCATTTGATTCCTGGACTCATGGACTCACTCCTCTCCACTCTCCTAAATCCATTAAGCTCATGTTCCTTTTCCCAAAACAGATAGATTTGCAAGGGCACCAAGCAACAGAGCCACACAGCAGTACTGACAGGAGACGAACAAATAGAAAAGTATATAAAGATTAGATAATGAGCCTTGCTATGACTTAGCTTACTAAGTGCCCCCCTTAGTTTTCTTGTTTTTATTTTTGTGTAGCACAAAGTCTTAGGCATAATTTTTAAATATGAAGCCACAGGGCAATGTTCTGATCCCCACCCACACCCTGCTCAGTCCCACACCTGCCTGAGGTCTCTCTGAGCGCAACTTTCCCACCACTGCACACATCTGTCATCTCCAAAGCCAGGATACTGACAAGAAAATCTTCTGGTGGCCTTTAGCACCTCTCAAGAACAGTGAGATCACTACTGCTCACTGATCTCACTGAGATCACTATTGCTTACTATTGCTTTGAGTCAACAGCCTAAGTATCAGTGAACCCCACCTCTGTATAGCCCTCAGTCCTGCCTGTACTCACTGATATCTGCCAGGTTCCTCCTGGGTTATAACCTCTACCCAAGCTCCTCTCCTCTTGGATTCAGGCTAGAAATGAAGGTGGTAAGAAAGCTGGGTGGCAGCATGCAAGCCAATTTAGGATTCCCATTTTATTTTTTGGTATTTGACAAACACAAACACTGGGGCAAGGCCAGTATTTATTCATGATCTCGCCCCTATCCTAAATAATCAAAGCTCAGCAGCTGTTGCTGCTACAGCCACAAGGCCCAGCCTTCTGCTAATGCTAAATGAGGATCCAACTTTGGGAACCAAATTGATTCCTATTATGGCTCCCATTGTCATTCTGTCAAACAGACATATCTTTGCCTAATGGTCCACACTGAGTCAGCTCCAAGTGATCACTGGACACATGCCCAAAGCTCTGAGATAACCTGGGCTCTTCTTGTCACAGAAGAGAAGCACCTGAGTTTGCCAAGAAGTTGCTGGTGACCTGGCATCACCGGAATTTGCCAGGCCTGCTTGGGGAAAGAAAGCCAACAGAATATTAGTGCTTTCTGGAAAATAAGCACAAGGAAAAGTCACTCAATTCATACCAGCCCCTGAATAGTAATGATCTGATAATGCACCGGATCATTTCGTGTCACCAAAAAAAAACCAAAAAAAAAAAAAAGATGTTTATTTAAGGCAATTAGAGTTTACATGCTTTATGAAGGACCAGCTGAACACAAAATTAATTTGCAAACTGTCTATGCAGCCTCCAAAGAGGCTTCACCTCTCATCTTCGTGGATATAGTTGCCTGCAAAGTTAAAGTGTGATGTCTCCACATTCTGGTCTACAATGAAGAAAGGACAAAGACCACCTGCCAGAGCCAGCCCAGAAGCTCCCACCTATTTGTTCTGACCCAATAATAGCATACCTGGAGAAAAGGACTGTCTTCAAACTGCCCCAGAATATACAGCATTAACTGTGCTTACTATATCCTGCTTGATAGACTTTGTCTACATTTAGCCACACTAAAATATGTCATGCAGGAATTTGGTGGATATATGCCTTTTCAAGCCTCCCTTTTTTCCCTTCCCAACTTAAGGTAGTCCTTAAATCCCATTTACGAGGAATTTTTTTTATTGCTGATTTGATTTACTTGTGTAGTTTATTTACACTAGAGGTGTGTTTGTTTTGTACTGGACTTGGGGAAGATTCAAACATATGCCTTCAGAAACAGTTCAGATGACAGAGCTCAATTCCATTATACACATTTTGACTGTAATGATAACTCATGGGGTCGGTCAGGACTCCTGCATTCCAGCACAGGTTCTGCGCTCCCCATTCCTCTGATTAGAAGTTGCTTTCTCTACTGAGGCTAACGTATGTCATTCTCAGATTTGAAAGTCTTTTTTTTCTCTTATTCTCAGACTAAGAGCCAAAGTTACTTCAGGTATTTTAAAGATTTTAACATCAATCATATTTTGTGTATTAAGGTAAGTATACTACATTCATCCAGTGATTCCACATGAGCGAGTAAAACCCAACCAGCACTGGTGATGGCCATGCTCATTTTATATACCATACGAATTGTACCTTCATGGCAAGATCCAAATCCCAATTCATCCCTGGGTTCCCACTGCCCAGAATAGTGCCTCACTTAGAAAGGGTGCTCGATGCAGTTTCATTTGTAAACATGAAAAAGCAGTCACTTCCCCAGTAGAGTATTTTTTTTTCTCTCAACCAAAAAATACAGGGTGTTAAATCAGTATTTTTTATGCTCCCTTCCAGCTTTCACATTCTAGGATTGTAGAGCTAAGATATATAGGAGAGAGAAAATCTTTTGGATATAATATCAGCTCTAATTTAAAGTTCTGCTCGAATTTGCCACCAAGTCTTGACATGATTCAGAACTTCAGCCCCCACCAGACCACTCCACACCTGCCCAAACAGCCAAAGTGAATTGCCAATGTACGAGGTAATGTACTTTGATAAATGATGGTCAGGAGGTAGCACTAAGCTACATGTCTAGTTTCAGTAACAGAGAAAAACACTATTACTTGGCACTTTCTAGGCAAACGCACAGCTGGACAGGCTATAACAGCAAATAGCCCTCTATCTGGAATTCATAATGCTTGCAAAAGAGTTTTCTAAAACTTCAGACCTCATATCTTTACCAATTATGGCTCCCTTCTCTTCTGAGGGCCTCACTGCCAAAATCCTACCTATGCAGTTAAAGCGAGCTCCCCGAGGGCAAGGGGCATCTCTGACTAAGTAGTGTCACTCTGGGCAAGCCATTCTAGAGCATTCCTTATCACTGGCACAAACCTAAAGCTCTCATGGATCTTGTCTCTGCCTTACAGAGATATGATATAGCAAGGGTAAGTGTCTCAGGCAGAATAGTACAATTGGTAAAGTCAAGATGGTGGAAGGTAAGCTTAGATTCTGAAGACAAAGCACAATCATGCACACTAGACTTACTGGGTGTCGAGCAACAAGAATGTTTTGTCCACCTGAGCCCCAGACTTTTGAACCCAGCTCTTGTCTTTCAGTGTATGTTTTACTTTCTATTATCATGCAGACACTCATCAGAAATAGAAGTGCAAGCAGCAAGAATACTTCCTTCCAAAGGCATTCCTGTAATTCTCATTCACGTTCTGTAACAAACCAAACCACCTTCTTAACTTTTCCCCAGTGAGCCTTCTCTGTTGTTACATTTCATTATCAAGCAATTTGGACTTGTGAAACACGCAGTGTGGCACAGGGCTAAGGGAGGACATGAGCTGAAGAGCCAGGCAGTCCTGGGTTCTGGCCCCAGCAATATCACGTGCAAGCTGTGTGGCCTGGGACAAACCAATGAAGTTCTGGGAGCTTCCATTTTCTCAACTATAAAAAGGAGACAATATCACCTGCTTCACAAAGATGCTATGAATAAATGAGATACTGTATACAAAGCACCTGGCATGTAGCAATTGCTCTCTCTATACATATACAATTGCTATATACATGTGTATATATTATATCATATTGTGTACCTATATATTTGTATTTTTATAAGCTTATAGTAAGCTATTTTTCATGCAGTTAGCCGGTCATGACAAACAAAAAGTCATAACACAAAAATGATGACAATAAATATTATCACACAAAAAGGGAGATATTTGAAAGAAGAGCATTAAAAGACATAATAAATAGAACATTTTACTGGGATTATTACTTTTTAATCTAACTGTAATACGTGGGCAGGCCACTAACTTGCCCACCTCCCCCAGTAGTGTTCTGAGTACCCTGCCACGTGTACCCAGGCTCCAGTACCTGATGTCCGTTATGTTCACATGGCCAAGGATCCCAATGGGATAAATACTTCTTGGAACAGTATCATGAGATCATCATTTTATACATTAACAAAGCCTGTGCTGTGGACTTGGGCATGCAGAATAAGAATGTGAAAGACAAAAGGCATTTCCTCCCCACCCTGGATGGGGATTATAACATAGTCTCTACTGATTCCTGGCACACCCTCCAGTCACCCTTCAGGATGAAGGGCTGAACCTCATGCCATTTCATGAATTTACCTGAAGTCTTTTTAGCATAGCTAGCAGAAGAATAAGGAATCCTGTATTGGTTATCAACTTGAGACTGCTCCTAAGCCCCATTATAAATTTTATCTTTTTCAAAGTAGCCAAACTTAAATTGTCAGGTCTTTAGTTGCAAATCCAGTGCACAATTTTTAGGGTAGGTTGAGTTTGATGACTTATTTTTTATTTTGGTTTTGGAGACAGGGTCTCACTCTGTCACTCAAGCTGGAGTGCCGTGGCATGGTCACAGCTCACTGCAGCCTCAACATCCTGGGCTCAAGCCATCCTCCCACCTCAGCCTCCTGAGTTGCTGGGCATACAGGCGCACACCACCGCCACACCCACCTAATTTCTTGTAGAGATGGGGTCTCACTATGTTGCCCAGGCAAATCTCGAACTCCTGGACTCAAGCAATCCTCCCACCCTGGCCGCCCAAAACGCTGGGATTACAGGCATAAGCCAGGGTGCCTAGCCTGATGATTCAAGAAAAGGAGCTGGGCCCTTTCTCAGTTAGTTAAGGCAACCTACCATTTGATTACATCAAGACCTTTGTTTAATTACCTACCTCATGCTAAAAGGTAAAATAAATGGAGTATTGCACAATGACTTAAGATTTAATCTGGGAATGGACTCTGTGAGGCATATAATAATCAGATGTGTTAGAAGCACCTGAAACATAGTAGTGGATAGTAGTGGATCTAAAGCTGTGAAAAAGGAAATGATGATAGTTCTCACTCCACTGAACTAGGATCAGTGTTCCCATGGACCTAGATGTGTTTCTCTCCACACCAAGACTGTCAATCCAGGTTCATTGTCCCAAGAGACTCCCCGACTACTGCTTACCATCCACCACACTTGTTTCACTTGTTTCAAAGATATAAACCTTGGCCATGCCATTAATAAGTGGGCAGAAAAGAGTTTCTGAAGGGAGACTGGGACTTGCCTCATTATAAATGCTAACAGTAACAAACTTTTATTTAGTCTCTCTCTTCCTCTTAAAACACACACACAAGGAACCAGAGTGTCTGTAGGATGAATTCCCAGGCCATAGCAACTGCAATGTCCTGAGATCTAAGCAGTTCTTGGCTGGCCAGGCGTTAAGCCCTTTTGGGGAAGGAGACAGCAAGCCTGCTTTTCCCTTACACAGCCCTGTCGTGAAAACAAGCTCTTGTTTCTTGGGGGTTTTTTTGTTCGGTTTTTAGCTAAGAATTTCCATCCCTCCTGCAGTGATAAAAGATAGGCAAGGGAAGCTCAAGGGTTTGATCTCAAATTTTCTTCCACCTAACTTGCCCCTTCACCCCAATATTTGGAAATAAAGGGAGGGAATTTGGGGGAAGTTGAGGGTAAGTTTTTGGTCAAGATGATTGACCCGAGATGTGGATGCAGCTTAGACGATGAGGGAGACTGCACCACCCTGCAGGGTCACCTGCCTAGCCACAGGTAAACGAGGGATCGGAAAGACTGTAGAAAATTCATCTTCCTTCACACACATCTCCTTCCCCCTCCCCCCATTCCAGTGCCGGCGCGCTGGCTGGCTGGAAGCCGGCGCTTTGGAGGCGCCGGAGAGTGGGTCTAAGGGTGATATTTCGGCATACAGAACCTGAGACCCCACCCGAGCCAAGAGGGAAGAGAGAGGGTAAAGGGATTGAGGAGGGGGCGGCTTGCGCCCTGCTCGGGAATGCACCGCGCGACAGCACCCGGAGGTCTCCGGTGTCCGGCGCGCACCGGTACCACTGTCTTCCACTGCGGTAGCATCCCGACATGACATTGCAGCTGCAACAAAGCGCCGGCCTCGGCCGGCCGTGGGAGCCCCACACCGCGGCGAGGCCCCACACCACGCAGAGGGGCAGTGGCCGATGGGTGGGGGGCTGTGGCTGCGGGCGTGGGGAGCGCGAGGTAGGCCGAGTAGGGGGAAAAGCCCTCAAATGCGCAGAAGCTGGGCGGCTACCTCTAGCGTCTCCTCCAGCAAAGCCAGACTGCAAGGAAAACAATTCGTCTTCATTCCCCAGCCCCGGCTGAGCCCTGAGATTCCCCCAAATAACCTAGTCGAGGCCCTCTGGTGTGTTGCCTTCCCTTGGAAACCCCTCAGTGCCCGTAACCCAGTCGGCCGGGCCCCGCGCCTCCCTAAGCCCCGGCCCGGTGACCCGCCCGGCTCCCGGAGAGCGGTTCCTTCTGCTCCGGCGCCGCCGCCACCCCCGGTCCACGCAAGCGCTCACCAGGAGAAGGGAGCCCGCGATCATCGTGGCTGTGGCTCGGCGGGCGATGCGGCTGCAGGAGGCGAGGGCGGTGCTGCTGCTCGGAGAGGTCCCCATGGCTGAACCGGGGACTCGCAGGGGCGCCCGGGGCGCGCGGGGCAGCTGGAATCGGCGGCTGCTTCTGCCCAGCGCCGCATCCACCGCCGCCTCCCGGGCCGGGAGCCCATCTACCTCCAACACCCCATGTGCACTGCTGCGGCCGGGCAGAGGAGGGAGGCGGCAAGGGAGGCTCTAGGGGCGCTCAGCACCTGCCCAGCGGCGCGGCCGCCCAGGCGGGGAGAAGCCGCCGCGACTGCAGCCCGCGTCTCCGGGTGCTCTCCTCCGACAGCGGCTGAGGAGAACCAGGGAGGAGGACTGGGCGCGAGAGAGCAAAGGAACGACTTCCCATAGCGAAGCTTCCAGCCACTGCCAACCACCCTCCTCCGCTGCCCAGACTGGTCGGCGAGGGACTGAGTCGGTGGCCACCGGGCGCAGGGACACACGTGGTGGCGCCGAAGGGGCGGGGGACCGGCCCTTTGTGATGTCACCCGGGAGGAGGCCGGGCTCTTTGTGCGGTTGGAAAGGCGAAGGCGTTCCAGGTAGAGCGGGGAGGGAGAGGGTGCCCCTTGGCGTTCGCTGAGGAAATTGCACGCGCCTGTTGACCCAGGGAAAGCGCTGAGAAAGCATCTCACTCCTGATCTAACTTTACTTATTTTTTCCGAGATAATTCCAACTAAATTATTTCAGCTACATACGCCTTTCCATTGTTTCGGACACGATGATTAAATCAGAGAGCGATGGTGAATAGACCACAGAGCACTTAGATCAACTGCGTGACGAAAAAGGAGACCTGTGTGTTGCTTCTCAAACTTTGCTGCCCTGTGGAATCACCTGGAGAGTTCAAAACATATATATTGATTCTTGGGTCCCACCTCTAGAGACTCTGATTTAATTGGAACAGGACAGGATCTGGTCTGGGCATTGAGGTTTGTTGTTGTTGTTGTTTGTTTGTTTTTTAAGTTTTCAGGGTGATTTTAATATGGGGCAAAGATTTTAATTTTTTATATTTTAATTTTAATATGGGCTTATGAATGCAATTAAGGAAATCCAAACTAAAAGGATTTAAAACCCAGAGTCATTGGTGTTGGGTCCATGGATGGTCTTGGAGGGACTTTTGAACTCCTTGAAATGTATCAAAAGATGCATTTTCCTAATTTAAAAATCAAGAGTTTTGAATCGGATTATCCCTGAGATTTTTTTTAATCACCCTTCCCCCAAAAAATAATGCTAAAAATTTTTGAGTTGATTTCCAAAGGCCTTGTCAGGATGTGGGTGGTAGAATAGGTAGTATTCTGCTTCAGAAGGAGAACTGGAATATTCTCGTGGATGTTGGTATCTCACACACTTCTGAATGTAAGAGAGCAGCTGTTATCCTTTTCTTTGTTTCACCTGGGGGAAGGCCGAGTCTCCTGACTGTGGCCACCATTTCTGGTATCGTGTTATCCATCATCTAGGTACTGACAGCACATGGCACACTGTATTGATATTACCTCTTCAGCCATCCAGTCCACACCCCTCAATTGGGAGCCCTATGGTGCTGGGCTTATCCTAGGCTCCTTTGGTCCCATTTCAAAAGAATCACACTTTTTAAACTATCAGTTTCAAGATCCAACACCCAGTGCTAATAAAGGTAACTTGCTAAGTCATAGGTACCAATTATTTGCTTTATTAGTTAACATGTTGTCCTTTGATTCTTTGCTCTATGCACACTTTGGTAGAAGCTAAAATTAATATGAGGGTTAATTCCAATCTATTATTTCAAACATTTGTCAGTATTGTCTATAAATGTTAGAGTGGGAAAAAAGCTACAATATATAACCTCTAGTGAAATTCAAAGGAGTTCTAGAAAATATTACCATTAATTATGGAGTTTTGGGGAAAGGATGATGGTTGGACTTGCCACTCTCTAGCTATTTTCAGAAGTTGAAAGAGTGAGGGATAGATGCTGTGTTTTCATGCATAACTGTATCAATTTTTTCTTCAAAAATTCAAATGACTGGCCAATACTATTATAAGGTTGGGTTGTTTTTTTTTAAGAAGTTACATAGGTATTAAAGAGGAGGAGGAGCTTCAAATACGTTTTTATTTAGTCCATTTTACTCCTTGCATCCAAACTCACATTTTTCGTGGTAATATATGATTGATTTGCTCTAAAGAGTTGGGCAACTTTAGAGTTTAGTGTCTGGGTTACTATGCAGGTATAAGAAGTTCTTCTCAACTATTTGTCTTCCTAAAACTAAAAGAAAATTGTTTATTTGTGCTTGGACCACTTTGAAACTTCATGAATTCCTGGTGTTCCATTGATCATATCAAGTTGAAATTTAATATACATTTTGAGAGATGAAAAAATTTACTCAATTCTGTTTACTACTAACATTTAAATACATGTCCCTCTATAGAGTGATAGATTATAGATAATTTGAATCTAGATGCAGTGTGAAATTTTATTACTTTGAATTGAAATGTATACATGCCTTCCATTTTGAAGTAACAATGCTGCAACCATTAAATAATTCATTGCCACATTTTCAATGTGGTAACTTAGACATGTCTGTTTTCTGGGAAAGGATAAAAATTCAATGATACATAAGGAAGTTTCTCCCAAAGTTCCAAGGAAAGAGGAGATATGTGTTGATAAATCATAATTATAGCTAAATTTTAAAGGAAGGCCTAAATGAGTTAATCCAATGTCATCTTTGCCATAAAAATTACTCTATCTCCACCCTCCATCCTACCTTTGGACTTTCTCTCTTTCTGCCAATGTTGTACAATTTTTCTAGTTTTCCAACCTCAAAAATCATTGCTAATTCTTTCCTCGTCCTTAGTACATTCCAATTAATGCTTTCCTAACCTTTCATTTTTTTCTATTTTATCTTTCTTGTTAAAAATCTGATATATACATCTGGATACTGAAGAAATCACCAGAGATTGCGCCACTGCAGTCCGCAGTCCGACCTGGGCGACAGAGCGAGACTCCGTCTCAAAAAAAAAAAAAAAAAAAAAAAAAGAAATCACCAGATTTACCATCTTGTCTTAATTATTTTTTTAACTTATCCTGCACACTTTCAGAAGGTCTAGTAAAATTTCATGTTCTTTATAATGAAAATAACAATTGTCCACATTTTGAGAAATGACTGCTGCATGACAAACATCCTGAGCCGATCTATGAGGGAATGACAGAAAGTTGGCAGGAAAATGCCAGCTCCGTTGGGGAGACCCTAACCCAGTGGCGCTAGAGGAATTAAAGACACACACACAGAAATATAGAGGTGTGAAGTGGGAAATCAGGGGTCTCACAGCTTTCAGAGCTGAGAGCCCCGAACAGGGATTTACCCACATATTTATTAACAGCAAACCAGTCATTAGCATTGTTTCTATAGATATTCGATTAACTAAAAGCATCCCTTATGGGAAACGAAGGGTGGGCTGAATTAAAGGAATAGGATGGGCTAGTTAACTGCAGCAGGAGCATGTCCTTAAGGCACAGACCGCTCAAGCTATTGTTGGTGGCTTAAGAATGCCTTTAAGTGGTTTTCCGCCCTGGGTGGGCCAGGTGTTCCTTGCCCTCATTCCTGTAAACCTGCAACCTTCCAGCTTGGGCGTTAGGGCCATTATGAACATGTTACAGTGCAAAAGAGATTTTGTTTATGGCCAGTTCTGAGGCCAGTATATGGCCAGATTTTGGGGGGCCTGCTCCCAACATGTCCCCCTTCTCTGATTTGCAAATCGATAAAAGCAAAGGCAGCTTTGTCATGGTGAGCTACTTCTCGCAGGAGTCAGGTTCCACATCTGCAGACTATACAAAGACAAACAACACAGATTAAAAGCACAAACGTCATTGAAATCACAGAGCTTCCAAGTGTTTTTATCCATTGTAATGGGTTACTAGCTGCTAATTTGTCTGTAACTCCTTCAAGCACTCCAGTTCCTGGCATTAAGGTCAGGTGTGCCTGCGATGCTTTAAACATTTGTTCTTTTAATTTTAATTCCTTATGTTAAGCTCCTAGAGCGGGCTATATCATTTGAGGCTGAGGTGCTGCTATACCACCATGGTTCCAGGTAATGGGAACTTTTGCCGTAGTTCTTATCATTTCTACCATCTGACCGTTTTGTTCAGATCATCTGAACATAGTGTGGCCGTGGCATGCAGACTGAGAGGTGCAATTCAAGCTAAACGTCCCCTTAGGGGACGAATTAATAATGATTCCATAGGAATCGTTGTGCAGCACCTCTGCCTGTTCTGCAATGCAATCTTCCTAAACAAGTACGTTCATTTTTTCTAACTGGGTCCAATCCTGTTTACAAATAGGTTTTTGTAAACCTATTCTGCCCCAATTTTTTTTGTAAACCTGATTCTGCCCCAATTTTTTTGTAAACCTGATTCTGCCCCAATTATAGGAACAGAATCAGAAATCACATTAATAGGCATATCAAAAGCAGTCAATACCTCAATTATAGCTACAAGCTCTGCTTTTTGAACTGAAGTATAGGGCATCTGAAAAACTTTACCTTTTGATCCAGAATAAGAAGATTTACCATTACTAGACCCATCTGTAAAACAATGAAAACAGGCTGCATGTTGTTTACTGCAGGAATTGTAAATGCAAACTGTTCACAGTCTTGCTCAGCTAAAGGGATAGTAAAGAAACAATCTTTTAAATCTATGACTATTAAAGCCCAATTTTTTGGAATTATAGCAGGAGAAGGCAATCCTGGCTGTAATGCTCCCATAGGTTATATAACTGAATTGATAGCTCTGAAGTCAGTTAACATTCTCCATTTACCTGATTTTTTCTTAATTACGAAAACTGGAGAATTCCAAGGAGAAAATGCTGGAGCTATGTGCCCATTTTCTAATTGTTCAGTAACTAATTTCTCCAAAGCCTCCAGTTTCTCTTTACTTAGCGGCCATTGTTCTATCCAAATTGGCTTATCTGTTAACCATTCTAAAGGTATAGGTTCTGGAGGCTTAACAATGGCTGCCATCAAAAATGATATCCTAATCTTTGGCGGGAACTTTTTAAACCTTGCAAATTTTTTTTTCTAGTCCTGTTCCGGGTACATACCCCATTTCATGAATCATATGTTGACTTTGAGGGCTATATAATTGTTCTGGAATTAGAATTTGTGCTCCCCATTGTTGTAATAAATCTCTTCCCCATAAATTTATAGGTACAGAAAGTTATAATTGGTTGAATAGTCCCAGGTTGTCCATCGGGCCCTTCACAATGCAAAATATAACTACTTTGATATACTTCAGGGGCTTTACCAACCCCAACCATGTTAAATTGAGTGGGTTGAATTGGCCACGTGGACGGCCAGTGCTGTAGAGAAATGATTGACATGTCTGCTCCTGTATCTACCAAGCCTTTAAATTTCTTTCCCTGAATAGTTATTTCACAGGTAGGACGTCTATCAGTAATTTGATTTACCCAATAAGCTGCTTTGCCTTGTTTATTTGTGCTTCCAAATCCTCCTGTTCATTTAATTTCACTTTTTCCCATTCCCACATATGGCACAATCAGGAGCTGCACTATGCGCTCTCCTGGCTCTGCTTTCCAGGAAACAGAAGTAGATATAACAATTTGAATTTCCCCATTGTAATCTGAATCAATGACTCCTGTATGTATTTGTACCCCTTTTAAACCTACACTAGACCTTCCTAAAAGTAATCCTATCGTCCCTGCTGGCAAGGGTCCACAGACTCCTGTTGGGACCTTTTGCGGGGGTTCCCCAGGCAGAAGGCTCACAGCTTTTGTGCAGCATAAATCTACCATGGCACTACTGGCTGTGGCAGGCGACAGACATTGTACGGGGGTGAAGGAATGGCCTGAGCTGGAAATGCCCCGGTTTAGACCTGGGCCCGGGATGGGCCCCTCATGGTGTTTCCCGAAATCGCGTTCCCATCTTTATCAAACTTAGAGTGACAATGATTAACCCAGTGTTTTCCTTTTTTACAATTTGGACATATTTCAGGATCAGCAGTTTTCTTTTTTCCCATATCTGGCAGCCTGACTCACTGATTTTTTCTACATTCTTTTTTAGTATGACCATGCTTCCCACAGTTAAAACAAGGTCCAGGAAATAGAGTATTTCCTTTATCCACTCTCAGTCCTGCCATTGCCTGTGCTAGCAGAGTAGCTTTATGCAGATTACCTCCGATACCATCACAGGCCTTGATATAATCAACTAAATGTGCTTTCCCGAATTTAAAAGGAAAAGGCTCAAATGTAGCTATAATATTTCCCTGTTGATCTGGGGGGTGTATTCTAACAGGGAACTGCCAAGCCTCTAAATCACCCTCTTGTCAGGCTGAATTCCTGCCTGAATAGAACTAAGAGTGGTGGCTCAAGGCGCTGCTCTAACAGTCACTGGGGCAACTACTTTTTGCCCAGTGTCCTCTGGAAAAGAAAGATCTGGAGGGTCTTTTCTTCAAAATAATAAGGAGGGGGTGCAGAAAGGTAGGGTTGAACCTCTCCCTCCTTTGCCGCTTTAGCTTTAGCTGGCACATAGACCTGGTCTGTAACCTCTTCTGTTACTTCATTATACTCTCGTTCCTCCTCATCATCAGTGTGAAAAAGTTCCAAGGTGAAACGAACCAGACCCCACACCTGTCCCATTGTTACCCTGACACTTCTGAGCTCCCCTTCTTACTCACCATGGGGATTGCTTTAAGAGTACTCAGGTATCCTCCATTTTCAGTTTTCCATTCCAACCATCATTCCAGCGACCCTTCAACCTGGATTCAAGCCCCCACAATGGATGCCACTTGCCAAGACAAGCTCCGTAGGGGAGACCCTAACCCAGCGGCACTAGAGGAATTAAAGACACACACACAGAAATATAGAGGTGTGAAGTGGGAAATCAGGGGCCTCACAGCCTTCAGAGCTGAGAGCCCCGAACAGAGATTTACCCACATATTTATTAACAGCAAGCCAGTCATTAGCATTGTTTCTATAGATATTCGATTAACTAAAAGCATTCCTTATGGGAAATGAAGGGATGGGCCGAATTAAAGGAATAGGCTGGGCTAGTTAACTGTAGCAGGAGCATGTCCTTAAGGCACAGATCGCTCATGCTATTGTTTGTGGCTTAAGAATGCCTTTAAGCGGTTTTCCGCCCTGGGCGGGCCAGGTGTTCCTTGCCCTTATTCCTGTAAACCCACAACCTTCCAGCTTGGGCGTTAGGGCCATTATGAATATGTTACAGTGCTGCAGAGATTTTGTTTATGGCCAGTTTTGGGGCCAGTTTATGACCAGATTTTGGGGGCCTGGTCCCAACAGGAAAAGGTGTGAGTATAGAAAAGGTGCATAAATTAGCTGAAGCTAAACTCAGACGGAAGAACTTGAAATATGTCTAAGCAAGGCTGGGCATGGTGGCTCACTCCTGTAATCCCAGCACTTTGGAAGGTCAGGAGTTCGAGAGCAGCCTGGCCAACATGGTGAAACCCCATCTCTACTAAAAATACAAAAATTATCCAGGTATCCTGGCAAGCAGCTGTAATCCCAGCTGCTCAGGAGGCTGAGGCAGGAGAATCGCTTGAACCTGGGAGGCAGAGGTTGCAGTGAGCCGAGATTGCGCCACTGCACTCCGGCCTGGTGACAAGAGTGAAACTCTGTCAAAAAAAAAAGGAAAGAAGGAAAGAAAGAAAGAGAGAGAGAGAGAGAGAGGGAGGGAGGGAGGAGAAAAGGAAAAGGAAAGAAAAGAAAAAAGAAAAGAAAAGAAAAGAAAAGAAAAGAAAAGAAAAGAAAAGAAAAGAAAAGAAAAAAAGAAATATATCAAACCAATGGCAAGATTGTTTCATTGCAATGCATACTAAGTATCTATGTATCTACTGTGTGCCCGGCACTATTGGCTACTGTAGATAACAATATCTCCCCTTGAAGAGTCTCATCTTCAAAGTCTCCAGAGGAGAGAAAGTAAAAAGATGATTAAAATACTGCAGCTATAATACAGATATGGGTGGTAGAGATTGCCCTTATCCCGCTGATAAGTGTATACCTATTTTCAACTGATCACATGGCTCCCCAGAAAAAAAGACTACATTTCCCAGCTTCCAATTGTGCTATGCATGGCCATGTGACTGAAGTTCTGGTCAAGCTGAATTGTCATATGTGCCTTCTGGGAAGCCTTCTCATTGGCTAAGACTTAATTATCCATCATCCCTCTCATTCCATGTGTCACCAAGACCTGATAATTTTATCTCAATCGATTCTAATTTAATTTTATCTCTACCAGTTTTGTCCCCTGCCCCTTCACAATATCCCTTCTGCTCTAGGTCTTTTTTCTAGATGAGTACCCAAACGTCATGATTGTTCTTCCTGCCTCTAGTGTTGTCTGGACCTCTTCGTCCTGCAAAAATCTCTTCTTCATATGCTAAGGAAAATGAGCTTTTCAGAATACAAAACTGATCATGTTCGTCCCCCACCAAAAATCCAGCAGAATCGTCATTATTCTTAATTTGAAGCTCAAAGTCCTAATAAAACTACCCATATTCTGATCACTGCTTATGATTCAACCCTCCGCATTGCTACAATATGGCACATAGAGCCTTTACTTCCTATATCCAGTTTAGTTTTCCATCCCCACTGCCTGCCAATCCCCAGGGATCCCTACCCCAAATTCTACACACTAATCCCATTTGATTATTCTGTTCCTTAACTACTTTTTTCCTGTTGTGCTTCCAAGCCTTTGTTGGGAGTTGTTTTCATTTCCCTTCCCATGAATCAACCCTTAGATCAAACTCAAATGGCACCGCATCTGAGAAGCCATTCCTAATGATCTCTCTTCACCTACTCTACCTCCATTTGGAACTGGTTGTTCCTCTTGTGTGTTCCATGTGTCTCTGTTATAGCATACATGATATTATACTATAGTTACTTTATTTCTGTGTGTCCCCAGCCAGACTTTGAGCTCTTTGAGGTCAAAGTCCGTGTCTTAGTTATCTTCATATCTCCATAGTTGAGATTTGAGATAGTTACCTAGCTCAGTAAATATTTGTTGAATGAAATAAACTTGGAAAATCTGACAAGCAGCATAAGAGTTAACACACACGATGTGCCTTTTCTTTTTCCAGGTCTTAATTCAAGCATCCTGAGTTGTGCTATCCAAACAATAACAGATTTAATATTGTGTATTACTAAAGTGCTATGTACCAGACTTGGGTTAAACATATGTCAGCAGTTCTGGTTCTTTAAAAGAATTCATTTAAGAACCTGCTGTTCTTTGGCCTAACAAGGAACATCAGCCAGTCAGCAACAGATTGCAAGATTAAGTGCATGAGCATGAGTTTGATCAAGTCTCCATGGTGACATGCTACAAAGATGGCACTCTTGGATAAGATAAAATGGGGATAGAATTGCAAAGCAGGCACAGTTCCAGAAGCTTCCTTCTTTCTTGGATGATAAGAAAGAAATAATTTGAAAACTAAGATGGCCAATCCCTTGAGGATAAGATACCTCTGTCCCACTCCCAAGAACAGTGGGGCAATTTATTTCCCTTCTCTTAGGAAAGAAGCTGCAAAAGGTAAAGCACTGTGGAAAAGAGAGCTCATCTGGAATTGCCCATTCCGTATCTGCTTTGGAGCCCACATGTGTAATGTTTTCATTTTGCCATAAGCTTTTCTCACAACCTTAAATCATTTGTCCCTCATTGCAAGAGTTGGTGTGAAAATAGATCTTGTTCTACACTATTCCCTGCTCTTGCTAAAAGAAATTTTAACAGTTTACTCAAAAGGCAGTGGGCTTGGGGAGCCACCAGGTATTGGATCAAATCTCCATTATACTACTTATTAACTGTGTAAATTTAAGCAAGTATCTTAATCTTTTTGCATCTCTTCACTCGTAATGCAGTTAAAAACTATCTCATAGTGGAGATATGAGGAATAAATGAGACAAAATCTATAAAATTTCTAGCACAGGGCTTGTCCCTTAGTATTTACTTGATAAATTAACTTCCTTTCTGGAATCCCTTTTTGAAAGGGACAGTCTTTTATAAACTACTCTGATTAGAGAAGAAACATTGGGTTGGAAAGTTTGAAATTTCTTCAGACACGTTAGAATTTAGGGTAAAGATGAATAGAAAAATTGCTTACTCAGATATTGATGCAATGTGATGTCATAAAAGTTATAATAGCCAGGAGATCTGACTTCTGGTCTTGGCTCTGGCATTAACCAGCGGTGTGATTTTGGACAAGTCGCTGCACTTCACTGTATCTGCTTGGATTTTTAAGCTTCCTAGTGTGAAAAATGATAAATGTGGACTAAATGATCTTTTATGATCCTTTTCTGTCACTGAAGTGCTAGGATACTAATTGGATCATGTGGTATATTTCTCTTGGTTGTGAGAATTGTGAGCTGTTTGAAGTAGGAAAAGAGTAGATTGAAGAACGAATTATTTGGTGAGTGTGAGGTCCAAGCAGATGCTTTGAAGTGTAAAAGGATCATGGAATTTAATTAGCTTCTGTTCAGGAGTTGTCTGTCCAGTTCAGGAGTTATCAAGTCATTGGCATCTCCACCCTTTTTACTTGTTATCTCTCTCCGATCTCCTTTCATCTGCTCAATCACCAAGTAGTTACCGAGGGCTTGCTTTGGCCCAGTGCTGTGCTAAGAGGCAGAGTTGCAAGCAGAATATCAGGCAAGGTCTCTGCCTTCCAGAAGCTTTCAACAAAACCAGATTGATGAGATTAACATACATGAAAGCATACAGTACAGACACATAATTTAGTACCGAGATATGTGACCCAAGTTATACATGTATAGAAGGATTTTTTAAAAAGATTATTGAGGGTTGGTGTACTTAGGAAACGCAGAATAGTTATTCTTGAATATGGGGAAATTTTGTATTGGAAGAAGTCAGCTGGGTTTCTGAGCCAATGAAGCAAAATAAGTGAAGGTGCAGAAACAAGGAAGACATGACTTTGCCATTTGACACTCTAAGATGTTTCCTATCTAACCAAACACTGTACCCTTTTCTCTGTCCTTCAGCCCTGCTGAGGCTGACATGTATTCTCATCATGGTTTCTGATCTATCTACCTCTCTGCTTTCCCTGTTAGTTATCCCTTCTATTATCAAGTCACTTGCCCCAGAGCCATGCTACAAGTCCTCTCCCTGTGGCCTACCATTCCTATCTTAAAAGGTTCATCCAGTTTGGCATAGCCCTGCCTTTATTTTCTCAGATCTTACTCTGTGAACCATCAGGCTTGTTAAAGAAGTCTTGTCTACACTAACAGAACTCCATGCTATTCAACTGAACTTGATCCTCACTGCTCAGTGAAAATCAAGTTTTTTTTTTTTTTTTGGGACGGAATCTCGCTCTGTCACCCAGGCTGGAGTGCAATGGCACAATCTCGGCTCACTGCAACCTCTGCCTCCTGGGTTCAAGCAATTCTCCTGCTTCAGCCTCCAGAGTAGCTGGGATTACAGGCACACGCCACCACACCTGGCTAATTTTTGTATTTTTAGTAGAGATGGGGTTTCACCATATTGGCCAGGCCAATCCCCAACTCCTGACCTCAAGTGATCCACCCACCTCGGCCTCCCAAAGTGCTGGGATTACAGGCATGAACCACTGCACCCAGCCACAATCAAGCTTTTGTCTTTGACTTCTCATGGCATTGTGCATGTTGATTGCCCCAACTTCTTTCTGTTTTTCTCAACTCCTCTGCCCACCCTCCTTTGCCCTTTCACTCTCATCAGATAATCTTGATGATCATGATTCTGTAATGCAAGCTCCCCTCCACTTCCTTCTTTACAAGTCTAAGTAGGCCTGGAATGGTGGCTCATGCCTGTAATCCCAGCACTTTGGGAGGCCGAGGCAGGTGGATCACAAGACCAGGAAATGGAGACCAGACCATCCTGGCTAACACGGTGAAATCCCATCTCTACTAAAAATACAAAAAAGTTAGCTGGGCATGGTGGCACACGCCTTGTATCCAAGATACTCAGGAGGCTGAGGCAGGAGAATCACCTGAACCCGGGCGGCAGAGGTTGCAGTAAGCCAAGATTGCGCCACTGCACTCCAGCCTGGGTGACAGAGGGAGACTCCATCTCAAATAAATAAATAAATAAACAAACATGTAAACAAATATAAGATCCCTTACACTTTACCCTGCAACCTCTTCAAGTTACTCCTTGGTCTTTCCTCTTCTTTTTAGCAACCAACTTTTTGAAAAAGTAACTGTTTTCTTCCAAGTCGGTTTTCTTATCTCTTGAGTTTGGTTTTCCTTTCATCAAACCACAGTCTCCACCCCCGACACCCCGTCATGTCCCCGGTGCTCCTGCTGCACAGATCCTTCAGCATTTGTGCTGCTGAATCCATCTTCCCTCTTGAGTATGCATTGCCATCTATTGGCTTTCACTGCTGTAGCATTACCTTAAGATGTCTAATTTTCTCTTTTTGTTTCTGCCTTATTCTTTGTTTCAGTTTTCTTTCTCCCTAAAAATATAGACATCCCCTGATGTTCTTTTTTCAGCCCTTTCTTTTCTCTCCATGCCTTCTCTCCATGGTTACGCATTTATTATCACAGTTTCAGCAATGTTTCTATTCCTTTAACTCTCAACTCTTCACCTCTGGCTCTTTCAGTCAAGACCCATTTTCATTTCTAGCGGTTTGCTCAGTGCCACTTCTGCAATATGGAAATGGCCCTCAAACTCAACATCTCAGCCGGGAACAGTGGCTCACGCCTGTAATCCCAGCACTTTGGGAGGCCGAGGCGGGTGGATCACCTGAAGTCGGGAGTTCGAGACCAGCCTGACCAACATGGAGAAATCCCATCTCTACTAAAAAATACAAAATTAGCCAGGCGTGGTGGCACATGCCTGTAGTCTCAACTACTCAGGAGGCTGAGGCAGGAGAATCGCTTGAACCCAGGAGGCGGAGGTTGCGGTGAGCTGAGATTGCACCATTGCACTCCAGCCTGGGCAACAAGAGCGAAACTCCATCAAAAAAAAAAACTCAACATCTCTGAAGCCCTTCTCCTGTTAACAAGGCCACAGCTCTAAATAAGCCAACAGCTCTTTTTGTAGTCACTATTTCTCTTTTGTTTTTTTTTTTTTTATTTGTTTGTTTGTTTTTAGTGACAACACATTTCTTCCCCACTCATAGGCCTGGTTCCCAGAATTGTGTCTGACTCCTCCTTTTCTTTGCTTTCTCGTACCTCCTACCTCTACTCTGCTGCTAAGACCCGTATTTTAACAAAGACTCATATCTTTATATGCCTTTCCATTTCTTTCTAGCAACAAACTCATTGAAATTTTTAACAATGTTGCTTAGCTAAATTCGTTAGCTTTATACCTGGGCTACTTCTCACTAGTCCCTCTCCTCTAAGATACTTAAACACCATGGCTAAATTAATCTTCCTAAGTAATGGACTTGATTATTTCTCACAGTGCTCAAGAACCCTCAATAGCTCCCCATTGATTGAAAAACTATGTATGAAATTATCAATGTAGCATTCAAGGCTCTTCACAATATAGCTTCAAACTCATCATCCACCACTCTCAGCTACAGAAAACATGAATATCTCATTGTCCCCAGAGAATACCTTGCATTTTTCTACTAAATGATTTTGTTTATTCCATTTTCTCTGTGTGGAATCTCTATCAGTTGGAATTATCAAGCAAAACTCATTTTAATATTTCTCTCTTTAATATTTCTCTATTATTGATTCCATTCAATTCAGTAAACATTTATTGAGGACTTGCTATGCAATGTGTGCCATACAAAGGTGTATAAAGGTAAATTCTACCTTTGGGTACTGGCAAAAATATTGGGAAGACAGCCGTGTATATAAATATGTTTATATTTTCATGTTCTGTAATGAATGTCTAGCATAGAGCCTGGTACAGAGATTATGCAATACAGATTTGTAGAATGATTGAATAATTAAGTATTTTATGAGATGCAAATAGTGCAATACCAGTGTACATGAAGTAAGGATTCATTTCAACTGAGAGACCACCTGGGAAAGCCTAAAAAAGAAGTTGGATTTCCAGCAGAGGGAGGCTCTGCAGTCTAGTGGTTAAGACCACAGGCTCGACAGAAAGTTAGATTAGATGCCGTTATTCTGAGAACCATCTGCCTGATAAAGAGAGTCTGGAAGAAACAACCTTCTCTCTCCTGAAGATTCTCACAGTTTTTCTCCAGCCTGCCCTCTCTATAGAATTCTTCCTTACATCTTTCTTCTTCTCAGCATCCAGGACTTCCCCAAACCTTTCTGGGATCTGTCCCAAGAAAATTCCAAATTACTTTGCATAGAAAAACCTTCATATGCTAGAGAAGAAAGTTTTACTTTGTTATACAGAGTTCCTTGGCTTCCTTTGTCTTGATATCATGGACGTTGCCTTTCAATTAGACATTTTGCAAAACAAAGGAGTAGTTTTTCCCTTTTGCTAACTCCAAATGAAGAAATCTGACTCCATTTATGATGAGAGTTAGGAAAAGCTTTATGATGCTATAGTTTGAAGTACTACTAATCACAGCATGTATGAAACATTTACTATGTACCAGGCACCATATAAGTCCTTTACATACATTATCTCATTTGATCCACACAGCACACTTTTGCAATATGTGTTATTAGTATTATCATTCCCATTTTGTAGATGGGCAAATTGAGGCCTAAAGAGATTTTGTGACAAACGTAAGGCACTGATGGGGACAAAATTTGAACCTAAGTCTTGTGGCTTTGTATAGCTCATCTCTTTAACTAACATGCAGAGAACTGCCTCACAGTAATAGATTGTTGGTTGTTGGTTATTGTAGAAGATCCTGTGGGTAAACAGGTACTATACCTACTCTCTTGAGCAATATTGTCAGCTTTTGTAATTGGTAAGGGAGCAGTTAAAGCCTCTGACAAATGAACAGAGAAACAGCTTTATTAGCAATAAAAAAAAAAAAAACGGATCCAGAGTCATTTAAGTAATAAAAATGTAATGAACAAGTGGGATTCATCCCAGGGATTCAAGAAGGGTTCAACATATGTAAGTCAACAAATGTGATACATCACATTAACAGGATGAAGGACTAAAACCGTATGATCATTTCAATAGATGCAGGAAAGGCATTTGATAAAATTCAGCACCCTTTTATGATAAAAACTCTCAACAAATTAGGTATAGATGAAATGTACCTCAAAAAAACAAAGGCCATTTATGACAAATCCATAGCTAATACTATACTCAGTTAGGAAAAGTTGAAAGCATTTCCTCTGAGATCCAGTATAAGACAAAGATACCCACTCTTGCCAGTT
The DNA here is from genome assembly GCF_000001405.40 of Homo sapiens. Lineage (NCBI taxonomy): Eukaryota > Metazoa > Chordata > Mammalia > Primates > Hominidae > Homo > Homo sapiens. Next base: position 47,324,745 of record NC_000006.12, read on the forward strand.
TTTTTGTTTGTTTGTTTGTTTGTTTGTTTGTTTGAGACAGGGTCTCACTCTGTCGCCCAGGCTGGAGTGCAGTGGCGCGATCTCGGCTTCCTGCAAGCTCTGCCTCCTGGGTTCATGCCATTCTCCTGCCTCAGCCTCCCAAGTAGCTGGGACTACAGGCGTCCGCCACCACGTCCGGCTAATTTTTTGTATTTTCAGTAGAGACGGGGTTTCACTGCGTTAACCAGGATTGTCTCGATCTCCTGACCTCATGATCCATCCGCCTTGGCCTCCCAAAGTACTGGGATGACAGGTGTGAGCCACCATGCCCGGCCCACTCTTGCCAGTTCTGTTCAACTTAGTACTGGAGGTCCTGGCCAGAGCAATTAAGTAAAACAAAGAAATAAAAGGCATCCAAATTAGAAAGGAAGAACTTAAATTGCCCCACTTGCAGATGACATGATCTTATATATAGAAAATTTTAAGGACACCATTAAAAAGTTAAAACCAATAAATGAATTCAGTAAAGTTGCAGTATATGAAATCAACATACAACATTTCTACACACCAACAGCAAACTGCCTGAAAAAAAAAAAACAAGAAAACAATCCCATTTATGATAGCTACAAGAAAAGTTATGAATAGTTGAACAAAAGAGGTTGAAGATCTCTACACTGAAAACTATAAAACCTTGATAAAAGAAATTGAAGAAGATATAAATAAATGAAAATATATTCTATGGACTGGAAGAATTAATATTGTTAAAATGTCTGCACTACCCAAAGCATTCTACAGATTCTGTGCAATCCCTCTCAAAATACCAAAGACTTTCTTCTCTAAAAGAGCAAAAAAAAGTCCTAAAATTCATACAGAACCACGAAAGATCCCAAATAGCCAAAGCAATCTTGAACAGAAAGAACTAAGCTGGAAACATCACACTACCTGACTTCAAAATTACACTACAAAGAGATAGTAATGAAAAGAGCAGGGTATTGGCACAAGAACAGGCACAGAGACCAATGAAACAGGATAGAGAGCCCAAAAATAAATCCATGTATTTACAGGCAACTGATTTTTGACAAAGGCACCAAGAACACACAAGGGGGAAAGAACACTCTTTTCAATAAATGGGGTTGGGAAAATTGAATATCCACATGCAGAAGAATAAAATTAGATTATTATCTCATATCATATGGAAAAATAGACTCAAATGGATGAAACATTTAAATGTAAGACCTGAAATTATGTAACTATTAGAAGAAAACATAGGGGAAAACTTTCATGACATTGGTCTGAGTGACAGCTTTTTGGATGTGACCTCAAAAGTAAAGGCAACAAAAGCAAAAATAGACAATTGGGATATATCAAGCTAAAAAGCTTCTGCACAGCCAAGGAAACAATCAACAGAGTGAAGAAACAACCTACAGAAAAGGAGAAAATATTTGTAAACTATGCATCTGATAAGGGTTTATATCCAAAATATCTAAGAAAATCAAACAACTCAATAGCAAGAAAACAAACAACTGATTTAAAAATGGTCAAATAGATCTTAACAGACATTTCTTAAAACATACAAATGACCAGCAGCTATATGAAAAAAATACTCAACATCACATATCATCAGAAAAATGCAAATTAAAACTGCAGTGAGACATCAGTTTACACCTGTTAGAAGGGCTAGCATAAAAAAGACAAAAGATTACAAATGTTGTCCAGGCTGTGGGGGAAGGAAGACCTTGCACACTGCTGGTGGGAATGTAAATTAGCACAGTCATTATGGAAAACAGCATGGAGGTTTCCTAAAAAATTAAAAATAGAATGACTATATGAGCCAGCAATGCCACTACTGGGTATATATCCAAAGGAAATGAAATTAGTGTGTTGAAGAGATGTCTGCCCTCCCATGTTTACTGCAGCATCATTCACAGTAGCCAAGATATGGAATCAACCTAAGTGTCCATCAGTGGATGAATGCATAAAGAAAATGTGGTAAATACATATAATGGAAAACTATTCAGCCATAAAAAAGAAGAAAATCTTATCATTTGCAGCAACATAAATGAAGCTGGAGGACATTATGGTAAATAAATCAGGCCCAGAAAGACAAATACGGCATGATCTCACCCATATGTGGAACCTAAAACAGTTGATCTCATATGAGTAGAAAGTTATAGAAGTTACCAGGGCCTTGGGTTGTCGGGGAGGGTGGGTTGGAGAATGTTGGTAAAAGAATACAAAATTTCATTTAGATAGGAGGAACAAGTTCAAGAGATCAATTGTACAACGCAATGACTACAGTTATTAATATATGGTACTCCTGAAAAATGCTGAGTGTGAATGTATTCTCTTCACAAAAATACAGCTTTGTGAGGTCATGCATGTTCATTAGCTGGATTTAGTCATTCCACTGTGTATATATATATGTGTGTGTGTGTGTGTGTATAAATATATATATATACACATACATATACACACATATATATACATATATATACATACATACTTCAAAATATGTTGTAAATACAAATACATACAATTTTATCTGTCATTTAATAATAAATATATGTAAGCCTCAGTGCAGTGGCTCAAATCTCTAATCCTAGCACTTTGGGAGGCCAAGGTGTGGGGATCACTTGAGGCCAGGAGTGGAAAACCAGTCTGGTCAACATATTGAGACCCTGCCTCTACAAATAAATAAATAAATTTTTAAAAGGAAAAAAACTTGAACCCAGGTCTGCCTAGCTGGCAAATTTGTACCCTTCATTTCTTTGTTTGTTTTTGTTTTTGTTTTGAGTCAGGGTCTTGCTCTGCTGCCCACGCTGGAGTGCAGTGGCTCAATCACAGCTCATTTCAGCCTCAAACTCCTGGGCCCAAGCAATACTCCCACTTCAGCCTCCACAGTAGGTGAGACCACAGGCGTGAGCCACCATGCTCAGCTAATTTTTAAAATTTTTTGCAGAGATGCAGACTCCCTATGTTGCCCAGGCTGGTCTTGAACTCCTGGCCTCAAGTGATCCTTCTGCCTCGATCTCCCAAAGTACTGGGATTACAAGTATGAGCCACTGTGCCTGGCCTTATACTGTTTTTTAAAAATACACCAGAGTGGGTCAATTGGTCCCAAGATGGCCGAATAGGAACAGCTCTTGTCTGCAGCTCCCAGCATGATCGACACAGAAGATGGTGATTTCTGCATTTCCAACTGAGGTAACTGGTTCATCTCATTGGGACTGATTGGACAGTGGGTGCAGCCCACTGAGGGCAAGCTGAATCAGGGCAGGGCATCAACTCACCCGGGAAGCACAAGGGGTCAGGGGATTTCCCTTTCCTAGCCAAGGAAAGCTGTGACAGACTGTACCTGGAAAAATGGGACAATTCTGCCCAAACACTGCACTTTTCCCAAGGTCTTAGCAACCGGCAGAAAAGGAGATTCTCCCCCATGCCTGACTCGGTGGGTCCCATGCCCATGAAGCCTTGCTCACTGCTAGTGCAGCAGTCTGAGATCAAACTGTGAGGCAGCAGCCTGGCTTGGGGAGAGGTGTCTGTCATTGCTGAAGCTTGAGTAGGTAAACAAAGTGGCTGGGAAGCTCGAACTGGGTGGAGGCACTGTGGCTAAGCAAGGCCTACTGCCTCTATAGACTCCACCTCAATGGGCAGGGCATAGCTGAACAAAAGGCAGCAGACCACTTCTGCAAACTTAAACGTCCCTGTCTGACAGCTCTGAAGAGAGCAGTGGTTCTCCCAGCATGCTGTTTGAGCTCTGAGAAAGGACAGACTGCCTACTCAAGTGGGTCCCTGAACCCCGTGTAGCCTAACTGGGAGACAACTCCCAGTAGGGGCCAACAGACACCTCATATAGGCAGGTGCCCCTCTGGGCTGAAGCTTCCAGCAGAAGGATCAGGCAGCAGTATTTGCTGTTCTGCAATATTTGCCGTTCTGCAACCTCCACTGCTGATACCAAGGCAAATAGGGTCTGGAGTGGACCTCCAGCAAACTCCAACAGACCTGAAGCTGAGGGACATGACTGTTAGAAGGAAAACTAAAAAACAAAATGGAATAGCATCAACATCAACAAAAAGGAAATCTACACCAAAACCACATCTGTAGGTCACCAACATGAAAGACCAAAGGTAGGTAAAACCACAAAGATGGGGAGAAACCAGAGCAGAAAAGCTGAAAATTCTAAAAACCAGAGTGCCTCTTCTCCTCCAAAGGATCAAAGCTCCTCGCCAGCAATGGAATAAAGCAGGACAGAGAATGACTTTGACGAGTTGACAGAAGTAGGCTTCAGAAGGTAGGTAATAACAAACTTCTCCAAGCTAAAGGAGCATGTTTGAACCATCACAAGGAAGCTAAAAACCTTGAAAAAAGGTTAGACGAATGGCTATCTAGAATAAACAGTGTAGAGAAGACCTTAAATGACCTGATGGAGCTGAAAACCATGGCATGAGAACTTCGTGATGCATGCACAAGCTTTAATAGCCAATTCGATCAAGTGGAAGAAAGGCCATCGGTGATTGAAGATCAAATTAATGAAATAAAGCGAGATGACAAGGTTAGAGAAAAAAGAGTAAAAAGAAATGAGCAAAGTCTCCAAGAAATATGGGACTATGTGAAAAGACCAAATCTACGTTTGATTGGTGTACCTGAAAGTGATGGGGAGAATGGAACCAAGTTGGAAAATACTCTTCAGGATATTATCCAGGAGAACTTCTTCAACCTAGCAAGGCAGGCCAACACTCAAATTCAGGAAATACAGAGACCAGAAAGATACTCCTCAAGAAGAGCAACCCCAAGGCACATAATTGTCAGATTCATCAAGGTTGAAATGAAGGAAAAATGTTAAGCACAGCCAGAGAGAAAGGTCAGGTTACCAACAAAGGGAAGCCCATCAGACTAACAGCGGATCTCTTGGTAGAAACCCTACAAGCCAGAAGAGAGTGGGGGCCAATATTCAACATTCTTATTCAACATTATTAAAGAAAAGAATTTTCAACCCAGAATTTCCTATCCAGCCAAATTAAGCTTCATAAGTGAAGGAGAAATAAAATCCTTTACAGACAAGCAAATGCTGAGAGATTTTGTCACCACCAGGCCTGCCTTACAAGAGCTCCTGAAGGAAGCACTAAACATGAAAAGAAACAACCAGCCACTGCAAAAACGCGCCAAATTGCGAAGACCATTGATCCTATGAAGAAACTGCATCAATTAATGGGCAAAATAACCAGTTAACATCACAATGATGGATCAAATTCACAATAACAATATTAACCTTAAATGGAAATGGGCTAAATGCCCCAATTAAAAGACACAGACTGGCAAATTGGATAAAGAGTCAAGACCCATTGTTGTGCTGTATTCGGGAGACCTATCTCACTTGCAGACACACACATAGGCTCAAAATAAGGGGATGGAGGAAGATCTACCAAGCAAATGGAAAGCAAAAAGAAAAACAGAGGTTGCTGTCCTAGTGTCTGATAAAACAGACTTTAAACCAACAAAGATCAAAAGAGACAAAGAAGGCCATTACATAATGATAAAGGGATCAATTCAACAAGAAGAGCCAAATATCCTAAATATACATACACCCAATAAAGGACCACCCAGATTCATAAAGCAAGTCCTTACAGACCTACAAAGAGACTTGGACTCCCACACAATAATAATGGGAGACTATAACATCCCACTGTCAATATTAGACAGATCAATAAGACAGAAGGTTAACAAGGATATCCAGGGCTTGAACTCAGTTCTGCAACAAGCAGAACTAATAGACATCTACAGAACTCTCCACCCCAAATCAACAGAATATACATTCTTCTCAGCACCACGTTGCACTTATTCTAAAATTGACCACATAATTGGAAGTAAAGCACTCCTCAGCAAATATAAAAGAACAGAAATCACAACAAACTGTCTCTCAGACCACAGTGCAATCAAATTAGACCTCAGGATTAAGAAACTCACTCAAAACCACACAACTACATGGAAACTGAACAACCTGCTCCTGAATGACTACTAGGTAAATAACAAAATGAAGGCAGAAATAAAGATGTTCTTTGAAACCAATGAGAACAAAGACACAACGTACCAAAATCTCTGGGACACATTTGAAGCAGTGTGTAGAGGGAAATTTATAGTACTAAATGACCACATGAGAAAGCAGGAAAGATCTAAAATCAACACCCTAACATCACAATTAAAAGAACTAGAGAAGCAAGGGCAAACAAATTCAAAAACTAGCAGAAGGCAAGGAATAACTAAGATCAGAGCAGAACTGAAAGAGATAGAGAAACAAAAAAATCCGTCAAAAATCCATGAATCCAGGAGCTGGTTTTTTGAAAAGATCAATAAAATTGATACACCACTAGCAAGACTAATAAAAAAGAGAGAAGGATCAAATAGATGCAATAAAAAATGATAAAGGGGATATCACCACCGATCCCACAGAAATACAAACTACCATCAGAGAATACTATAAACACCTCTACGCAAATAAATTAGAAAATCTAGAAGAAATGGATAAATTCCTGGACACGTACACCCTCGCAAGACTAAACCAGGGAGAAATTGAATCTCTGAATAGACCAATAACAGGCTCTGAAATTGAGGCAGTAATTAATAGCCTACCAACCAAAAAAAGTCCAGGACGAGACAGATTCACAGCCGAATTCTACCAGAGGTACAAAGAGGAGCTGGTAACATTCCTTCTGAAACTATTCCAATCAATAGAAAAAGAGGGAATCCTCCCTAACTCATTTTATGAGGCCAGCATCATCCTGATACCAAAGCCTGGCAGAGACACAACAAAAAAAGAGAATTTTAGACCAATATCCCTGATGAACATTGATGTGAAAATCCTCAGTAAAATACTGGCAAACCAAATCCAGCAGCACATCAAAAAGCTTATCCATCACAATCAAGTCAGCTTTATTCCTGGGATGCAAGCCTGGTTCAACATAGGCAAATCAATAAACATAATCCATCACATAAACAGAACCAACAACAAAAACCACATGATTATCTCAATAGATGCAGAAAAGGCCTTCAACAAATTCCAACAACCTTTCATGCTAAAAACTCTCAATAAACTAGGTATTGATGGAACGTATCTCAAAATAGTAAGAGCTATTTATCACAAACCCACAGCCAATATCATACTGAATGGGCAAAAACTGGAAGCATTCCCTTTGAAAACTGGCACAAGACAAGGATGCTCTCTTTTGCCACTCCTATTCAACATAGTGTTGGAAGTTCTGGCCAGGGCACTCAGGCAAGAGAAAGAAATAAAGGGTATTCAATTAGGAAAAGAGGAAGTCAAATTGTCCCTGTTTGCAGATGACATGATTGTATATTTAGAAAACCCTATCATCTCAGCCCCAAATCTCCTTAAGCTGATAAGCAACTTCAGCAAAGTCTCAGGAAACAAAATCAATGTGCAAAAATCACAAGCATTCCTATACACCAATAACAGACAAACAGAGAGCCAAATCATGAGTGAACTCCCATTCACAATTGCTACAAAGAAAATAAAATACCTAGGAATCCAACTTACAAGGGATGTGAAGGACCTCTTCAGGGAGAACTACAAACACTGCTCAACAAAATAAAAGAGGACACAAATAAATGGAAGAACATTCCATGTTCATGGATAGGAAGAATCAATATCATGAAAATGGCCCTACTGCCCAAGGTAATTTATCGATTCAATGCCATCCCCATCAAGCTACCAATGACTTTCTTCACAGAACTGGAAAAAACTGCTTTAAAGTTCATATGGAACCAAAAAAGAGCCCACATTGCCAAGACAATCCTAAGTCAAAAGAACAAAGCTGGAGAAATCACGCTACCTGACTTCAAACTATACTACAAGGGTATAGTAACCAAAACAGCATGGTACTGGTACCAAAACAGATATATAGACCAATGGAACAGAACAGAGGCCTCAGAAATAACACCACACATCTACAACCATCTGATCTTTGACAAACCTGACAAAAACAAGCA